>NC_000023.11:113674979-114281198 GCF_000001405.40 Homo sapiens | reverse complement strand
TATATTTTATATACTATATATTATATAAGATATATTTTATATACTATATATTATATAAGATATATTTTATATACTATATATTATATAAGATATATTTTATATACTATACATTATATATAATATATTTTATATACTATACATTACATATAATATACATTTTATATACTATATATTACATATAATATATATTTTATATACTATATATTATATATAATATATATGATATATAATATATATTTATATACTATATATTATATACAATATATATTTTATATGTGATATATATTTTATATATTATACATGTTTTTTATGTATTATAGATATATTTATGTATTATATATAATACATGTATTTTATGATATATTTTATATATATTATAGATGTATTTTATATATGATATATTTTGTATATATTATAGATGCATTTTATTTATAAGATATATTTTATATATATTATAGATGAATTTTAAATATAAGATACATTTTATGTATAGTAAAGATGTGTTTTATATATAAGATATATTTTATATGTATTATAGGTATATTTTATATATAATAGATATATTTTGTATATATTATAGATATATTTTATATATATAAAAATCAGTATCTGAAAGAGAAGTTTGCACTACCATGTTTATTATGGCATTATTCACAGTAGGCAGTATATGGAATCAATCGACAGATGCATGAATAAGGAAAATATGGCGTGAGTCATACACACACACACACACACACACACACAGTGGAATATTATTCAGCCTTAAAAATTAAATCTTGCAATTTGCGACAATATGGATGAACCTGGAAGATATGCCAAGTGAAGTAAGCCAGGCACAGAAAGACACATACTCTATGATCTGAGTTATAGGATGAATCTAAAAAAGTTGAGCTTAGAAAAGCAGACAGTAGCATGGTGGCTTTTAGGGACTGCATGGTGGGGGAAAGGTGGAAATGTTGATCAAAGAGAACAAAGTCACAGTTAGGCAGGATGAATAAATTCTGGAGAGCTAATGTACAGAATGCTGACCATAGCTAATAATACTGTATTGTATACTTGAAGTTTACTAAGAAGGTAGATCTTAAATGTTCTTACCACAGAAAATGGTAAATATTTGGCTTGATGATATGTCAATTTGATTGACTTTGATAATCATTTCACAATGTATACATATATCAAAACATCTCATTGTATACTATAAATAGATACAATTTTTATCTATCAGTTTTATCTCAATAGAGGTGAGAAAAATAGACAACTTTAGTGGTGAAATTTTTTCCCTAGTATATGTTAGTTCTCTTGGCTCTTCTCTCAGAATACTTCGTGGAATGAATGGAGATGATTGGCTGTGGCATGACTCCATTCTATCTCAAGTATGCTTCACTTGCTTGACAGTAGTGGCAAGCAAATGGTAATTCTCATTACCCAGTATTTGGACACTTTTCAGTCAAGCTGATCTACTTGACAATACTTCTAATATTCATTTAATTTTTCAACCAGTGTTCCTTGACTGTCTTCTATGAGCAAGACGGAATTGAGGTTATAAATCATGGTTGAGTCTGAAACACATGGGTTTTAGAATAAGAGAGATCTATGTTAAATTACCAGTTCATCTACTTACTTGCTGTTTTTCTTGAGCAATTTGCCTAAATTATTTGACTCTGTTTTCTCATTTATAAAACTAGAGATTAAAAATAACGACCTCACTGGATTTCTGAAAATATTTATACAGAAAATGTATAAGATAGCACATAGCAGAGTTTCTTTTTTTAATTTTAATTTATTTATTTTATTTCTTTTATTATACTTTTAGGGTACGTGTGCACAACATGCAGGTTAGTTACATATGTATACATGCGCCATGTTGGTGTGCTGCCCCCATTAACTCGTCATTTAACATTAGGTGTATCTCCTAATGATATCCCTCCCCCCTCCCCCCACCCCACAACAGCACATAGCAGAGTTTCTAACACAAAACAGACATTCAAAGAATATATAGTTCATTTCCTTCTTATGAAATTATCCACAATTTCATGCTAGACAAATTTTATTTAACAATTCTGATAAATTTGTTTAAACAAAATTATTTAAACGAATTTTTAAAAGTTTTAAATAGCATTATCTATTTACCAGTAATTGTGTAAAATATTATGCCCCATTCTAAAAAGAACATAAAAGAACTATATCTAACATTACACAGAACTCCTTAAAAATCAATGAGAAAAAGAAAACACACTAGACCAAAAAAGCCAATGGACATGAACAGTCAATTGAAATGAAAAAATCAAATAGGTTTCATAAACATATAAAGATTACTCAGCCGGCCAGCCGGGGTGGGTGGATCAGTTGAGGCCAGGAGTTCGAGACCAGCCTGGCCAACCCTGTCTCTACTAAAAATTAAAAAACTAGCCAGGCATTGTAACATGCACCTGTAATCTCAGCCATTTGGGAGTCTGAGGTATGAGAATTTCTTGAACCCGGGAAGCAGAGGTTGCAGTGAGCTGAGATTGTGCCTCTGCCCTCCAGCCTGGACAACAGAGTGAGGCTCTGTCTCAAAAAAAAAAAAAAAATTATCCAGCCCATCAAAGAATTAAAGAAAGATAAATGATTAATACAATAAGAGTAAGATATTATATTTTGCCTATAGAGTAGGCAAAGTCTGGTAGAACTTATTGTTGGTAAATATGTCAGGGAAAATGATCCTTATACATTTTGGGCAGGAGTATGAACTAGTATAGCTTCTTTGGAGCACAACTGGACAAAATCTATCTCATTGTAAAACATGTACACCTCTTTACTCAGATAATTTATTTCTGCAAGAGCAAACATTAGAGGCAATTACATGTCTAGCAAAAGAGGATTAATTAGATAAGATAAAAAGACACATAAAAGCTAGAGATAAATCGAAATCATGTTCTATTAATTTTTTAAATGATTATTAAACTTGTCTCTTTGGAATATAAATTCTGGTTAAGAGGTAACATTTTAAATGATCATATATTTCTATAAGAATTAATAAAAAATTGAAACCTACATAAATAAATTAGGAGTAAGCTTAAGAAAATATTTTTTTCTAGTATGGAAAAAAATTGTATTTTATGAAATATCCTCTGCCATGATTTTAATACTCTAATTTCCTTGCAACCTAATAACACAATGTAGCATCTGTAATTCTTACAGAGTGCCATCTCTGTTTCTGAAATTTAGAGGCACCTTCACCAAAATGCTTATATTCTTATAATCTACATTATTTATTCGAGCCAAGTTATGTCACCAAAATTAAATGAAACAAGATTACACTGGGGACATTAGAACACTGAAATTTCAGTCCATCCGAAATCAAAGAGTTGAAAAGATTACAAATCCAGTACAATTAAATACTTAGTTTCTTGTGATTCATTTCACAGTATGTGTTCATCTCTGTCAAATTTAGGTAGTAGGGTAACATACTTTCATCTTCTAAAACATAATACTGACTTAAAAGCAATTATATAAATGTCAAAAGATAAAAATGTGATTATACAAAATTAATTGCTTCTCATGGACACAGTTCTAAAAAGAAAATAGTTGTAGGATAGCTTTCAATTTTGTTTCCTGTAAGTATTTTTCCAGTTTACCTGATATTTGAAAAAATTCAGGTGATATGGTAAAAATTAAACGATAAACAAGCCTAGCTTTTAGCCCAACTCTGTTCTGAATAGTGCTGATGAGTGGGATTCTAGGAAGAGTAATATCTGAAAAAGCATTCTTAGGAAGTTTTACTGTTTTTGGTCAAAATATCCCATCCCCTGATATGAGGGATTAGACTTTAATAAAATTTTAGAGTAGGCAATATTTATTTTAAATGCTTTTGATAGTGTTCTTATGCCTTTCTATACATCTCTATCTCACATTCAGTGTTTTGAGTCCTCTGCTGTAATGTTCAATCAATCATTCTTTCCTACCTTATGTGTCATTGAGAAGAAATATTAAAAATAAATAAATATCCTTCATAATAACTAAGGTGCTGAGAACCTGATGTAGTCTGCTTCCCAAGATAAAAGGGAGATACAAAAGAGAAGGCAAAGTGTAACTAAAAAGCTATAATTACTTATAAATTATCATTATAATTGTGTATATTGTGCAAATTTAATTACCTCTGTAGTTGATTTGGTGAGGGCAGAAAATTCTTGTAAACTAGAACTTGTGTTGTGGTATTTGATTTCTTCAAATGATTTTTCTTAATCCATTGAAATTATCATGTTTTTTCACCCTTAAACCTGTAATATGGTGATTTGCATTGATTGATTTTCAAATAGTTAATCAATGTTGGATTCTTTAATAAAACATACACAGCCACAAATTCTGCACCCACCAAATTAACCACTGAGGTATTTAAAGGCCTTTATACATAAAGATGGTCCTTGTGTGTAAATAACAAGTAGAGTTGTATTTTCTTTTTCAAAATTTGTTTTTATGTTCTTGGTTCTTTGAATTTCTATGTAGAATTCAGAATAAGCTAATCAATTTTTATAAAAATTTATTCTAGAATTAGGGTTTAGAACTGTTTAGAATCTATAGATGATAGGGGAAGAATTGTCTTACCAATATTGAGACTTTTGATCCATGAACAAGATGAACAAGGTATACAGTCACATTTATTAATATCTGTAGTTTCTGTTATTCAATATTTTATCACTTTCAGCATAAAGGACTTGCATATAATTTTTTCAGTTGATTCTCAGGTGTCCTTTGTCAATGTGATTTTTGAATGGCATAACTTTTCATATTTAATTTTACATTTGTTTATTGACCTTGTATTCTTCTACTTGGCTAAATTCATTTATTAGTTCTTGTCATGGAGGTAGATTTGTTAGGATTATCTAATATAAAGAATCATGTAATATGTCTTTAGAGACAGTTTTACTTTCTCCTTTCTAGTGATTTTTAAATTTATTTCTTTTAGTTGCCAAAGGCCTTGTGAATGGCCGAGATCTCCAGGATGATGCTGGGTAGAGCATTCTTGCCTTGTTCTCCATCTTCAAGGGAAAATATGCACAATGTCATCATTAAGTATGATACCAGGTTTTCTGCATATGTTCTTTATCAAATTAAGGGTAATTTTCTGAAATGTTTTATTTCTTTTAGGAGTGGATATTGGAATTTTTCAAATGCTTTTTAAAAATTATTTGTATAGATTTATAGGGTACAAGTGCAGTTTTGTTACATGGATGTATTATTGCATAGTGGTGAAGTCTGGGCTTTTAGTGTAACCATCACCTGAATAGTGTACATTGTACCCAATAGGCAATTTGTCACCCTCACCCCCTTCCACCCTCTCATTTTCCGAGTCTCCAATGTCTATTATTCTGCTCTCTGTGTCTATGTGTACACACTATTTAGCTCCCACTTATAAGTAAGAACTTGTGGTATTTGACTTTCTTCAAATAACTTCTTCTTAGTCCATTGAAATTATCATTCTTTTCACCTTTAAAGCTATAATATGGTGATTTGCATTGATTGATTTTCAAGTATTTAGCCAACCTTGGATAAAATATACTCAGCCACAATGTGTTGTTCTTTTTATATATTGCTAGATTAAATTTGCTAATATTTTGTTAAAGCTCTTTGCATAAAAATTTAGGAGGAATATTCACCCGTAGTTTTATTCTGGTAATGCCTTTGATGAGTTTTGATGTTATGGTGGGCTCTTAAAAATGAATTAAGGAATTTCCTTACCTATATTTTTTAAAAGTATTTGTATAAGATTAATGTTACTTCTTCTTTTAAAGATTGATAAAATAAACCAGTTAAATTGTCTAGACCTGGAGTTTGGGGGTGGGGGGAGTTCAGTTTCTTTGATAGAAAAATGCTATTCAGGGCCAGGCGCAGTGGCTCACGCCTGTAATCCCAGCACTTTGGGAGGCCGAGGCGGGCAGATCACGAGGACAGGAGATCGAGACCATCGTGGCTAACATGGTGAAACCCCGTCTCTACTAAAAATATAAAAAATTAGCCGGGCGTAGTGGCGGGCACCTGTAGTCCCAGCTACTCGGGAGGCTGAGGCAGGAGAATGGCGTGAACCCGGGAGGTGGAGCTTGCAGTGAGCGGAGATCACACCACTGCACTCCAGCCTGGGCTACAGAGGGAGACTCCGTCTCAAAAAACAAAACAAAACAAAACAAAACAAATGCTATTCAGATTTTCTGTATCTTCTTGTGTCAGTTTAAGGAAATTGTAAGATCTGTATCCATAACTTCTCTTTCATTATGCTATTTTTTCCCTTTATCAGTCTAGTGAGAGAAATATATGCAGCTTGTTGGATAGTTTGTAGGACCTGTTATTGGTAAAGACCTCACTCAAAAATGGCTTCAAGTTATCTTCCATAGTGAATTAATGAGGATCCCCATGAGATGCATGAAGTCTCTAGGATACCTGAACAAAGCTACCAGATGTTGTGCCCCCTTTTTGTTTGCTGGAGTTTTTAAGGACAACAGTTTCTCTGTAAGAGACTCAGTGATTGTTCTCTGGGTATCAACTCACATGATTTCCAAGAAGTTTACTTGAGTAGCAGACCCCTGTGTCTTGTCAACATTACTCTTCCAGACCTGATTACTCAGATATTAAATCACTCTTCAGCTTAGGTATTGTCTCTTTTCCTTCTCTGATTTCTATTTTGTTGTGACATGCTCTTATTTTTAATTCCTTCCTTCTACTTACTTTGGATATATTTTGGTCTTCTTTATCTACTTATTAAGGTAGAACTTTAGGTTAAGGATCAATAAACTTTTCCTTTAAAGGTATATATATTAAATATTTCATGCTTTGAAGGCCATATGGCCTGTGTTGCAAATCTTCAACTCTGCCAATGTAGCACAAAAGTAGCCATAGACCATATATGTCCCAATTAAACTTCTTCTTTTTTTTTTTTTTACAACATAAGTGACAAGCCTGAATAAGCATGCAGGCCGTAATTTGCTAATCCCTGATTTAAGTTATTGCTTTGAGACCAGTCTTCTTTTCTAATATAAGTATTGAAATGTACATATTCCTCTGTAAACACTGCTTTAGTTACATTCCACAACTTTCAGTATTTGATATTTTAACAACCATTCATACAAAATATATTTTTTCTGTTTTCTCTTGTGATTTTTTTCTGTTTTCTCTTGTGATTTTTTATTTATGTGTCTCTTAGAAGAATATTGTCTAATTTCCAAATGTGCAATGTTTTCCTAGATATCTTATTGTTAGTGAGGTCTAATTTAGTTTCCTCGTGGTCAAAGAATGTACACAGGTGGCTTCAATCCTTTTAAATGTATTGAAACTTAATTTATGGCCCAGAATGTGTTCTATCTTGTTGAATGTAATATCTGCCCTTGAAAATAATGTACATTCTACATTCATGTTTTGTGGGGGAGAAAAACAGGAAAATAAGGTGCGTTCTACAATTGTTGGCTGTAGTGATCTATAAATATCAGTGAAGTCAAGGTGGTAGATAATATGATTCATATCATCTATGCCTTTACTGAGTTTTTGACTAGTTATTCTACCTATTTCTGAGCGAGGGTGTTAATATCTACAAATAATAACAACAACAATAATAAACCCCTCTAGCATTCTAAGAAGAGCTTTTCTTATAAAACAGTCTCAATATGCTTGCAAAGAAAGAAACCAAGATGGAAACAAAGGCCATTAAATCTAAGGTTGTGGGTTGACTGAAGGGTGAACAGAGCCCAGAGACAGAAGTAAATCTCAGATTTAACAGTCTAGATAATCTTTGACTCTGATTACCAACCTATTAATCCCTGAGGAAACCTCTATTTCCCCATTCCTCAAATATAGACTATTAAGGCAACAGGATGTACTTTACAGTCTGCCTTCCCCCGCTTCCCCCTATCCTGTATTCAAATGTGAATTATTCCCTAAGAGCATTGCAGACATTCCTACGAAGGGCAATGGACAAAGGAGATTTTCCCACAGAGTGAAAACAGGGAACATGAAGGACAATAGACAAATGGAAAGCCTCCTAAGTTACAAGTCCAATACTGTCTGATAAATTGATTCATTTCATTTGTCAGATATTGAGCCCTCAATATTCCTGTCCAAGGGAATGTGATATATGCCACAAATCAATGTGTTGTTTACCATTCTCTTTTCTGAATGGGAATTTTTATTCGTTATTCCAATCTTTTCCCACCATTGTACACTGTATGCACTGGGAGTGGATAAATTGTCATTTTTAGGATACGTCACTACACTCTGAGGTAGCTACCTCTGGACTTGATAATAAGAATAGTACATAATCCAGAGATCCTGGACTTGGTTCTGGTTTCAGTAACTGTATGAGATATTGGGATAGTTTCCCTTGGAGGGTGATGTGAGTTTGATTCATGCACATTTTAATTCATGCACATGTAATCTTATTAAGGCAATGTGAAGCAGGTTTATCCACAGAGAAGATAGTCTCTGATGGAAAGAGAGTTGGCTAGAATCTTAAGTCTCACAGTGACCATAGACATCATACCATACTGCCTTGGGGCATATGCAGCAGAATGTGGCTAATTCAGACAAATATACTTTATTTCTACCCATGGCTTTATCCACAAAGCTCTATCAGGTATAATCCTGGTGAACTGGCCTGGACAACATGTGAGTTCAAAAGTTTCCTTTGGCCTTCCAGATAAGGGCCTGGATGAGAGGCAGCCTAAAACCAGCCACTTGGTCATTTTCCCCACAGTCATTTCCTTTGCCTTGATACAGAGTGTCAGAAAATTGACAGCAAGAGGATGCACAGGAAAGGGAGTGCACAGAACATGAGCTCATTTTCCTAAACACTAGAGTTTACTCATATCTGTTCTTTTCTCTGGATCCAACATCCTGTTCCACCAGGTAAAGATGAGTAAAGTGCTTCTAAAACAGGAGGCAGATGGGTCTATCTTACGCCATCAGATATAAGAACAACCAGACCTTATGGGGAAACAGCATTAAGAATTTCGTAACAGTCAAAAAAACAGGACAGCTTCTTTCACATTCCCTCTCTTGCTGAAACCACAGTATCTTTTGGCACTTCTTTCAGCCTGTCTCTCTCTTTCTCTGTCTCTCCTTACCAATCATGCTTTCTGTATTCTACTTAAACACTGTCATTGTCATTTCATCCCCAACTTTACATACATTACAAATTAAATGCCTGATGCTCACTGATCTACTCTCTCCAGATACAAATTCCAAATTCCAAAACAGAGGATCTAATTGGGATAGATAAGACTTGGGATAGCTCCTCCTGGGTGAAAGGTCAGTGCATGTCTGAACATGTTTCTCTATAAAGACCACTCTTTGTAAGCACAAAAAGTTACCCAAAAAGAGACTCTTAAAGATTACTACTGTGTAACTCTGATCATCATCAATTATCAGAGTGGCTTCTTCTTGCAAATCAAATGAAGATCGTGAGCGGAATGAGGCTTTGCAGATATTAGAGTATTCCGCTAAAACATGGATCACATTTAAGTCATTAGCAGTCTTCATTTCAATTTGCTTATCAAATTAGCCCTAAAAGAAAATGAGTCTGTTAAGAATGAAATGTAGTTCCAGATAGTTTTGATACAAAACAAAGGAAAAGTAAGTTTCCAAATCATGTGTTACTGCCAAGAAAGGTTTTGGTCAGATGGGTTCTTATCTCATCTACACGCATGCCTTCACATCACTAGCACACTTACTTCTAAAGCTGTATTTCTAAAAAAGTTCTCTCGCCGGGCACGGTGGCTCACGCCTGTAATCCCAGCACTTTGGGAGGCCGAGACGGGAGGATCACGAGGTCAGAAGATCGAGACCATCCTGACTAACAGGGTGAAACCCCGTCTCTACTAAAAATACAAAAAATTAGCAGGGTGTGGTAGTGGGTGCCTGTAGTCCCAGCTACTCCAGAGGCTGAGGCAGGAGAATGGCGTGAACCCGGGAGGTGGAGCTTGCAGTCAGCCAAGATCGTGCCACTGCATTCCAGCCTGGGCGACAGAGCGAGACTCCGTCTCAAAAAAAAGAAAAGTTCTCTCATGAGATGATTTTCTTGTGTATCTATAACCCCCAAGAGGCCAGCCACGGGGAGAGGTGACAGCGTGCTGGCAGTCCTCACAGCCCTCGCTCGCTCTAGGCGCCTCCTCTGCCTGGGCTCCCACTTTGGCGGCACTTGAGGAGCCCTTCAGCCCACCGCTGCACTGTGGAAGCCCCTTTCTGGGCTGGCCAAGGCCGGAGCCGGCTCCCTCAGCTTGCGGGGAGGTGTGGAGGGAGAGGCACGAGCGGGAACCGGGGCTGCGCGCGGCGCTTGCGGGCCAGCTGGAGTTCCGGGTGGGCGTGGGCTTGGCGGGCCCCGCACTGGGAGCAGCCGGCCGGCCCTGCCGCCCTGGTCAATGAGGGGCTTAGCACCCGGGCCAGCGGCTGCGGAGAGTGTACTGGGTCCCCCAGCAGTGCCAGCCCACCGGCGCTGCGCTCGATTTCTCGCCGGGCCTTAGCTGCCTTCCCGCAGGGCAGGGCTCGGGACCTGCAGCCCGCCATGCCTGAGCCTCCCACACCCTCCGTGGGCTCCTGTGCCACCCAAGCCTCCCCGATGAGCGCCGCTTCCTGCTCCACGGTGCCCAGTCCCATCGACCACCCAAAGGCTGAGGAGTGCGGGCGCACGGTGCGGGACTGGCAGGAAGCTCCACCTGCAGCCCCGGTGCCGGATCCACTGGGTGAAGCCAGCTGGGCTCCTGGGTCTGGTGGGGACTTGGAGAACCTTTATGTCTAGCTAAGGGATTGTAAATACACCAATCAGCACTCTGTATCTAGCTCAAGATTTGTAAACACACCAATAAGCACCCTGTATCTAGCTCAAGGTTTGTAAACACACCAATCAGCACCCTGTATCTAGCTCAAGGTTTGTAAACACACCAATCAGCACCCTGTATCTAGCTCAGGGTTTGTGAATGCACCAATAGACACTCTGTATCTAGCTAATCTGGTGGGGACCTGGAGAACCTTTGTGTCTAGCTCAGGGATTGTAAATGCACCAACCAGTGCCCTGTCTAAACAGACCACTGGGCTCTACCAATCAGCAGGATGTGGGTGGGGCCAGATAAGAGAATAAAAGCAGGCTGCCGGAGCCAGCAGTGGCAACGCTCCGGTCCCCTTCCATGCTGTGAAGGGTTTGTTCTTTTGCTCTTTGCAATAAATCTTGCTACTGCTCACTCTTTGGGTCCACACTGCTTTTATGAGCTGTAACACTCACCACGAAGGTCTGCAGCTTCACTCCGGAAGCCAGCGAGCCCACGAGCCCACAGGGAGGAACAAACAACTCCAGACGCGCCGCCTTAAGAGCTGTAACACTCACCGGGAAGGTCTGCAGCTTCACTCCCGAAGCCAGCGAGCCCACGAGCCCACAGGGAGGAACGAACAACTCCAGACGCGCAGCCTTAAGAACTGTAACACTCACCGCGAAGGTCTGCAGCTTCACTCCTGAAGCCAGCGAGCCCATGAGCCCACCAGAAGGAAGAAACTCCAGACACATCCGAACATCAGAAGGAACAAACTCCGGACACGCCGCCTTTAAGAACTGTAACACTCACCGCAAGGGTCCGCGGCTTCATTCTTGAAGTCAGTTAGACCAAGAACCCACCAATTCTGGACACAACGGTGGCCCATAACTGTAATCCCAGGACTTTGGGAGGCTGAGGTGGGAAGATTACTTGAGCCCAGGAGTTTAAGACCAGCCTAGGCAACACAGTGGATCCCCAACTCTACAAAAACTTAAAAAGTTAGCTGAGCGTGGTGGTCCATGCCTGTGGTCCCAGCTACTCAGGAGGCTGAGGTGGAAGGATCACTTGAACCCAGGAGGTCAAGGCTGCAGCGAGTCATATTCATGCCACTGTTCTCTAGCCTGGGTGACAGAGTGAGACCTGGTCTCAAAAATAAATAAATAAGTAAATAATAAGTAAATAAAACATACCCCACCCCAGCCCGCCGAATAGACTACAACTATTTGACAGAAGAGGATAGGAATTATTTACTTGCCTATTGTAAGCGTCTTCCTGGATTATAGTAGATAAGCCATTTTACTACATGAATGAATTAATTGAAAGCTTAGACGGCTTGAGGACGATGGGAGAAGAAGAAACCAGGAAAAAGGCAAGAATGGAGGTAAGGTTTGAAGTGATGCAAAAATATTGATATAGTTTAGCTGTGTGTCCCCACCCAAATCTCATGTTGAATCCCCAGTGTTGGTGGAGAGGCGTGGTGGGAGGTGACTGAATCATGGAGGTGGGTATTCCCCTTGCTGTTCTCATGATAGTGAATGAGTTCTCCCAAGATCTGGTTGTTCGAAAATGTATATCACTTCCCCTTTTGCTCTCTCTCTCTCCTACCCTGCCTTGGTAAGACATGCCTGCTTCCCCTTCACCTTCTGCCATGATTTTAAGTTTCTCGAGGCCTCTCCAGCCATGCTTCCTGTACAGCCTGCAGAACTGTGAGTCAATTAAACTTTTTTTTTTTTTTGAGATGGAGTCTATCTTTGTCACCAGGCTGGAGTGCAGGGGCATGACCTTGGCTCACTGAAACCTTCGCCTCCCAGGTTCTATCAGTTCTCCTGCCTCAGCCTAGCTGGGCTTACAGGCACACACCACCACACCCAGCTAATTTTTGTATTTTTAGTAGAGACGGGGTTTCACCATGTTGGCCAGGATGGTCTCGATCTCCTGACCTCGTGATCCACCCACCTCGGCCTCCCAAAGTGCTGGGATCACAGGCGTGAGCCACCACTCCCGGCTAAACTTCTTTTCTTCATAAATTACCCATTCTTAGGTATGTCTTTGTAGCAAAGTGAGAATGGAATAATACAACCATCAATTTTGCTTACTTGATATTTGGCCAAAGATTGACTTTGGGAGTGAGAAGAAGAAAACTAGCTTGAAAAGGTGTGTAGTTTTTGCTCAATGGAGCCAACAACCATGGCTCTGATCCTATGTCATTCTGGCATCTACCATCCCTTTAGGTTTTTGAAGTTATCTTTTAGTATCTGATAATTTCCATTTAAATATTTTGCCTTCATCTTAGTTGTCTGTCTTCCAACAAAAGTTGGAGTTGTGAGTTTAGCTGCATATATATGCTCAAATGTTAGTCTATTCCCTGAGAAAACAAATAAAATACTTAGAAATATAGTTCATATTTAGTCAGTTGCCTTACTTTTTAAAAAATATTCTTTTTTTTTTTTTTTTGACAGAGTCTCACTCTGTCACCCAGGCTGGAGTGCAGTGGCACAATCTCGGCTCACCACAACCTCTGCCTCCCGAGTTCAAACAATTCTCCTGCCTCAGCCTCCCGAGTAGCTGGGATTACAGGTACGTGCCACTGTGCCAGGCTAATTTTTGTATTTTTAGTAGAGACGGGGTTTCACCTTGCTGGCAAGGCTGGTCTTGAACTCCTGACCTGAGGTGATCCGCCCACCTTGGCCTCCCAAAGTTCTGGGATTACAGGCGTGAGCCACCGTGCCTGGCCTAAAAAATATTCTTTTAAAAGAAGCAGCATAGTTTAACAACTCATTACATGAAAGTGATATTTATGGTAAAATAAGATTTACATGAAGCCTATTTACAGTCACTGCTTAAACAAATCTCAGCTTTCCTTTCCCCTTTTAAATTTGTATTCACTCTTACATACATATATAATCCTTTAAATCGTTTGAGGATAAACACTCAAACATTACACATAAGGCTGAAGTCCTCTCTGACGACTTGGATTTCGTTTCTATTGTAAGGATAACCAGTTTCTATTACTTAGGCTGTGACTTGTTACTATGGCTCCACTGCTTATTTTGCTTCCTCTGAGTGAAGGTCCCTGACAACCAGGCCCCTCTCTCGATAATCCCACAACTTCCTCTCCCTGCAGTCTGCCTTTGGCAACTTGTGTGAAACAGACTTGTGTGGCTCAAACTAGCCTGATCCTGCATGTACTATTCCCTTTGCGAGTCATTCTTTTCCTCCTCTTCACTACCTGGTGTACTCCAGTTCTTCTTTCCCTGCTGTGACCAAATGTCACATCAGATCTAAATTCTTCCCTGTGCCTGAAAACTGTTTTGTGTAATAAAGAGCCCTGGAGAAATTAAGCCCATGAGATCTGGAGCTACATTTCTTGGTTAGGATTCTGGATTTTGTCTCTTACTAGCTACCTTAGACCAGTTACTTAATCTCGTTGAGTCTCAGTTCCCTTGTTTGTGAAATGAGTATATAAGCAGGTATTAATACCTACTTCAAAATGCTGTTAGTGGGATTAAATGAGTTAACAGATGGGAAAAACTGAGATCATGCTGCCTAGAAGATAGTGAGGGTTTGGTAACTGTTGTGATTATGGATATTTTAGCATCTGTAATTAGAATACTCTTCATATTTTATGATAACCTTTTCCTGTCTGCCTATCTTCTCCAATCCTCAAGGGCTGCACCATGTCATCATTTACTTTGTTTCATCCCCACTTCACCTTGCATCTGCCCCAAACTCCAAAGTCTACACAGTAAGTACAATGCCAGCCACTTAGCAGGTGCTCCATCTAGAAGAAAGTATGGCATAGTGTCAAGCACCTTAGTAACAGAAAGCTTCAATCTGGAATATTACACAGAGTACTTTTAGGGGACTCTCCATTGTAGCTCTCAGCCTCCAGGCTATCTTGCTTTCTCTTTCCCTTGGAACCAAATTTAAAAAGAGACTTTGACTTTCTATCTGGCCTCCTGATGCAGCAAGTGGTGTTGAGTCTACAGCATACCTCAGGAGGAGGTTTCTTTGCCCCCTACCACTCCGCTTCTCTTCATTCCTTGCATCTCACTCTCTCATTCCCTACAATTCCACCTTATTGATCACTTTTTACCATAGAAAGGCTTCCTATAGAAGCAGCCTTCTAAGCAATGTCGACAAAGTGCCTCAGACCTCTGGCCCCAATTGATTCTGGTTTAAAGGTCTATGCTTTCATTCTTTCTTTCCCTCACTAAAATTTTGAAAACAATTGAGAAAAAAAAAACAGCTTTTCTGACAGTTTCTAACAGTTTGCAGCATGCTTGCCTCACAGCCTTGTATCGAGCCTTGTAGCTTTTAAGCCAAAGGAATGACATTTTAAAAGTTTCTCTTATTGGTGTATTCCAATCAAGTTAATTGTGTTCTATAAGAATTTTAAAAAGTAAAAATGTACCTGCAAGAGTCACAATTAAGGTAAAGAGATGTATTTCATTAAATGCTACTATTAAATGATATCAGTGAACATCCATATCGTACATTACTTTGTCACTCCTTATCAACATGAATACATCTTCCTGGCTTTGGGTGAAACCACTGGAAAAGTTCTTCTGGCAGTGTACAGGGATATTTATGAGAAATGTTCAGAAAAATGAACCTAGTTAATATTTAATGAAGTACATGTTACTGTAATGTTACCATAAAATTAGCTTAGCTTACAAGAAAATGTTATAAAATGAATCTTCTTTTATGCTGGCCAATAATTTAAATAATATACTTTATTAAAAGAGCCAAGCAATGTTTTTAACTATATTATATACCAACTCCCAATCCAGAAAACTGCTATTGCTCTTTTATTTTCTGCTTTAGTATTTCCATTCACTGTAAAATATTTTTTGAAAAGAATTTTGGAAGAGTTAATAAAGCACTTAGCAGAATAAGAAGCAGAAGGATTATTTAGTTTCAGAGCAAACCCCTGGCAGTTTTGAGTGTTAATAGTGGTTCTCATTTAAGCTTTTACAGGAACATACATTTTGACCTTTTTCAACTCTCCTGACTTCTAGAAGAATGAAGTGTTTATCTCAGAAACTATTGAGACTATTTTAGGATCTCAGTCGTTCAGGAAACTAGCTGTGCAAACTTTTTAACAGATAAAAACAAAAGAGCACCGCATTGGGCTGGAAGTAGGATCTGAATTTTATCTGCTAAATAATGGGGGTCATGTCACTTAATCTCACCAAAAATGAGGATAACAAAGCATTATATTGTTCACACAGGATTGTTGTCTCAAATGAAGAAAAACAGATGTATAAATATTGTGAAAAAGAAAGTAGTTTAAGAAATATTACTTTTATTATTTATATTATTTCAAATCACACCATTATTACTGCTTTTTATTTTTTATTTTTTATTTTTTTAAGACAGAATCTCGCTCTGTCGCCCAGGCTGGAGTGCAGTGGCACAATCTTGGCTCACTGCAACCTCTGCACTACAACCTCTGCCTCCTGGGCTCAAGCAATTCTCCTGCCTCAGCATCCTGAGTAACTGGTATTACAGGCATGCACCACCAAGTCCGGCTAATTTTTGTACTTTTAGCAGAGACGGGGTTTCACCATGTTGGCCAGGCTGGTCTCGAACTCCTGATCTCAAGTGATCCGCTCACCTTGGCATCCCAAAGTGCTGGGATTACAGGTGTGAGCCACCACGCCAGGCCTATTACTGGTTTTTAAAGATGACAGGGTTGGCATGTGTCCAATTCTATGAATAAGTTCCTTCAAAAAAATTTTTTTTTTTTTGAGACGGAGTCTTCCTCTGTCGCCCAGGCTGGAGTGCAGTGGCGAGATCTCGGCTCACTGCAAGCTCCACCTCCCGAGTTCACACCATTCTCCTGCCTCAGCCTCCCAAGTAGCTGGGACTACAGGCGCCTGCCACCACGCCGGGCTAATTTCTTGTATTTTTAGTAGAGACGGGGTTTCACCGTGTTAGCCAGGATGGTCTTGATCTTCTGACCTCGTGATCCGCCCACCTCGGCCTCCCAAAGTGCTGGGATTAGAGGCTTGAGCCACCTCGCCCAGCCGAAAAATTTTTATAAGCAGAAATTTATTTTAAGAGTTGATGCGTACTGATATAAGACAATGTTGGCATTCCTCAAATGAAAGATTGTTTTTGCAAATATTGGTAGTGTCCTGTAGTTACAGGCGAGTTGGGGTTTTATATCCCCTCCCCTACAAATCTGTCAGGAGTGCTCCTCTCCATCCTAGGCCTTTCAGCTGGTACCTTATGTGAAAGAGTCACTGAAAGGCAGACACAATGGTGTTCTGACGCAGGATTAGAAAACAATGGGGCTGCAGACCTTGAGCACTGCACAAATGGTCCAACAGTGCCTTGTTAGATTCTAATACCTTGTTCACGCAAGGACAATGGGACTTGTACAAATTTGCATAATCAGTTACCTATTTTGAACATGGTGCATTTTACCAGTGGAAAAATATTTCCAGTATCTCTTATGCTTAATTAATAAATTCTTTTATGTAGATTTCAATGATGATATTTGAGGTGCCAAGTAATCACTTCTCAGTGTTGTCTCCTAATTAGAGTACCTCTAAGATACAGAGTTTTTGCATATTCTCATATTACATGATTTATATTAATATTCTTAATGTAAATTCCAATACAAACTGTACAGCAAGATTGTCATTTGTCATTATATGAAAATGTACAATACTCTAAGTACTATTATCAAGGTCTCATATGTGTTTTTATTTTTTAAAAAAGTTCTTTAAAGAATACTTAGGACAATTTAAGACACAAACATCATTCATTTTAATAAACATTTCTTGAGCACTTACTATGTACCAAGCACTATGCTAGGTCCTGGGGTGTTAAAAACTAGGCATGATTTAAGTTCTCACAGCCTGTAAGGAAACAGATATTAAACAAATAAATACCAAAAGTACTTTTCACCATAGAAAGTGTAGTTGGTTCCATACCTTGGCTATTGTGACTAATGCTATAATAAACAGGAGTGCAGGTATCTTTTTGGTATACTGATTCCATTTCCTTTGGATATATGCCCAGTAGTGGGATTGCTGGATTGCATGGTAGTTTTATTTTTAATTCTTTGAGGAACCTCCATATTGTTTTTCATAATGGCTGTATTAATTTACAGTCCCACCAACAGTGTGTAAGGATTACTTTTTCTCCACATCTCGTGAATACTTGTTATTTTTTTCATTTTTTGATAGTAACCATTCTGATAATGAGGTTATATCTGATTATAATTTTGATTTGTATTTCCTTGATCATTAGGAATGTTGAGCATTTTTCACATATCTGTTGTCCATTTGTATGTCTTCTTCTGAGAAATGTTTATTCAGATCTTTTGTTCATTTTTAATCAGTTTTTTAAAAAAATATTGAGTTATTTTTGTTCCTTATATATTTTGGTTATTAACCCCGTATCAGGTATATAGTTTGCAAATATATTCTCCCATTCTGTGGGTTGTCTTTTTAAGCTCTGTTGATTGTTTTCTTAGTTGTGCAGAAGCTGTTTAACCTGATGTGATCCTATTTGTCCATTTTTGCTTTGATTACCTTTGCTTTTGAGGTTTTATCTAAAAAATCTTTGTCTAGACCACTGTCATGAAGCTTTTCCCCTATATTTTCTTCTAGTAGTTTCGGGTGTTACATTTTAAGTCTTTAATCTGTTTTGAGATAATATTTGCTTATGGTGAGAGAGAAAGCTCTAATATCATTCTTTCTCATGTGGATATCCAGTTTTCTCAGCATTGTTATTGAAGAGGCTGTCCTTTCCTTAATGTGTGTTCTTGGCACCTTGTCAAAAATCGGTTAGCTATAGATGTGTGAATTTATTTCTTGGCTCTCTATTCTATTTCATTGGTCTATGTGTCTATTTTTATGCCAGTCCAATGCTGTTTTGCTTACTCTAGGTTTGTAGTATGTTTTGAACTCAAGTAGCGTGATGCCACCAGCTTTATTCTTTTTGCTCAAGTTTGCTTTGGCTATCCAGGGTCTTCTGTGGTTTCGTACAAATTTTAGGATTGCATTTTGTCTTCCTGTAAATAATGTCATTGGTATTTTGATAAGGATTGCACTGAATCTGTATCTCACTTTAGATGCCCTGATCATTTTAACGATATTAGTTATTTCAATTCCTGAACATGTGATATCTTTCTATTTTCTGTGTGTGTTTTCCTCAGTTTCTTTCATCAATGTTTTATAACTTTCATTGTTAAGTGTATTCCTAGGTATTTTAATTGTTTTCATATTTTTGTAAATGGGATTACTTTCTTGATTTTTTTTCCAGATAATTTGCTAGTGGTATATAGAAGTGCTACTTATTTTTGTGTATTGATTTTGTATCCTGCAACCTTACTTTTATTCTAATGTTTTTTGGGAGAATCTTTGGGTTTTATATATATATGTATATTATAAGCACATATACATATATTTATATTATAAGCACATATATGTATATTTGTTTATAGATATATATTCTAAATAATGTCATGATATTACAGATGTGTGTATATGTGTGTCTGTAATATATAATATGTATATCTATATACATACATATACACACATATATGCGTAATATTGTAAGACACTAGAAAAAGCCTATGGGAGGAGTTATAAATAATTCATCTTATAAATTAGAATTGCAAGTACTGTATTATACTAGTTAATTTCTTTCCCTTTTGTATGTGTATATATATGTTTATATGTACACGTACGTGTACACATATGTTTATATGTACACGTACGTGTACACATATGTTTATATGTACACGTACGTGTGTACACATGTTTATATGTACACGTACGTGTGTACACATGTTTATATGTACACGTACGTGTGTACACATGTTTATATGTACACGTACGTGTGTGCGTATAGGTTTATATGTACACGTACGTGTGTGCGTATAGGTTTATGTGTACACGTACGTGTGTGCGTATAGGTTTATGTGTACACGTACGTGTGTGCGTATAGGTTTATGTGTACACGTACGTGTGTGCGTATAGGTTTATGTGTACACGTACGTGTGTGCGTATAGGTTTATGTGTACACGTACGTGTGTGCGTATAGGTTTATGTGTACACGTACGTGTGTGCGTATAGGTTTATGTGTACACGTACGTGTGTGCGTATAGGTTTATGTGTACACGTACGTGTGTATATATGTATATATATGATGTCATTAACAAACAGGGACGATTTGACTTTATTTTTTCCAGTTTGGATGCCCTTTATTTCTCTCTCTTGCCTGATTACTCTGGCTAGGACTTCCAGTACTATATTCAATAAAAACGGTGAAAGAAGACATTCTTGTCTGGTTTCAGATTTTAAAAGAAAGCTTTCAGCTTTTCCCAGTTCATTGTGATGTTAGCTGTGGGTTTGTAATTCATGGCCTTTATTATGTTGAAGTACAGTCCTTCTATACCTAATTTCTTAGGAGCTTTTATCGTGAAGAAATGTTGAATTTTATCAAATATTTTTCTGCCAAATATCCATCAATGGATTAAGACATTAACAAGAATGAAATACTGTCATTTGTGGCAATATGGATGGACCTGGAAGACCTTAGGTTAAGGGAAATAAGCTAGACACAAAAAAGGTAAATACTGCATGAACTCACTCATATGTGGGTATAAAAAGTCATTCTCATGAAAGTAGAAAGTAGAATAGTGGTACCAGAAGATGGAGAGAGTGGATGGGCTGAGGGATTGAAAGACATCGATCAATAAGTATAAAGCTACAATTAGATAAGAGGAGTAAGTTCTGATGTTCTATTGCATGGTAGAAGGCTGGAGTTAATATATATTTCAAAATAGGTAGAAGAGAGGTTTCCAAATGTTCTCATTAAAAGTAAATAATAAATGTTTAAAGTGATGAATATGCCAATTACCCTGATTTGATCATTACACAATGTATACATGTACAGATTGAGTATCCCTTATCTAAAATGCTTAGGACCAGAAGTATTTCAGATTTCAGAGTTTTTCAGATTTTGGGAATATTTGCATTGTACTGGTTGAGCATTCCAAATCCCCAAATCCAAAATCTGAAATGTTCCAATGAGCATTTCCTTTGAGCATCATACTGGTGCTCAAAAAGATTCAGATTTTGGAACATTTTGAATTTCTGATTTTTAGATTTAGTATCCTCAACCTATATCAAAACATAACATTGTAGCCTATAAATATGTACAATTATTATGTGTCAATCATAAATTTTTTAAAATACAATGTGAGTTTGCTACAAAAAATAAAATAGAATGTTATGAGAACCTTTAAAATATCATAAGACATCATTTAGCAAAAGCCTGTGGGAGGAGATGGAAATTATTTGTCTTATGAACTAGAATTGCAAATATTGAATTATAGTAGTTAATTTCTTTCCCTTTTAATGTTTTTACATTACAAGATGAAGATAAAGAGCAGAAACACTTTTAACTGGGAAAATAACTTTTTATGCCATTGAATAGTTTGGCTGACTGAAACTATAAAGTGGTTTAAGAACTGAGTGTCACAGAAATTAAAGGCACCTCTGTTGAGTCAATAAGTCAATACATTACTTCTGTTCCCTTGAGGAAACTAACTTGCTACACGCACAATTCAAGATGCAATAACATTTTTCAGCAGCTAGTAAGGAAAATAACCCTGGCAAAAATAAAAGTTTAGGGTTTTAAATTATTTTTTTCCTGATTTTTTTTCAGTATAGTCTATTATAAATTTAAGCAGAAAACATCAATAGACTTCAATTATACTACGAAGAATAATCTTAAAGGCTAGATGGAGTAAATTCTGGTTTTGCTGACACTGATTCCTTCACCCATTTAATGGTTTTTATTAATTGATTTGAATTTCCTATTGCCATTACTGAGTACATTTTAAGTTTGATGCTTCATTGCAGTCTTAGAGTTCTGTTAATTTTTATATGCATTTTATTGAGATTATATATTACATACTCTTAATTATAAATATTTTGAGTGCTTTTTTTACATTTAGTTGTTGAAATACAATATAAGAAATATGAAGTTTACCAATTAACAGAAAGATGTTACATAGTATCTATTCATTTTACTTTTCCATAAGATGCTGAATAAGTAAATAATGCAATTCTCAAGAAAGAAGCGATATTCAAGTTATTCTTAAGGTCTTCAATTTAAGTACTAAAATGTCTTTTCATACACTTAATATTTAACCTTCCAAGATTCTAGCAAACAATATTAAAATCAGCAAAATGCATAGAAAGAAAAAACTAGCAATTATATTGTGATTAATTTTGAACCTCTTTTTATCATTTTTCTATCAACTAACATTGTAAACTCTCATCGTAACAAAAATACATTGAAAATTATGATGGAAATGAAAATATTTAAGATATCAGTCCAGACATCCAGACATAGATGGATACAGATACATAAACAGGACACATACACACACACACACACACACACACACACACACACACACATTCAAGGACATCATTGTTTGGTATCTTTCCTTAATATCTAAGATGACACCACTGCAGTATAGACATCAAAATTCTCATTGTCACTATGTTTTGACAGATACGATCATTCAGCAAACTTGGTAGCTCAAAGAACCTGCACAAGCCCTTTGTCTTTCTGATTCCTTGATTTATTTAACAACATTTCTTGAGTGCTAACCAGGTCCCAGGCACTGTTGCAGGTGTTGGGGCTAGAACAGCTTCTTCTTTCATGGTGTTTATATTCTAGTGGAATTTTTGGTCTCACAGACACACACACACACACACACACACACACACAGGATAGATACATAGATAAATTATGTATACATAGTTTATTTTCAGCAGTTTGACAATGATGTGGTAGATAGATGATAGATAGATAGATAGAGGTTCACACACACACACACACACACACACACACACACACACACAGATGTTGATTGTTCTATTGCCTGATTTTTTTTCCCCTGTAGCCACCAGAATTGTTGATAAAATTATTGAGCTGGAAACGAAAGCTGCTAACTACTCTCATATTCTAAAGAAAATCATCTTTCTGGCCTCAAATTTGGGACCAGACTCCTTCTTGTAGGATTTTCTAAGAAGGTATTAAACCATCTCTATCCCTGTCCTCAATCTACATGAGAGGATTAGACACAGGAAAAATTTGAGGCATTGGTTGTGCAGAATTTAAGCAAGAGAATGGTCTTTTCTAGTCCTTGATCTTTTCTCTCTGTGCCAAGGAAAAGAAGAATTCCAAAAAGATCAGTTGAAGACTGGATATGGCTTTCAAGAAGGAAACACTAGCATCACTCTCCTCAGCTTAAGTGCCTGCTGAGATGAGAGCAGCAGGCCTATCTGATGTTCTCGTGAGAAAGAAGCAAGAAGGCAGATTTCTTGACATTGCTTTGTAGTTGTTTCTCGAAGTTTCGGAGCCTACAGGAACATAAAGATGGTGTCTGTTTCCGGTCCAGAGATTTCTGAAGGCAAGAGATCTGCTAAGGTAGCCCATGCGAGCAGTGTGTACAGAGATAATGTAATGAGCTGGGGGCAGAAGAGAGAGTGGCGTCCTATATTCCACTTTGCTCTGGCTTTTTGGACGAGGCAAGGAAGTTAGGATCTCAGTAGCTTCTCATAAAAGCATGTGGAAATTAGAGGTGATTCAGGTCACTTCCAGGGCAAAACAACTCAAGGTCCAATTTTAATAAGGAGTCAGGGGATTAATGATAAGACTGAAGTGAGAGTTGGCTGCTTTTCTCTGAAGCTGGTTTTCAGATACAGAGGATACAAGATGAAGTGGAAAAACTGCTTACATTATATGCTTGCAGGTACACTTAAAGGAATCACTCATCTCTTAAAAAAATTCTATTCTACTCAAGCATTATTTTCCAGATTTAAGATCCCCTTTACATTCTTTCAACAGATACTTATTGAATACTGACAATGTTCCAGGTCCTATTCTTGGTGCTGGGGATGTAACAATGAACGTAGACACATATATAGAGAGAGGAAGACTATAAACCGAGTCCTCTATCAGTGTCAAAGCTGCCAGCACAAAGATTGTGAGTTGTACTGATGGCAGTGTCAAGCACAAAGCAGGAGCCCTGATATACATTATACTGAATGAATAAATTAGGTTAAATTAGATGACTTCTAGGATCATTTCCAGTTTTGGTAATTTGTGTTTTCCTTATTGTCTCCAACTCTGTTAGTTATGCATATCTTATTTGGACATAATTTTAATATTAATCAAGTACAAATTATATTCTGGATAATGCTAAAGTGTATCATATATTTGTGTGTTCTCATTTAATTTTCATAGCAGCACCATGAGGTAGATTTGATTATCCCATTTTACAGATGAATGTACTAAGGCTCATGAGGTTAAATGTTTTACCCAATTGGCACAGCTGGAATTTGAAAGCTATGGGTTTTTTGTTTGGTTGGTTGGTTGTTTTTTTTCTTTTGCTCCAAATCCTGTACTTTTTCTGTTAGATCACACTGTCTCCCTAATATTATGGTACCGTATACTACAAAGTGCTAGAACATCATATAATTAGCATTCATAGTGAAGACTAGTTTTCAAACTGTCTTTACATTGTATATGTATATATATTATATATATGCATTTATATCACTTTTTTGCATAGAAATACACACACATACACATATATATTCTTAGTTATACTCTGTGCAGAAAGAGAAGATACTCTTCATTGTTTTATGGATCAAAAAACTGTTATTTATAAAAGTTACATTATATAACTAAGCAGAGTTATTACTGAGATTGGAGCTCATGTCTTCCAATGCCAATTACTATATTTTCAACATAAAACAATGTCTCAGTGACCCTCAGAAGATGCTCTTTTCTTCCAAAGCTCCTTAAAACTCTAGTTTAAAACATAACTGCTCTAGGAAGTATCTCCTGGTAATACCATTTGACCTCAAATCATGTGTGTTCTTCATTTATCTTCTGTACTTCCAAGTTTCATGTGATAATAATAGCTAATATTTGTTGAGTCTTCTATGCACCAGATCTTGTTCTAGGCACTATGCATGTAGTGATTCACTTAGAGCTCATAGCATCCTCTTGAGGTAGATTCCATTGCAATTCCCATTTTATAGATGAGGATACTAGGACATAAATTGGTTATGTGACTTGTCCAGTCTTAGAGAAGTGGTAAGAAGCTGAATTAGCTACTTGGGAGGCTAAGGTTGGAGGAATGTTCCAGTGTTTGAGTTCAGGGCAGCAGTGAGCTGTGATTGCACTACTGCACTCCAGGCTAAGCGATAGAGCAAGACGCTGTGGAAACAGAGAAAGAAAGAAAAAGAAAGAAAGAGAGAGAGAGGGAGGGAGGGAAGGAAGGAAGGAAAGAAGGAAGGAAGGAAGGAAGGAAGGAAGGAAGGAGCTGGATTATTAATGTATGAATGCCGACAATCTGGCTCCAGAGGACTTGCATTTCTATCCATTTCATTCTATACTCAATGTGAATTATTTTACTTTGCTTTTAATTAAATATTGTTTTATAAGTGTTGTTCAATCTTTTTTTCATGTCTCACTCAATAGACAGGCTGTAACTCAAGTTCTTCTGTACTACAAATAGGGTTTAGAACAGCATTCTACATAAGAGAGGGAGTCAAGCAAATAATTTGAAAGAGAATGATAGCTCCTTGAGCACACAGGCAACAATTTAGCAATTTTTTCCAGAACAGGAAAAAGGTCTAAAGAAGTTTCCTTATTCTTTTTTTCTTTGAACCCCTTATGGCAGTGAATATTTGACATTAATGTGAAAAATATCATTCTTTCTTATATATTGAATTGTTTTTTTTCCAACCCATGTTGAAATTGTTTTCCAGGAATGGAAATGATTTTGAGCTGATGAGCCATAACCATCCATTGCCCGTGGTCATCAAAAACACTGATTAGCAATTTAGTTCCAGAGGTGAGGGTGACATTCTGTGACTACAGACTAGAAGAAAACAAATGAGTTCACAGAAGAGTTAAGCCAAATAGTCTTTCCTCTTCCAGTCACTCCCCATGTTACACATACATATTCCTCCACTATATTAGTCCATTTTCACACTGCTATAAGAACTACACAAGACTGGGCAATTTATAAAGAAATGGGATTTAATTTAATCACAGTTCCACATGGCTTGGAGGCCTCAGGAAACTTGCAATCATGGCAGAAGGTAAAGGGAAGCAAGGCACGTCTTCACAAGGTGACAGGAGAGAGAGCACATGGGAAACTGCCACTTATAAAACCATCAGATCTTGTGAGAACTTCCTCACTATGATGAGAACAGCATGGGGGAAACTGTCCCCATGATCCAATCACCTCCCACCAGATCCCTCCTTTGACATGTGGAGATTACAATTCGAGATGAGATTTGGGTGGGGACACAGAGCCAAACCATATCACCCATGTTACACATTCATGCTTGTTGGAGCTATGTCTCATAAGCAAATAGCTGATGCCATTTGCCTGCTTTTAAACATTCAATGTCTCCCCTGTGCCTCTGACAACGTTTTCAAATGTGGCATAAATCAAAATAATCCAGGAAACTTGAAGAAAATGTAATTTTCAAATCTAGGTAACTTGTTTATTTAACAAGCTCCCTGAGGGATGTTGATACCCATTTAAAGTTGAAAAACATCGGCCTTTGGGGGTTAAATACAGACTCTTCAGCTTGGCATTCAAGGCCCACCTTTCATTGTCCTGTTCTGGCATTTCCAGCCTTATCTTCTGGTAAGTCTACATTTCAATCACATTCCCAAACCCCCTAGTACTGGCCCTGCACACAACAGGCATTCAGTATGGTTTATAAATTGACCTTGCTATTTCAGTGTTCTAGTCCACTAAGCTAAGTAGCCGCCAAGGTGTTGTAGGAAATTATATTGGTCTGTGTCCTTTGCTTACTCTACTACTTCTCCTTTCTTTTCCATCAAACTTGGTGCTGCCTGAGAATTTAATTTTTCAAAGTGACATTTAGTTCTTACTTAGCCATTGAGCTTCAAAGTATGGTCACAATAGAGTGGTGATGCAAAAGGCAGAAATATTTCTCACGTTGAGCATAGCAACCCCAAAAACATAATGAAAATCATATTTCAGTCACTTTCCCCATCATTCTGCATTAATGATTACAGTTTCAGGGTTCCAAATACTGATTCTCTGCTGTTTCAAGAAGCTTTCAATTTATTCACATTCCCAATTCCATCCTAGATTCAAAGAGAAAGATGTGCCAGTGTTTACTTTGTCTCTTTTCAGTCCTGAAGAATGCCAATGTTCCTAACCCACACCAAGTGTTTCCATTAGTCTTATTCATTTGTCAGTCTGTTGAGGTCTTATTGCCCCTTGCTCCCTTGAAAATAATGTCATCATCTAAAAGATCACTTCGCTGTATTTTATTCTCTGTGTGCTGTAAAAATTTACTCTGATGGAAATGGGAATTTTGCCTTATGAAAAAAATAGCCCACTATTTAATCATTTGATGGGTCAAGTTGACATTGTGAGAAGATTAATTAGCTAAACTAAACAATGTGCCTGTGTGTGTGTGTGTGTGTGTGTATTTATGTGTGTGTTTGTATATTCATTGCACATGTATGCACATGTCTGTGTATTCACTGTATCTGTGTGTGTGTTTGTGTGTGTGTGCCTATGCAGGGGGCAAAGGATGCTGAAATCTAGCCTGTCCTTGACATGTACTTTGGTGCAGTGGTGGATAATGCCAGGAGGAAGGGGGTACTTGTTTCCCTTTCTGAGAGGTTACCTTTGCCCACCAACTATGTGCCTGAGGGACCACCTTTTATTTTGATTCAACCATTCATAGAGATTGGCTTTTTTCTAATTTTCACAGAAACTCATATAGACTAGCAGTGTCTGTATGTAAGTACATGTCTGTGCATATGTTCATGTGTATGCATATTTGTGTGTGTGTGTGTGTGACAGAGAGAAACAGAGAGAGAGAA
Source organism: Homo sapiens (assembly GCF_000001405.40). Classification (NCBI taxonomy): domain Eukaryota; kingdom Metazoa; phylum Chordata; class Mammalia; order Primates; family Hominidae; genus Homo; species Homo sapiens. The sequence continues at coordinate 114,253,494 of NC_000023.11, read as the reverse complement.
GAGGGGGATAAGAGACTGTAGACCATGCATTTGTAGACTGAGAGAGTTAGCATTTTGGATAGACAAAGCAAGCTTCTACCTATTGTGGTAGGAAAAAAAGTTAAAATTATTCTCCTGCACAGTATTAACTGTTATGCAAATATCCCTTCCATACACCAATGTCATAGAAATTTTCCCTCAAAATGGTACAATATGGATGAAGAAGCACTGAGATAAGAGTTGGGAGAATTGAGTTTTTTCCTATCCCAGTTCTAACACATAGCTGTGTGACCTTAAGTAAATTCTGTAACCTCATAATATCGATATTCTCATCTATACACACGGATTCCTCAGGGCCTATTTTGCTATCCCTATAGAACTCCACGTATGTACATACATGTGTTTATTTATTTACCTTTTTTTTCTCAAAGAAGTGTAGCTGGTTGACACTTTAACACTTCTCACTTTTCTTGCTCAAGCTCCTCTAGCACTGCTCTACAAAACTTGCAACATTTTCTCTCCAGGCTGTCTTTAAAAAAAAAGGCTACATATCTTTATTTTTTAAAACAGCTCTTTATTGCTTTTCACTCCAGGGAAATGGATGTGAGATGATTAAAAATAACCAATACTGGAGAGGCTAAAAAGCTTCTGGAAGTCTCAGAAAATGTGAGTTGAGGCTTGGAAAATTCAAGGAAATTTATCTGTCTTCTTTTCTTCCTTCAGTTCAACGAATATTTATTGAAGGACTATAAGGTGGCATACCTGCCCAAAGCACCAAGACCATGGCAATAAACAAATTAGACAAAAATCATTGCCATCATGGAGCTTACATTCTATTGGGTGGAGGCAAACGAAAAATCAGTAGCTATATATGAATCAGCAGAAAAAATATGTATATATTCTATCAAATAGTGGTAAGTATTATGGAGAAAAATCAGGCAAGGAATGGTAATAGAAGGTGTGTGTGTGTGTTTAAATGGAAGAAGTTGTGGTTTTAAAAAGGGTTGTCAGGAAATGCCTTGCTGAAAAGTTAACATTTGAGATAAAACATGAAAGAAGTGAAGGAGCGAGCTATGTGAATATCTGAAGAAGAGCAATCTAGCACGATAGACCTGAGCCAGAAGCATTCCTGGCATGTTCTAGTAACAGCAACGAAGCCAGTGTTGCTGAAGCTGAGTGAGTTAGTGTAAAAATAGATGTCAGAGAGTTAAAGCAGGACTATATTGTGTGGGATCTTGCAGATTACTGCAAGGACTTTGGATTTTACTCTGAGTGAGAAGAGAAATACTGAAAGATTTTGATTACATGAGTGATATGATTACAGTTGAATTTTTATAAGATCACAATAGATGCTGTGTTGACAACAGACTGTTGGGTCAGGGTATAAATACAAAAATTATTTAGGAAACTATTGCTATAATTAGATGAGAGAATACTGACAGCTTGGATCAGGGCAATAGCAGTAGAAAGTAAGAGAAGGGATTGATTTTTATACACATATTTGAGGTACAACGTAAGGATTTGCTTATAGTATGGAAGTGAGGTATAAGAGGAAAAGTAGCATCCAGAATGACCCTAGAGTTTTAGGTTCAATAACCAAAAGTATGTAGTTTCTTTTTACTGATATGCCATACACTGAAAGACAGCAGGAGAAGTCCAGATCTTGATGGGATAACCGGTGATTCCATTTTGGACATGTTAGGCTTGAGAAGATTATTGGACATCTCAGTAAAAATGTGAAGTCAGCAGTTTGACATATGACTCTTCATTTCAGGAGAGAGATTTAGCCTGGAGATAAAAATTTAAGAATCATTAGAAAATAAGTAGTAATTAAAGACATTAAGCTAATTTGATCACTAAGGGGGTGACTGGAGGTAAAGAATAAGTCCAAGCAAGAACTGAGTCCTGAGACTGCAATTTTAACAAGTAGGAAAGAGGAATAATAAGAAAGTAAAAGTACGTGAAGTTCTGAAGGCCAGGTCAAATAAGTGCTTTACAGAGAAGAGAGCGTTCACTTGTTTCAAATGTTGCGGATAGGTAAGTAAGATGCACATGGATAAGTAGATTCAGCAATGTGGAGATACTGGCAATCTAGACAAGAGTAGTTTCAGGGCAGTGGTGAGTAGGAAAGCCTGGTTAGAATGAGTTCAAGAGAACAGGGAAAGAGGTTTCCAATGCACCTTTAGAGGAGTTTTGCTGTAAAGGCAAGGAAAAAATAAATAGTAGCTTGAGGAAGTGTGTGAGATCAAAGAAGGTTTTTTTTTTCTTTTTTAATTTGTGACATATGATACCTATGCAAAACTGTATCAAGCATGAATGTAGTTTAATAAATAATTATTCAAGGAACAGCCGAGTAACTACCACCTAAGTCAAGAAGTAGAACACTGCAGCATCCTAGAAGTCCAGCATAGGCCCTTCTTGATCAAAAACTTGTCCTTTCCCCTTAAAGCACCATCTTGACTTTCTCAATGATTCTTTTCATATCTTTATATTTTCATCATACAAATTTGTATCTCTAAGCACCAATTGTTTGGTTTAGCCAGATTTTGGCATTTGGATAAATTCAATCGCATTGTATGTATTTTTGTTTTGCTTCTTTCACTATTGTATTAGTGTGTTTTCTGTTGCTTATAACAGCATACCTGAAACTGGGTAATTTATAAATAAAAATAATTTATTTCCTCCAGTTCTGAAGGCTAAGTCCAAGGTCAAGGGACCACATCTGGTGAGGGCCTACCTGCTGATAAAGACTCTGCAGAGTCCTGAGGTGGTGCAGGGCATCACATGGTGAAGGAGCTCCGCATGCTAACATGCTAGCTCAGTCTCTCTTCCTCTTCTTATAAAGCCACCAGTTCTCCTCCCATGATAACCCATTAATCCATGAATGGATTAATGCATTCGTGAGGGCTCGTCACTCAATCACCTCTAAAAGGCTCCACCTCTCAATACTGCCACATTGATGATTAAGTTTGAACATGAGTTTTGGAGAGGACAAATATTCAATCCATAGCAATTGTTTTTCAGATTAATTCATATTGCAGTTTTTAGCTGTACTTGGTTTAATGTTACAGCTGTGTGATAGCCCGTTCTATGAATGTTTCAGAATTTATACATCCATTCTCTGCTAATACATTTGGACATTTCTGGTTTATGCCCTGCACCACCTTCCCACGACCACCATCAGATTTCAGTCGCAGCAGTGGTCAGCAGTACTCCTGCATACTAGAACAGAAGCGCCCCAGCTGAATCAATGCTCACAGACATTCTGGATGTGTTTGTTTGTTTTCCTTTTTCTTTCACTTCAGGTTGTTTATTTAGGCCTCACTTGATTGATTGATTGGCTTGCTAGCAGGGCAGCCCAGAAAAGCACACAGAAGCTAATTCTTCGAGGATCAGTTCTCAACCAATGAGGGACAGCAGCCTTTTGGAGGGACAATTTTTAGCTGAATACTATGTAGTTCTTCATAACACAAATGAGCCCCAGTTGCCTTGAGTGCTATTCAGCTTAAAAATGCACACTTTATTGGTTTTCCCTCTTTCCCCATCTCATTCTTCCCACGTCCTCAATGGTACTTCCTAAGATCACCTCTCAAATGAACCACCTGAACTCAAATTCTTGTCTCAGAGTCTGCTTGAAGGGAAACCAAAACAAAGATAAGACTTTTATGAATAATGCAACAGTGAATATTCTTAAACATACCTCTTGGGATACCTATGCACAAATTGCTCTAGGGCAGGGCCCAGCAAACATTTTCTGCAGCGGGCTAGATAATAAATATTTTAGGCTTTTCTGGACACATATCGTCTCTGTCTCATGTTCTTTGTTGTATTGTTTTTATTTTCACAAGCATTTAAAATGCAAAGTATAGTTTGTCAATCACTGCACTAGAGTATATTCTTGTGAGTGAAATCACTAGATCAAAAGGCATATATAGGTTTTGCTTTCTTATATACTACCAATTTTTCTAAAGTGCTTGTTCACTCCCAGTAGCAGGGCATGAGAGATCCAGTTATTCCATAACCTTGCCCACATTTTGTATTTGACAGAATTTTTATTTTTAGCCATTCTCTTGGGAGTGTAGCAGTATTATAATGTGGCTTTATCTTGCATTTCCTTAATGACCAATCAGGTTGAGAAATTCTGCATATGTATAATGGCTAATTGGTTTTCCATATTCAGCTAGTACCTGTTTTAGTCTTTTTTCTGATTTTCTTTTGGTTTAACCTGTCGGTTTTTTTCATTGACTTGCAGAATATCTTTGTAAATTCTGGATATGAATCCTTTGTTTTATTTGACTGTGCTTCAAATATCTTCTCTCACTTGATGACTTACACTTTCACTCTATTAATTGCATGTTTCAATGAACAAAATTTCTTAATTTTATTGAGATGAGATTTATCAATCATTTCTTTCATGATTGTGAATTTTTTATTCTGTTCAAGAAAGTTTTGTCTATCTGAAGGTTATAAAGATATTTTTCTATGTTATCTTCTATAACTTTATTGTATTTTTTTCCTATCACATTTAAGTTTAACCATGCCAGGCATGGTGGCACACACCTGTAATCCCAGCACTTTGGGAAGCCAAGGCAGGAGGATCACTTGAGGCCAGAAGTTTAAGACCAGCCTGGGCAACATAGCAAGACCTCACCTCTATATATATTTTTTTAATTAGTCAGGTGTGGTGGTGTGTGCCTGTAGTCCTAGCTGCTTGGGAGGCTGAGGTGGGGGAATCGCTTGAGTCTAGGAGTTTGAGGCTGCAGTGAGCTATGATCATGCCACTGCACTCCAGCCTGAGGGACAGAGCAAAACTCTGTCTCAAAAAAAAAAAATCTAACAGGAGCTATTTTTGTGTATATTATGAGGTGGGGGTTCAATTTCATTTTATTTCCATTTAGCTATCAATTATTCCAGCAGCATTTGTTTAAAAGATTATCCTTGCTCTACTACTGTAGTTGATTTCTTATAACCTTTTTATCCATATATATTTGAGTTTTAATCTGAGCTCTATTCTGTTTCATTGGTCTGTTTGATGACCTTGCACAAATACAAACTGTGTATAGCAATTTTAAAATTAGACACTGTGGCTAGATGAGGTGGCTAATGCCTGTAATCCCAGCGCTTTAGAAGGCTGAGGCAGGTGGATTGCTTGAGCTCAGGAGTTCAAGACCAGTCTGGGCAACAAGAAGAAACCTCATCTCTACAAAAAATACAAAGATTAGCCAGGTGTGGTGACTGCTCCTGTAGTCCCAGCTGCTTGGGAGGCTGAGGTGGGAGAATGGCTTGAGTCCAGGAGGTCCAGGCTGCAGTGAGTCAAGATCGCACCAATGCATTCCAGCCTGGGTGACAGACTGAGATCCTATCTCAAAAGCAAAACAAACAGGCCGGACATGGTGTCTCATGTCTGTAATCCCAGCATTTTGGGAAACCAAGGCGGGTGGATCACCTGAGGTCAGGAGATCAAGAGCAGCCTGGCCAATATGGCGAAAACCCGTCTCTACTAAAAATACAAAAATTAGGCGGGCGTGGTGGTGGGTGCCTGGGAGGCTGAGGCAGGAGAATCGCTTGAACCCGGGAGGCAGAGGTTGCAGTGAGCCGAGATAGCGCCACTGCACTCCAGCCTGGGCAACAGAGCAAGACTCTGTCTCAAAAAAAAAAGAAATCAGACATTGTTCCCTCAAACACGAAGAAAACTAAGATTTTGATGATGATTGCATTGGATCTATGGATTAAGTTTGGAGAAATGATACCTTCATAATGTTGAACCTTCAAATATATGGATATGGTATATTTTTCTATTTATTTAGGCCTGCCCTAATGTCTTTCAATAATGTTTGCCAATTCCCATGTAGATTTACCGCTTGATTTTGAGATTGTTAATGTTATTGTAGGTTTTATCAACTTCTTTTTTGATTTGTCTATTTTTTTCTAACTTTTTTGAGATATGATTGACAAAAATTGTATATATTTATGGTGTACAACATGACATTTTGATATATGTGTTCATTGTGAAGTGACTACCACAGTCAAGCTAGCTAACATATCCATCACCTCACCTAATTACCATTCTTTTTTGTAGTGAGAACGCTTGAGATATACTCTCTAGGCAAATTTCAAAGAACATAATACATTGTTATTAACTATAGTCATCATGCTGTACATTGGGTCTTCAGAACTTATATAACTTGAAGTTTTTACCCTTTGACCAACATCTCATTTCCACCACAGCCACCAGGTCCTAGTAACCGCCATTCCATTCTCTGTTACCATCAGTTGGACTTTTTTTTTTTTTAAGATTCCACATATAAGTGAGATCATATAGTATTTGTCTTTCTATGTCTGTGTTATTTCAGTTAGTATAATCCAAGTTCATACATGTTGTCACATATGACAGGATTTTCTTCTTTTTTAGGGCAGAATAACATTTACACACACCTTTTTCTTTATCTACTCATTTGTCTACAGACACTTAGGTTGTTTCCATATTTCAGCTGTTGTAAATAGTGCTGCAATGACCAGATTTCTCTCTGAGTAGTGATTTTACCTCCTTTGGATTTATACCCAGAAGTGGAATTGCTGGATCATATGGTAGTTCATATGGTAGTTCTATTTCTTAACTTTTTGAGAAACCACACTGTTTTCTATAATGCTGTGTTTTTTACATTAATTTTTGATTCTTTTAATAATATAGAGAGATATAGAACTAAAATTGATACGCATATATTGACATTCAGTTCAGAGACTTCAGTAAATTCATGTTCTTCTGGTTATTGTGACAAAATACACGTAACAGAAAATTAGCCATTTTGGCCATATCAAAGTGTACAATTTGGTGGGTTTTTGTGTATTCATGAAGTTGTGCAACCATCAACACTAACTCCACAACATTTTTGTCACCCCAAAGGGAAGCCCTATACTTATTACACTTCCCCTTCGCTCATCCATTTCAGCTGCAAATCTGCTCTCTGTCTCAATTGATTTGCTGATTCTGAAAATTCATAAATAGAATTAGACACTTTGTCAATAATGCTGCTATGAACATTCATATACAAGTTTTTCATGGACATATGTTTTTATATTTTGTGAGTATGTACCTAAAACTGTAATTACTGGGTCATATAATAACTCTTTTAGTTTGAGGAACTAAAAACTGTTTTCTAAAGTATCTGCACCATTTCCACCAGCAATGTATGAGAGCTCCAGTTTCCCCACATCCTTGTCAGGATTAGCTACTGTTTGACTTTCTGAGTATAGCCATTCTGGTGGATGCAAAGCGGTATCTCATATGGGTTTGCTTTGCATTGTTTTAATGACAAACTTCATGTTCTCTGATGGCCATTTGCAGATTTTCTTTTAAAAATTAGCTATTCAAGTCATTTGTCCTTTATTAATTGAGTCGTTTGACTTTTTGTTGTTGAGTTGTAATAATTCTTTACATATTGTGGATACTAGACCTTTATCTTAAATATGACTGACAATTATTTTCTTCCATTCTGTGGTTTCTGTTTTTCTTGTCCTGATAATGTACTTTGAAGCACAGGGGTTTCTCATTTTGATGAAGTCTCATTTATCTATTTTTATTTTTTTTATTTATTTTTCTTATGCTTTTGGTGTCATATATAAGGAAACCATTGTGAAGTCAAAGACAGAAAGGTGTACCCCTATACTTACTTTCAAGGGTTTTATAATTTTCTTACACTTGTGTCTTTAATCTATTTTGAGTTAATTTTTCTGTATGATATGGGGAGGGGTTCACCTTTATTCATTTACATGTGTACCTCCAGTTGTCCCAGCAGTGTTTTTGAAGAAACTATTCTGTCTCCACTGAATTGCCTTAGCACTCTTGTCAAAAATCAGTTGCCATAGAGGTATGGGTTTATTTCTGGACTCTCATCTTATTCCATTGAACTGTAAGTCTATCCTTATGTCAATACTATGCAGTCTTGATTAGTGTAGCTTTGTAATAAGTTTGAAAATCAGGGAGGGTAAGTTCTCCCCTTTGTTGTTCTTTTTTAAAGATAGTTTGAGTTATTTGGAGTCCCTTGGATTTTCATATGAATTTTAAGAGCATCTCATCAGTTTCTCCAAAAATGCCATCTGGGATTTTGATAATGATTGCGTTGAATCTGCAGATTAATTTGAGGAGTAATTGCATCTTAATATTAAGTCTTCTAACCCATGCACATAAAATATCTTTCCATTTATTTAGGTCTTTTACATTTCTTTCAATGATATTTAATAGATTTCAGTATTCAATTTCGTTACTTCTTTTGTTAAATTTATTTCTAAGTATTTTATTCATTTTGATGCTATTGTAAATGTAGCTGTTTCTTAATTTTATTCTTGCATTGTACATTGCTAGTGTATAGAAATACAATTGAGTTTTATATATTGATTTCGTATCCTCTAGACTTGCTGTATTTTTATTAGCTATAGTAATTTTCTTAGGATTCTTAGAAACTTCTATATATAAATTCATGTCATCTGCACATATAATTGTACTTCTTCCCTTCTAATCTGGATGTTATAATTTAGTTTTCTTGCCTAATTGACTTTTCTAGAATCTCCAGTATAATATTGAATAGTAGAGGTGAGGGTGGACATCTTTGTCTTATATATGGTCTTCGGAAGAAAGCATTCTGTTTTTCATTGTTAAGTATGATGTTAGCCGTACATTATTCATACATGTCCTTTATTAGGTTAAGAATATTCCCATTTATCGAGTGTCTTTATCATAAAAGTGGATGTTATCAAATGCATTTTTCTGAGTCTATTGAAATAATCATGTGTATTATGATGTGCTATAGTGATTGATTTTTTTTTTAAAGGAGTTTTGCTCTTGTTGCCCAGGCTGGAGTGCAATGGCATGATCTTGGCTCACTGCAACCTTCGCCTCCCAGGTTCAAGCGATTCTCCTGCCTCAGCCTCCTAAGTAGCTGGGATTACAGGCATGTGCCACCACACCCGGCTCATTTTTTGTATTTTTAGTAGAAAAGGGGTTTCACCATGTTAGCCAGGCTGGTCTCGAACTCCTGACCTCAGGTGAACTGCCCACCTCGGCCTCCCAAAGTGCTGGGATTACAGGTGTGAGCCACTGCGCCCGGCCTAGTGATTGATTTTTTTATGTCAACGTTCTAATATCTACATTCTATGTCTACATACTGGGAATGTCTAATCCTACATTCCTGTGATAATTCCCACACGGTCCTATTGTATAATACTTTTTACATGATGCTGAATTTGACAGCATTTTGGTGAGGATTTTTGTTTCTATTTATGGTTCATATGGATCTGTAGTTTTATTTTCTTGTGATGTCTTTGTCAGGTTTTGTTATCAGGGTAATACTGGCTTCATATAATGAACTAGGAAGTATTTCATTTTTAAAAATTTTTTGGAAGAATTTCAGTATTAGAATTTGTTTAATTTCTTAATGGCTTCCTGGAGATTACAATTAGCATCCTATTTCTAACAAGCACTTTTCGATTGATTTTAAAATTTTTATCTGGTAAGTCTAATGTCTGGGTTTTCTCAAGGATGGTTTGTATTGACTGTTTTTGTTTCTGTGTATGGTCCATACTTTTCTGTTTCTTTGCATGCCTCATAATTTTTTATTGAAAACTGGATATTTTATATAATTTATTGTGGCAATACTGAAAATCAGATTTTCTGCCCTCCCCAGGGTTTGTTGTTGATGCTGGTTGTTGTAGTTTGTTGTTTAATGACTTTTCGGAACTAAGTCTGTACATTCTGTATCTTTGTCATGTGTGGACACTGAAATCTCTTTTAAATTAGTTTGGTGGTCAGCTAATAATCAGCAGAATCTTCCTTAAATGCCTAGAACCAATCAGCCTCTCAGTCTTTTCTTAGGGGTTCTGTGTTCATGTTGGGCATGCCTTCAACACTCAGCCAGGTAGTTTACAATTTTGCCTACCTTATCCTTCACTACATGCTTTTGTGGAGCCATTTACAATTGTTGTCACCCCTTCCTTTCTTTGTAACTATTATTATTTGAGGACTTGGCATGTACCTTTCACTTTGCACATATGATGTTATATTTCCCTCACAATATCTTTATAAAGTAAGTAATATTGCCCTCAGAATGATAAAGCTAAGTATTTGCTACATCTTTGAAGTGACTGAGCCAAATAATGAGCTCATAGATGACTTCAGAGTTTATACACTTAAGCCTACATTAAGTCTTCCTAAAATAAAAAATCAACTATACTATTCTTTTATTTTGAATCAGGTGAAGCATTTTAATCCCCCTCTCATAATGAGAAGCCACTCATCTAAATATTGTTTCTATGGATCCCTGTGGCGTAGTAAATTATTTTTGCAAAGTACTGAGACATTCAATTTCTCTCAAGTGCCATAGTATTTAGCCCCTTACATTTTCTTATGTTCATAATGTCTGGTAATAAGTACTCTCTCCTCAGCGGCTATAGCTCTGACTTTCTTTCGTTATATCTTGGAGCATATTTTTTTGTCCTCTCAGCTCACCAATTCCTCTCCTCTTGTGTTCTTCCTAGAGGGGGATTGGCCCCTGTGGATATGTGTGAAAATGTGCCCTACAGTCTCCCTCCTGGAGACAAATCTTATCTTAATCTTGAGTGGGTGTTCAAATAATAGCTGTGAGCCATTACCCCATTGAAGATATCTATGTAACATTCAAGATTTATATTCATTTTATGATTTAGAGGAAGCTATTTAACTTTATTGTGTTAGTTTAGTTCTTCCAAGAAGCACATATCAAGTTGCAATTAGATATGAAAGAAAATAACTGGATCCCTTGAAGGATAAATGGAGAGGAAACAGGATAGGCAGAGAGAGCCTTCCAGCTGTGACACAGTTATGACACCTATGAAAAAGAATGGAAAGGAAGAAGGGTTTGGTAGGAAAAGTTTCAGAGAACAGTGCAGTTGTAAGATGATTTTGGCCAGGCTTATGAGGAGTCCACGAGTCAAAATTTCTTATTAATGGAATCACATGTCAGATAGGAAAGGGGTTGCAATGGCACCACTGCCATGTTCAGTCATTGGCCATGAACAGTCCAGGGAAAGTATGGCCTTGGCACTAACATGATGGTGGATCCGGACAAGTCGCAGCTGGGGGTATCACTCAACTGTGCTCCACACAGAAGGATAGCTATCTGGTGCATTTTCATGGTTGCCACAATCTAGCACACCTAGAATCACATCCCACAGGGTCATTTGTTTTTGTAAAGCATTAGACCTTATTAAACAGATTAAACATAGACAAGAGCAACAAAATTTCTAGCTGTAAATATGGATTACCGAAAAAAACAAAACTGGGCCGGCAATCATTAATAGGTGAGTAGGGTTTACATAATTATAAGGAGAAGTTTAATCAAGTGAAAAAAAAAAGTCGCTTAAACCCCACCATGCATATAATAAAATAAAATTACTACTGACTCAAAAATTTATTCTTAAGTAAAAGAAAAGTTGTTCCTTAAAAAATAATGATTATAAATGTATAGATTCTACTATTTAGGGATGGGAAAAGTAAATAATAAGATTGTGTTTTTATCCACAGGGGGGAAAAAACAATTTCACTGTTTAAACACCTCTTTAAAAGACAGAAGAAATAGCAACCAAAATAAATAAATGTTATATTTTATTCAAATGTAAGAACTTTTTTTTCCTTCAAAAAATGCCATCAAAAAAGTGAAAACACATCCCACAGAATAGAAGAAAATTGTTAATCATAGATCTCATATAAGGGACTTGTACAAGAACTCTTACATCTCAATAATAAAGATACATATAACCCAATTTAAAAGTAGGCAAAGAATCTGAACAGACATTTTTCTTTTTTTAATTATTATTATACTTTAAGTTTTAGGGTACATGTGCACAACGTGCAGGTTTGTTACATATGTATACATGTGCCATGTTGGTGTGCTGCACCCATTAACTCATGAACAGACATTTTTCTAAAGGAGGTATACCTGACTAGTAAGCACATGAAAAATGCTCATTACTCATCACGGAAATGTAAATTAAAACCAAAATGAAACACTTCACATTCACTGTGATGGCTATAATCAAGAAGGTTTATAATAACAAGTATTGGTGAAAGGTGGAGTAATTGGAACTCTTACACACTGCTGGTCACTTTGGAAATTCCTCAAATGATTAAACATAGAGTTATCCTATGAAACAACCATTACACTCCTTGGTATTTACTCGAGAGAAATGAAAACATATGTTAAAAAATTGTATATGAAATAATCATAGCAGCATAGTAGCCAAAATTTGGTAAAAATAAGTCAAATTTCTATCAACTGATGAAAGGATAAATAAAATGTGGTAAAATCCATACCATGGAATATTACTCAGTCTTAACAAAAAAAATGAAGTATTGATACATGTTATACATGGCTGAACCTTTCATTATGCTAAACGAAAGAAGCCAATCACAAAAGTCCAAAAATGTCCAGAATAGGCGAATCTATAGAGATAGAAAGTAGATTTAGCTGTTGCCTAGAGATGGGGGATGTGGAAATGAGGGGTGATGGCTAAAGGGTACAGTGTTTCTTTTTTGGGGTAATGAAAATATTCTAAAATTGATTGTGGTGATAATTGCACAGGTCTGTGAATATAGTAAAAAATATTGAATTGTACATGTTAAATGGGTAAATTTCATGCATGAGTTATATCTCAACAAAGCTTTTATAAAAAAGATAGTGGCAACAGCAAATTGGTTTGCAATTACAGAGAATCCTAAGTATAACCCATTACAAATACGATACCGAGATGTTGGTAACACACTTATTAATTCTGCTTAATAGGATATGTTTTATTTAGCTGCTGTGAGGTGAGTTCAAATGATTACTGAGTGTAATGTGTTCATATGGACATTCCACCTCAGAAATGCAATTACGTTTAGAAAAGCCATTAGCAATATTAAACAAGTTTCAATGAGCACAATGTTCAGTAATTAAGCTAGAAAAGCAACACGTTATCAAAGCAAAAAGAATCCTTGGTTCTGCGCAAAAAGTAGAAATCTTTCCATAAAATGAGACATAAAAAAGGCATAACAGTAATTAAAGCCTCTACACTCAGGGCACCTAAAAGTACAACAATGTTTAAGTGAGCCTGATACACTTTATTGTTGTGCTATGATAGATATACACCGTTCAGAGTGTATAAAGATATATAAACAAAACCCTTTAAATGAAAAATTGTTTAGGAAATATTGTATTAAATTAACACATAGATATGTTAGCTCTTCTTAATTTTAAAAGGTTAATTTGGTTAATTTTTAAAGGTTATATTTTTGTCAAAATAAAAATGTTTTCACTGTAAAATCTGTTCTCTACTTATATTTTTTGTTTGGGGTATATCATTGGCTAGTTATAGAAAACAAAATTTCAACCACTATTGTATTGCATATCTCTAACATCATTGATATAGAATCACAAAATGAAATTGTCAGTGATTAACACATTTATAAAATTATATGTGATACAAGTTAATTTTAACTCATATTCAAATATTAGTTGCAGGTGAAAACTAAAGTATCCAGGTCCCAAGTTACAACATTATATGAGAAACTGAATCAGCTGAGACAAAACCATATAGTAGCAACATTGGAATAGGATTCAGGAGATTGTTACTAGTTCAAGATCTAATGTGTATAATTTCCATGAAAAAGCAATGCCTCTTCTCTTGCTTTCTCATGTTTTATGTGTCAAATGACAAAATTTTTCTAGAAGATTTCAAAAGACCTTTCGGTGACAGATACTAACAATGCTCACTAATATGTCTGCTTTTTTTGCCCTTCAGGACCCACAAAGCTAGGTGTGTGTTTGCTTTGGCCAATGAAATGTGTGTAGAAGTGATATGTGCCACTTCTGGAGAGATGCATTTAAAAGCTTGTGGCCAATATTCTGTGCTCTCCCTTTTCCTGGTGCAGCTACCAGCAATGTTACAGATGGTAAAGTCTCCATTACCCTAGACCCCTGAGTGAAAATGATGTGGAGCGGAGACCCCTGTGAACGCATAATTGGCATGTAGTAAAAGCAGGAAGCATGTACCTTGTTCTTTGTAAGCCACAGAGAGCTGGAGTTTGTTTGCCCCTTATAGCATGACCTAGCCTTTCTTGACTTATATAAATGTTAGTTCCAGAAGTAGCGTGCTGCCATAACAACAACAACAACAACAACAAATCCCTAAGATAAACAGCATTAGCTTTAAAGCCCATAATATTTGGCAGAGAAAACTGCTATCTGAGGCTGGAAAGATGGGGATGCCTTGACAAAACATTTGTCAAATTGGTCTCCTGTTATAGATTCAAAGGCAGTTCATGTACCTAGTGAACTTGCAGCTTCACAAGCAAGAGATTGGAAAGAAGAATATTAGTAGCAGTAGTTATCTGCTTTAGGCAGTATTTGACAAGAAAAAAAAGAGCCTAGAAAAAGAAAAAATAAGAAAATAAGAGAACTAGAAATTGGAGGTATTACAAAGCTGGCAAAAGTAACTACTTCTTGGAAGAGAAACAATAGGAGTTGAAATTAAGAGAGGCTTTAAAATATTAAGTCCAAGTAAAACTGATCCTTGAGGCAAATATCAAAGTAAAGATAAACCTCCACACTTATAGTTAAATTCTGCAGATGGATTTAGGTGCCTCAAAACAAAGGTCAAATTAAGAGTGTTGTGACCAATAAAACTTTTTCATTGAATAAAATCGTTCAAGGAAAAAAATTTAAGAGAATGTGTCTCATGCTGAAACCCTACAGGTTTAAGAAACTGGTCATTGATTCAATAGATACAAATAGAAGTTTCAAAGCCAATAAATATAGTATTTCTAGAAATTATGTTTTGAACAGAACTGTTGTTAAGTATTTGGCAAGTGAAACTGACTAAACTAAAGTAGATAGGAAGCCTACTGAGTTTTAGAGAGTTATATTGCCAATTGAAGCATGCCACTATGACTATTAAGATTTAAAAGGAAACTTGGGTCCCCAACTATGTATACAGATTAAATTGGTTAAGAAATCTGTTCAAGACACTTCTCAAGACATTTATGCAGCCAACAGACACAAGAAAAAATGCTCATCATCACTGGTCACCAGAGAAATGCAAATCAAAACCACAATGAGATACCATCTCACACCGGTTAGAATGGCCATCATTAAAAAGTCAGGAAACAACAGATGCTGGAGAGAATGTGGAGAAATAGGAAGGCTTTTACACTGTTGATGGGAGTGTAAACTAGTTCAACCATTGTGGAAGTCAGTGTGGCGATTTCTCAAGGATCTAGAACTAGAAATACCATTTGACCCAGTGATCCCATTACTGGGTATATACCCAAAGGATTATAAATCATGCTACTATAAAGACACATGCACATGTATGTTTATTGCCGCACTATTCACAATAGCAAAGACTTGGAACCAACCCAAATGTCCATCAATGATAGACTGGATTAAGAAAATGTGGCACATATACACCATGGAACACTATGCAGCTATAAAAAAGGATGAGTTCATGTCCTTTGCAGGGACATGGATGAAGCTGGAAGCCATCATTCTCAGCAAACTATCACAAAGACAGAAAACCAAACACCGCATTTTCTCACTCATAGGTGGGAATTGAACAATAAGAACATTTGGACACAGGGCAGGGAACATCACACATGGGGGCCTGCTGTGGGGTAAGGGGCAGGGGGAGGGATAGCATTAGGAGAAATGCCTAATGTAAATGATGAGTTAATGGGTGCAGCACACCAACATAGCACATGTATACCTATGTAACAAACCTGTACGTTGTGCACATGTACCCTAGAACTTAAAGTATAATAATAAAACTAAAAATTAAAAAAGGAAATCTATTCATCTCTTTAATAGTACATAAACATGTCATCCAATTCATATATGGCAAATTCTATAGAGTATAACCACTGACAACAGAGAAGAATGGACTGAGAGGCCTTTCCTAGAGAGCAGGATTATCCCTGTTCAAGTCTTGCTTTGGAGTATGAAGTGTGAATAATCCAAGTTTGTAGGTTTTTGGATAATCAAGTGGAAAACACATAAGAGCGCTCAATAAATATTTAAGATTTCATGAACATGGACATAGGAGACAATTTCCAGGCTTTTGATGATTACCCTGAGGCGACAAATATATCCTTAGAGATTTTAATTAAAATATGCTTCTTCTGACAATGTACAAATAGTTAATTCAATTCTAACCAGTAGAAATTCTAAGTTTTATTCCAATTAATGGCTTTTCCTTGCATGGAGTTTTTTGACCCCAATTCTAAAAAAGGTTGCTTGAATTTGAGGTAATGGTGAGCTAGGTAATTTGGATTAATATTTCCACTGAAGACAACCAAAGAATAGCTGATTAAAACATAGAAATCATCTGCTTGGAAGCACTTACAAACTACCGAAATAGAAGAGAATTATTAGCTTTGGGATTTGAGATAATATGGAAGATTTGAAGGTGGGTGGACATATAGAGCCATTTTTTTCCTATAGCAGAATTGACAAACTATGAGGTGCATGTCTTATCCATCTCGCCTCGTTTCCTTCAATAATGTTTTACTGTAACTTAGCCACATTCATTTGTTTATGTATTGTCTATGGCTGCTATCATGCTTCAACAGCAGAGGTAAGTAGGTATGGCAAAGACCTTACGGCCTGCAAAGCTTAAAATATTTACTCATTGACTATCAGAGTATTGGAGGATTCCAGAAGAGGCTGTCTGAGATACCAGGCAGCACTTTTGAATGATTTTCAGGTTTCACAAGATAAGGTTTAGAGTCCAGCACCCACCAATGTGGAGACAGGCCATCTCATTTCCTAAAATTAGATTGAGATGATCTCAAATTGCAAGTGCTGACCAGCATTCAGCAGAAGCAAATATATATCCTTTTTGGTGAGAGATTATTTCTGCAAAAAATTGTGTGAATACAATGCCTAGAAAAAGTTAAAAATATCACAGGCAAAAACAAAGTTATATGAATAAAAATTAGCAGAAACAACAAACAATAGATACAGACCAAAATGGGCTCCAGAGACATACCTAAAAATCCATCCAAGGGACTTGATATTAGTGTACATTTTTCATATCATTAGTTCATCAAATTTCTTAAAAAGACTTTTAAATCAACTAGTGGGATGATTGGCTAGTAAGAGAAAATTGTGCTTTCTTCATAGTATTTTAATATATCGAATCATTGTCTATGTCATACCTATTCATCTCTTTCCTATTTCTATATTTTTATAGTCATACAATGTATGTACTTCCCCAAATTAATGTAAACCAGGGATGCTGTTCCCTCTAATTCACTCACTGAAGAACCATCAAGAATACTGTTTCTAAAAGTGAATGACTGAAGCTTCCAGTGCCTGACCTAATAGCTGAAGTTTCAGATGGGCCAAAAAGATCAATCATTGTCTTTAAGTAGGCAATCAGAAACAAATTTTTATTCACATAAAATAAGTGTAGCTAAGTAAAGATACCTAATGGAAGCATGAGCATAAAGAAAATTGCCTAAAGGAAACACCGTATCTGCTTGACAAGAGAGAAATGGGATTATCTAAAATCACACAGTGTAAAAACTCAGTTGTTTTAAAGTGTTCCAAACTACCTGTAAATTTATCAGAGGGAAGTGAGGAGAGCCAAAAATAGCTCTGAAAATATGCTGATAGTGGGAACTTGCCATAGAGAGGTGTGAGGCAAGTGTCAGCCCAAGCCCTGAGTACTCATCAGGGTGAGTCCAAGTTCCGGGGCATCAGCCTTAAGTTCAGGAAATGCTGACCCAGACTAAGGGAGACATTCTGCAAGCATGAGACATTTCATCATAATTTTTCTGCATTTTATGTGCTCTGTCTCTCAGTTGGCACATCAATAGCTCTGACCTTTTAAAGTCATCCTTTATTGAGCCACAGAAACGAAAGGCCAGTGAAATCTTTGAGGAGTAATGGAGAAGAAAGCAAATGCTTTGCAGATGTAGTCCCCTTCCTTCTCTAACAACAGGCATTCTCTTTTAGCCCTGGCAAACAACTTAGGCAAATTTTTAAATCCATGAAAATAGTCAATTGCCATCTACTGTCTCTCTTTCTCTGATTGCTTTCTTGATCTCTCCAATATTCTTTATAAGTTGAAGACTTTAGCTACTTAAGAAGAATAAGTAATATAAAAATTGAATTAATTGTTATACTCTCAATTACTTAAATCATCTTAAATAAACACTTGAAGGTCTTGATAATTTGGTCCTGAGCTACACGTTTAAATATACCCTGCACTGTTTTTGCATCTTTTTCTCAAAATCCATGTTGTCTTACTATCTCCCTGAGGAGAGATCTAAGTTCTCCTCATTATTGACCTCAATGGTCATCTCAGGTTTTAACTGATCCTTTTGCTTCATACTTGGAATAGTAAGTAGCATTATCATTCTGGTATTGCCTTGCTGATCATATCATTTCAATGTGCTTTGATCTTTGGGTTTCAGTGTATCTTCTGGTAAACATTTAGCCTTGCACCTGTCCCTCTACCTTATAAGGGAGAGAATATTTTACCCTTAATACAGATATTACTATAAGATATGAAAGACAGTTGAGGGTAGTATTTAAGTGTCTGGATTCTAGAAAGAGACTTCTGGGGTTTAAATCCTACTACCAATATTTATTAGCTGTGTGACATCAGGCAATTTATTTTAGTCAGTTGCTGAGCAGTTGGATTATTTTCAGTTTTTGGCTATCATGAAAATATATTTTAAACAGTTGCATAAAATCTTGGTTTTCATTTATATTTGTAACAGAAAAGTAAAAACTGCATATATTTATAGTATAAAATATGATGTTTTAATGTATATATAAATTGTGGAATGGCTAAATTTAGCTATTTACCACATGATTATGTCATGCCATTTTTGTGGTGAGAACATTTAAAATCTACTCTCTCAGCAATTTTCAGATATACAATATATTGTTATTAACTATAGTCATCATGTTTTACAATAGATCTCTTGAAATTACTCCTTCATTCTAGCTGAAATTTTGTGTCTTTTGACCAATATCTCCCCAATCCAACCAATCTGGTAACCAACATTTTACTCTCTGTTTCTATTCATCTTTTTTTTTTTTAGATTCCATATATAAGTAAGATCATGTGGTATTTGTCTTTGCCTGACTGGCTTATTTGAATTAACCTAAAGTCCTCCTGGTTCATTCATGTTGTTGCAAATGATAGGATTTTCTTCTTTTTAAAGGCTGAATAGTATTCCATCAAGTGTACGTACCATATTTTCATTAAGTGAAATAAGCTAGGCATGGAAAGACAAATACTGGATGATTTCACTTATATGTTCAATCTAAAAGAGTTGACCTCATAGAAATTGAGAGTAAAATGGTGATTACCAGGGCTGGGGTAAGGGAGGGGAGAGATATTGGTCAAAGAATATAAGATTTCAGTTATATAGGAGGAATAAGTCTAAGAGATCTATTGTATAACAACATAGTGACTATAGTTAATAATAATGTACTATATTCTTGAAAACTGCTAAGAGAGTAGACTTTAAGTGTTCTCACCACAAAAAATAAGTATGCGAAGCAATGCATATGTTAACTAGCTCAATTTAGCCATTCTACAATGTACCCTTGATCCTTGAATAACATGAGTTTGAACTGTGAAGGTCCACTTACATCTGACTTTTTTTCAACAAAATGCAGATCGAAAATACATTATTTGTGGGATGGCAAACCCACATATATGGAGGGGCTGACTTTACCTGTACACAGGTTCTGAAGGGCTGATTATAGGACATGAGTTGTGCAGATTTTGGTATGGGGCGGGTGATGTTTCTGGAACCAATTCCCTGAAGAAACTTAGGACTGTACACATATTTCAAAACAACATATTGTATATGATAAATATATACCATTTTTATTTGACAATTAAAACATTTTTAAAGTTAAAAAAAGGCATTATTTGAAAAATTCACACCTAACATCATACTCAGTGGTGAAAGACTGAAATTTTTTCCCCTAAGATTAGGAACAAGACAAAGATGCTCATTTTTACTGCTTCTATTCATTGTACTGGAAGTTCTCACCAGCACCATTAGGCAAGAAAATAATTTAAATTCAAATTGAAAAAGAAGAAGTGAAATTACCTCTGTTCATAGATGACATGATCTTATATATAGAAAATTCTAAAGAATCCACAAAAAACTGTTAGTGCTAATAAATGAATACAGCAAAATTGAAGGTACAAGATAAACATGCAAAAACTCTTGTGTTTTCATACATCAACAATGCATAATTTGAAAGAAAATTAAGAAAATTCCATTTATAATAGCATCCAAAAGATTAAAATACTCAAAAATAAATTTAATCAAGGAGGTGAAAGATATAGACACTGAAAACCACACAACACTGCTGAAATTAATTAAAGACCTACATAAATGGGAAGATATTCTAGGTTAATGGGTTGGAAAACTAAATGTTGCTATGATGGAAATACTTTTTAAAGTGACCTACAGATTCAATGTAATTAATCTCTATGAAAAAGCAAACGATCTCTTTGGAGAAATGAATAATTTGATTCTAAAATATATACAGTACCCTGAGCAGCCAAATTAATCTTGAAAAAGAGCAAAGTTGGAGAACTCACACTTTCCGATTTCAAAATATAGTACTAAGGTATGGTAATTAAGCCAGTCAGTATTGAGATAAAGATAGATCTATAGAAAAATGGAATAGGATTGAGAGCCCATAAATCCGTAAATAAACCCATACATGAATGAGCAATTGATTTTTTGACGTGAGTGCCAAGACCATGAGTGCCAAGACCATTTGATAGGGAAAGAATAGTTTCTTTGACAAATAGTGATGAGACAACTAGATAGCCACATGCAAAATAATGAATTTTAACCCCTATCCCATACCATGTCCAAAAATTAACTCGAAATGGATCAGCCACCTAAATTTAAGAGTTAAAACTATATAATTCTTGGAAGAATACATAGGGATAAATCTTGACCTTAGATTTGGCAGTGGTTTCTTAGATATGAAACTAAACTCACAAGCAATGAAAGAAAAAAAATGGATCCATTGAACTTCTTCAAAATTGAACCTTTTGTGCATCAAATGACACTATCAAGAAAATGTAAAGACAACCCACAGAATGGGAAAAATACTCACAAATTACATATCTCATCAAAGTCTTATCCCATGATATATATTCCAGAGAAGATATACAAATGTCTACCAAGCATCTGAAAGAATACTCAGTGTTATTAGTCATTAGGGAATTGCAAGTTTGTATCAAAACATCATATGTATCCCATAAATATATAAAACTACTATATATCCGTAATAATTAGAAAATACAAAGAGAAAACACAAAAAAAAATGTTGGTGAGGATCTAGAGAAATTTACACTCTCATACATGACTGGTGGGGATGTAAAATCATGTACCTGCTGTGAGAAACAGCTTGGTGGTTCCTTAAAAAGTTGTACAAAATTATCATATGACCTAGCAATTTTACTCCTAGGCATATACCCAAAAGAATTGAAAGAAGATGTTCAAACTAATATTTGTAAATGTTATATACCTGCACTATTCATAATAGCCAAAAGGTGGAAACAACCCAAATGTGAAACAATTGATGAATGGATAACAGTATGTGACATATTCATGTAATGGTATATCATTCAGCCGTAAAAAGAAATGAAGTACTGATACATGTTACAACAAGGAAGTACCGTGAAAACAACGTGCTGAGTAAAAGTAGCTAGATAAAAAAGGCCACGTATAGTATGAATCCACTTATGTGAAATATCCAGCAGACTAGTAGTACCCAGGAGCTGGAGAAGGGAAAAAATAGAGAATAACTATTTAATAGATATGAGATTTTCTTTTTGGGTAGTGGAAATGCTCCTGAACTACGTAGTGGTGATGGTTAAACAACATTATGAGTTTACTAAATACCACTGAATTGTACACTTTAAAATGGTTTAAATGGCAAATTTTATGTTATGTGTATTTTGCCACAATCATAAAACAAAGCCAAGAAAATCAGCTGTCATCTGACATGCTCATATTCTTCAAATATTCATATTCCAGAGCTTATATTTGTTACTGGTAGTAAGGTTGGTCTTATACAAGGTAACACTGCCATTACTGGGAACAGAACATGATCTGTGACTTTGTAATCTTCGTCTAGTACTTTTAATCTGTGTCTGTTACTGTGACTCCCTGTACCTAGATTTCAAGAGCTAATTCTTTCTCTTGTTGGAACACGTTTGTTTGTTCGTGGAAGATTCCACCACTGAGAAGCTCTTATGACAGTTCTGAGTTGTGGGCAATACTTTTCCTCCCTGACTCTTTATGACTACTTTTAATTCAATCCCTAGATTCTGGCTCAGTATTTATTGTTTGGGGTCACCGACAGTGCTGTCAATGTTCTTGAGCAGAGTCAGTTTCAAGACAATTCAGTTGTATTTGCTTCCAGATGATACATATCTGTTCTATGGTACTTATTTACTTTTGCCCTTATTTATTTAAGTGAAGCTCACTCTGAACACTTTCCCCTTGTCTCCCTCTACTCTTTAACCATAGGCTTATCAGGCCAAACTTTCATTCCTTTAGTCTTTTTTCAAAACTGAATTTCTTTTTGGCAATGGGTGCTTTCTATTGGCTGATCCACATAAGAAATATCTTATGACCATTTTACAATATCTTAGTATTGTTTGATGTACCATCTTACTTTAGCATATTAGGCTACTTGACCTTTATTTTGTTGTTCTTTTAACTTTTAAGTCTTTGCTGAACCTCTGAACCCATAGAAAAAGTCATATTTAACAGCCTGCTTTGTTAATAAAAATCTTCCCTTGTTATTTCTTTTATCCCCAAATTTTGTTTTCTTTTTGTTATGAGTATTGTTTAACTGTTGCTCTGCTTCTCTTATCTTGAATTTTTACAATCACCACTCTGTATATCAAACTAAGAAACTTCCTTCAAATTCACCCTTCTCAACAGATTACAAAGTATTGTAAATAACAATTTCCCCTTGTATAAATAATTTCTCTCTAACAATTCTATCTCTATGGTTTTTTAAATTAGAAAATGATAGCATCTGGGCAAAGTATCCCAAAGAAGGCTGTTCCTTTAGAAATAATATGTCCTATTTTCTCTGCCTGTTTTCAGTTTATAAATACCTTATCTGACAAATAAAAACCTGACAAATTTATCATGCGTACTATAAAATACCTGTGGCCTTTTTATAAACCGTTGCCATTCCAGGAACAAAGTTAACTTTCGTTATTCTAATGTCTTTATCGGTCTCTGTGCTAATATCCCCTTATGCCAAATCAATGTAAAAAGCTCGTTACACACTGCTGTTAGCATTTTGCTTTGGAGAAAGAATCAGGATAAGAAGTGACAATGTGATTTACTTCATGCTGCATAGAAAACTCCCTAATGGAGCCAACATGGAGTGCTCTGTTATTCCCAGTAAATACCACCATCCAAGCTAAATTATGTTACCTGTGAAACTTGAATAAAAGCCAAACACTGTCTGATAATTCTTTGGAACTATTTTCTAACTATAAAAAAGAACAGCATTTCTTTACTTCCACTTTTCTTATTTCTTTTGCACTGAGTTATCACAGTCAATCTTACGATCTACTTTGCCCTTCAGAAATGTGATTTCTATATTTCTTTTTGCCTCCTGAAGAAACTACTTAATGTGGCTCAAAAAAAAATGTGTAAAATGATTAAGGCAATATTCTGTAATTATGTACATCATTACAGTTCATTTAATGAAAGAAATACACAAAGCTATAACATTAGATATCCTATACAACACATTCTCACATTTAATGGAAATGGTAAAATTTATGAAGGCTGACAGCAAATCTGTCTTCCACCATACACACACTCAGGCCAAGTAAAAAAAAGGGGGAAAAGTAGCAGCAATTTCAGTTTCAAGTGACTGAGAGTGCCTTAGGCATTTTGCTGATCTTTAAGTATACTGTCGGTCAAATAAATCTCTAAGCAGCATTACTAGACTGTACAATAAGCTTTATTCGAAGATTTTCCCAGATTTATCCCATCATCCATGAATGGCTGTATAACACATCTACAACATGAAAGACAGAACAACATATTTCAGAGCATCATGATGAATTCAATGTTATTTAACCGGAGGGTTTCAGATAATCTTATCTAATGGTTTCTGTGCTCCACTGCACATCAATATTAGCTGAGGGATCTTTTAAAAATCTAGATGCCTATGCCCATTCCTGGTGATTTTAACTCATTCTGGCCAAGGAGGAGGGAGGAGGTTAGGTTAGGACACCACTGCTTTAGTATGAACTCTGTTTTAGATTGTGATGAAACGGACCTAGAAAGGGGATTCTACATACCAAAGGTCACAGTAGCAATGCTAACACTCCTAACTATGATCATGGGCCTGTGTGTCTCAATCTTTTTGGTACCACGTCTTTTTCTGAAAATTATTAGGAAGTAAAGCTATAATCAATGATAACTAACATTTCAAAGTAAATTAAATACCATGAAGACAAATTAATCCATGTGAGTATAATTTTAGAGGAAACATTGTTTTTATATTAAAAAATATTTTTCCTTTGAAAATATAATGTGAATTGGTCTATATAGGCTTTCTTACCACAAGTGCTCCTATAATAGATATTGGGGAAGATTACTTTCAAGATAAAGCCTGCTGCTGTACATTTCTTTCTCTTTCTCCTAACAAAAATAGAGTAGGTGAATTAATTCTACTTCTCAGTTTATTGTACATATTTATCATTGGTTGATTGCAATGCTTTATAATGTTATTTGTTTGTTTATTCTCTTTTATATTCACCCCAAATTCCCATTATCCCCATAGGCAGCCACTGGTTAAATTATATCTTTTATGAGAATGTTCTCAACAGTCTTTTAACTTTGTATATAGTGTCCAGAAATCATTAATTTTGAATTGACTTTATATCAATTTGCTGCCTGATAGTTTATGATTTTGAGATTGTATTTCAGACAACCTTCCCTGCTCCTAGGTAACAAGGAGGTTTTAAAAGATATTTTTATGGTAAATACATAGTTAACTTTGATATTATAATCCTCTATAGGTACAACTTTATATCAAGTGTTAAGCAGAGATCTAATTTCATTTATTTCAATTTGGGGAGCCAGTTTCCCCAATATCATGTGTTAAAAAAAAATCATCCTTTCTTCATTGGTTTATAGTGTTCCCATTATCTTATAAGTTTATACACACACATATCACATCACATCATATCACACCAGTCTGCCTCTGAGTGCTCAACTCTTCTCCATTGGTAGTTTTTCCCCTTTGGTGGATACCAAAGAACTTTTTTTTAATTACTAAGGTTTTAAAATATGTATTCATATCAAGTATGGCACATCTTCCTTCATTAATTTTTAAAATTCAGATAAAGGTCTTTATTCCTCCATATAAATTTTGTCTTAAGTTTATCATGTTGCTCAAAAAAATCCAACTAAAAATTTAGAGTGGATTTCTTTAAATTTATAGATCAATGTATAGACATTATGGTTATTATACTATCAAATCATCCCATTGAAGAACATGGGATACCTCTTTTATTTTTTAATTTAATTTATTTTTAACTTTTATTAAGTTCAGGGGCACAGGTGCAGGTTTGTTACATAGGTAAACTTGTGTCACGGAGGTTTGTTGTCTGGATTATTTTATTACCCAGGTATTAAGCCTAGTAGCCATTAGTTGTTTTTCCTGATCCTTTTCCTCCTCCCACCCTCCACCATCCAAAAGACCCCAGTGTGTGTCATTCCCCTCTATGTGTCTATGTTTTCTCATCATTTAGCTTCTCACTTATAAGTGGGAGCTAATGTGGCTCTTTTATTCATTTAAATTAATAAACATGTGGCTCTTTTATTAATTTAAATCGTTTGCTATGTCCTTTATTATTGTTCTGAAGTTTTCATCAGAGAGGTCTTTTATATTCTTTTTTATTTCCTAGATACTTAACTATTTTTGTTGCTATTGCAAATTCATTTTACTTTAGTTATATATTCTAGTTGCTTATTTCTATTATAAAAATACTATTGCTTTTGTAGGTTGCTCTTAAAATTGGCAACCCTTTTTTCCATACTCTTATTAGTTCTAACAGTACTTTATTAATTCTGTATTCTTTCCCTATTTATTTCTACAATACACAAACATTCCTTTTCTTAAAGAAAATAGTATGCTCATCAGACATCGATATTTCTCCTTCCTAGGGCAAAATATTAGATTTGTAGAGATTTTATTCATTAATTCTTCAGATACATTTGTTGAGCAGTTATACTCCAGAAACTATGAAGAGAATACAATGGTGAGCATGACCAACATTGTTGCTCTCCTAATAGAGCATACAACTCAGTGGGGAAAATAATCAGGTAAGCAATTACAATAAATTAGGTTTTACTAACATAAAGGAAGTAAAGGTTCTATAATGGCATATCACAAGGACAAGTAACTTAGCTTAAGAAATCTGGGAAGGATACTTGAAGGAAGTGTTTCAGTTAATATATGATGGTTGAATAATGATTATCTAGCCAAAGATGAAGGAAAAGAGCATTATATGCAATATAAATTTCCAGGAGATCATGGAATTTATAGCAACTGAGTGAATTTTCTTATGACAGCAGTGCAGGCTGTGAAAGGATGTTTGCACAGGATAAAACTGTTGAGCACATGTACCCTAGAACTTAAAGTATAATAATAAAAAAAAGAAGGGGCCAGATCATTGCCTAGACAGTGTCTAGTAAGGATTTTTGTCTTGAGGACAATGGAGAGCTGTTGAAATACTTTTGGCAAAGAATTGACATGATTACATTTATAATTTGATATTTGAATTATTCTCATTTAGAGGTAAAGTACATAATGTGACCTGTAGCAACTCTCCTTTCTGCAACAATTTCTCAATTAAGAATATAAAGATTATGGTGTTTGCCTAAGCTTATATAACAGAATGATTAAACAAAAAAGAAATGTTATTACATCATAAAACAAGATGAACGGATACAGAATGTCTTCAGGGTTAGTAAATTCAGTAGCTAAAGAACTTCAAGGTCTATGTTAGCTTCTTTGCAAATTTTTTTTAATTTTTAGTTTTTGTGGGTACATAGTAGGTATATATATTTATGGGGCACATGAGATATTTTGATACAGGCATGCAATGCATAATAATCACATCAAGGTAAATGGGGTATTTGACATCTTAAGCATTTATCCTTTATGTTACAAACAATCCGATTATATTCTCTTAGTTATTTTTAAATGTCCAATTAATTTATTGACTATAGTCACCTTGTTGTGCTATCAAATACTAGGTATTATTCATTCTTTCCATCTACTTTTTTTCAACCCATCAATCATCCCCACCTCCTTCCCCCACCTGCTCACTACCTTTCCCAACCTCTGGTAACCATCCTTCTACTCTCTATCTCCATGAGTCCAATTGTTTTGGTTTTTAGATCCCACAAGTAAATGACAACATACAGTGTTTTTCTTTCTATTCTTGGCTTATTTTACTTAACATAATGACATCCAGTTTCATCCATGTTATTGTAAATGACAGGATCTCATTTTTTTTATGTCTGAATAGTACACCATTGTGTATAAGTACCACATTTTCTTTATGCATTCATCTGTTGATGGACACAGGTTGCTTCCAAATCTTGGCTATTGTAAACAGTGCTGCAACAAACATGGGGGTGCAGATCTCTCTTAAATATGTTGATTTCCTTTCTTTTGAGTATAAACCTAGCAATGGGATCGCTGGATCATACAGTAGCTGTATTTTTAGTTTTTTTGAGGAACCTCCAAACTGTTCTTCATAGTGATTGTATGAATTTACATTCTCAGTAACAGTGTATGAGCATTCCCTTTTCCCCACATTCTACCACCATTTGTTATTGCTTATCTTTTATATAAAAGCTATTTTAACTGGAGCTAGATAATATCTCATTATAGTTTTGATTTGCATTTCTCTGATGACCAGTGATTTTGATAACCTTTTCATATGGCTGTTTGCCATTTGTATGTCTTCTTTTGAGAAATGTCAAGTCAAATCTTTTGCCCATTTTTTAACCGAATTAGTAGATTCTTTTCTACAGAGTTGTTTGAGCTCCTTATATATTCTGATTATTAATCTCTTGTCAGATAGATAGTATGCAAATATTTTCTCCCATTCCGTGGGTTGTCTCCTCACTTTGTTGATTGTTTACTTTGCTGTACAGATGCTTTTTAACTTGATGGTATTCCATTTGTCCATTTTTGCTTTGGTTGCCTGTGCTTGTGGGTTATTACTCAAGAATTTTTTGCCCAGACCAATGTCCTGGAGAGTTTCCCCAGTGTTTTCTTATAGTGGTTTCACAGTTTAGGTCTTAGATTTAAGACTTTAATCCATGTTGATTTATTTTTGTATAGGGTGAGAGATAAGGGTCTAGTTTCACTCATCTATATAAGGCCATGCAGTTTTCCCAGCACCATCTATTGAAGAGACTGTCTTTTCCTCAGTGTATGTTCTTGGCACCTTCATCAAAAATGAGTTCACTCTAGATGTATGGATTTCTCTCTGCGTTCTCTATTTTGTTGCAGTGATCCATGTGTCTGTTTTTATGCCAGCACCATGCTGTTTTGGTTACCATAGCTCTGTAGCATAAAATGAAGTCAGGTAATGTGATTCTCCTCAGTTTCGTTCTTTTTGCTCAGGATACCTTTGGCTACTATGAGTTTTTTGTGGTTCCATGCAAATGTTTGGATTGTTTTTTCCTATTTTTATGAAGAATGTCATTGTGGTTTTGATAGGGATTGCATTGAATCTGCAGATAGCTTTGGGTAGTATAAACATTTTAACAATATTTTTTCTTCTAATTCATGGACATGGAATATCTTTCTATTTTTGATGTTCTCTTTAATTTCTTTCATCAGTTTTTTGTAGTTTTCTTTATAGAGATATTTTACTATGTTGGTTAAGTTAATTCTTTGGTATTTAATTTTATGTGTGGCTATTGTAAATGGGATTAATTTTAAATTTCTTTTTCATATTGCCCACTGTTGGCATATAGAAATGTACTGAATTTTTATGATGATTTTGTATCCTGCAACTTTACTATATTTGTTTATAGGCGCTGATAGTTTTTTGGTGGAGTCTTTATGACTTTCCAAATATAAGATCATATCATCTGCAAACAAGGTGATTTGACTTCTTCCTTTCCGATTTGAATGCCTTTGATATTTTTCTCTTGTCTGATTGCTCTAGCATGGACTTCCAGTACTATGTTGAATAACAGTGGTGAAAGTGGGCATCCTTGTTGTTTTTCAGATCTTAGAGGAAAGGCTTTCAGTTTTTCCCCATTCAATATGATACTTGCTATGGGTCTGTTGTATATGTCTTTTATACAACATATTGAGGTATGTTCCTTCTACATCCAGTTTTTTTAGGGTTTTTATCATGAGTGGATGTTGAATTTAATCAAAGGCTTCTTCAGCACCAATTTAAATGATCATATGGTTTTTGTCCTCCATTCTGTTGATATGATGTATCACATTGATTGATTTGCACGTGTTGAATTATCATTGCATCCCTGGGATAAATCTCATTTGGTCATGATGGATGATCTTTTTAAAGTATTGCTGAATCCAGTTTGCTAGTATTTTGTCGAGGATTTTTGCAACAATATTCATCAGAGACATTGGCCTGTAGTTTTGTTGTTGTTTTTCATGTGTCTTTGTCTGGTTTTCCTATCAGTGTAATAGTGGCCTTGTAGAATGAGTTTGAAGGTATTCCCTTCTCCTCTAGTTTTCGGAATAGTCTGAAATTTTGTTGTTTCTAAATTTACAGGATCGGTGAAGCTCACACAATATTGTTCAAAGGCAGAGTTTCTCCTCATGGGTGTATTTTTTATCAGGGAAGAAAATCATTTGAGACACTCCTTTAGAGACATCACCTAGTGACATCATCTCATTGCCTAGTACTGGATCACGTACCCATTCAGCGAATGACCAACCACAGAATGACCATCATCTTCTTAGATCAATCAAACTTCAACCTCTGGGATCATAGAGGGAGACATGTAGGCCATCTTATATGAGCACAAAAACCAGAACTCTCTCGGCAATAAAGAAAGGAAGTAGGGGTGTAGGCAAACAATAGTGTCTGCTGTACTGTAGAGTGGCCAGAAAGACTTTATGTAGTCTAGTCCATGCTATTCTTCTGTCCTCATATTCTGCCCTTACTCATTGTAGCAAGTACGTTATCATCCAAACAAATTGCCTTTTGTTTGGTAATTACCTTTTGAGTCAGAAATGGGAAACTCAAGGCGGGGGCTGTTTTCTCACGCCCTTTCTAAAACTCCTCGCTGTATTAATCTCATTCACATTCTCTTTCAATCTAACTTAATATCTTATATTGGTAGAGTGTGTTGTGTATTTCAGTGCCTTCTCATATCGTACCTCATCTGATTCTTCACAAGCGCTATAAAGTTGGCGGAGGAGCCCAGAGTGGTCATCTTTATTCAGAATTATCCAAATGCCTTCTGGATCAAAAATTACTTCACACAACTGTGAGTCCTCAGATACTGGTTTATGAATTCAAGTTATCATCTACTATTAACTGTGATCATACTCTCATTTCTTTTGTTTGAGAAACACTGTACAAAGTAATAACAGGGTATGATTTGGACAAAAGAGCTAAAGGAAACTGTTGAAAAAGAATAAATTAAGTTGGGAGGGAAATATAAGCCAAATCATGCCTGAATCTCAGTGCTCTGGCTGTAGGAAATCTGAGCCCACAGTCCAGTTAAGCCAGCTATTTGCATAAACCTCAGCAGGAAACTCCAGAATGGCTTTGCACCTGCTCCAAAATATTGACAAATGGAATTCTTTTGAAACAGACAAACCAGGGTGCATTGGAATTAGGCTTCAGAGGATCACTCGTGCCTAGCTAGTTTGCAGGATAATGACAATAAGCCCAGATGGTCTGCATACTGTGTTGTCTATATTGTACTGGATGGCTGTGGACACTGATATTAAAATATCCATTGTAACGTCAATTTTCATTAAGTAATTCCTCCACTAAAAAACAAAAACAGAAACCCCAAAATCCCCCTCCTAACTAAAAGCTAAATAAAATGAGATATTAAAATTACTATTATCTTTTATCATGAGTTATATATTTTTTGTTTACCTCTTACTACTTGAGGCATCACAATATGCTTACAGGATCAGACCTGAAAAGACATTTTAATTCAAACATACCATCTGAAAGAAAATAATTTTCTTTATTTAAATGTCTGTGCTTAAATGTTTATGTCTAAACGTTTGTGCAGGAGTTTTGTGTTTTAATCTTTGCATAGAGGAAATTATTTTTGCTGTTTTATTATTTTTCTGGATGACAGCATGGCTAATAGGGCATTCATATGGCTATAATTGACCTCAATCAGAAAGATGCAGTTAATAGATAATACAGTGATTCTTATGTCCTGCTTCTTACCAGAGGCTGCTCTGTGCCTCCCTTGAGCCTCACCTGCAAATCCCACTTCCATCTCTACACATACTGTCTACATTATATTTGAGTAAAAAGCTAACATACATTTTCCCTTTACCACTGGAGCAAATGTTTTGAATTCTTTGTTTGATTTCAGAAAATTCATTTTTTTCCTAAAATTCAGTTATTTGAAGACCTATATTTTAAGGAGTGGAGTATATAAAAGGAAAATATTCAATGGAACAGAATACTCTTTATAGACTGGGCCCGTGGTTGGGTTCTACTACTTACTATGTGTTTGATCTTGGGCGAGCTACTAACTTGACCTACATTTTAGCTCACTCAGCAGTAAAATGAAGATATGCATATTTCTCTAAAAGGTTCAGTAATTGCATACTTATGAAGCATGTATCATGGTGCTGGACACATAGTGAATCAGAATCATTGTATACCCAGCTTATTATAAAAAGAAAACAAAACACTCAAAAGCCATAAAAGGTAAAAATTATGCATATGCTGGGGAAAGGCTCACACCAAATCAAAAAGAGGTTCAAAATAATTTGTACAACATGATTCCATTTATTGTTAACTAAAATAAACTCTGAAATAAACAATAGAAAGGTAAGTATACTTGAACTCATAATCATGAAAATCTCCCATGGCAAAGAGCCCCAGCCCACTCACCTACCCCCAAGAGATGCATTATAGATTGGTAGAAACATTTTTAAACATATTTTCCAAATATTACAATGCATAAACATTTTATAAAACTTAGTAATAATTTTAAAAACAGACTAACATCTCAGGAGAATGAAAGGCAGAAGCCATGAAGAGGTAATTTGTATAAAAGGAAGTAGAAATGCAGACATACAACAAGTTACCCAAACTTCGTTAGCAATTAGGGGATCTGTTGAATCCTGAATTCTCCCTCCACCACTGCCTTTCATGTGATGTCCACAGGGGAGGAAGTGTGATATCCATGTCCTAATCCCCAGAACCTGTGATTATGACACTATATGGCCGAAGAATTACCTTATATGGCAAAATATGTGATTAAGTTAAGGATCTTGAGAAGAGTGTATCCTGGTGGGCCCTAAATGCCATCACATGTATTTTTATGAGAGAGGCAGAGGGAACTGTGACACACAGAGGAAAAGGCAATGTGAACAAGGAACCAGAGATTGGAATGATGCAGCCACAAGTACCAAAATACCAAGGAATGCTGACAGTCACCAGATGCTAGAGGAGGCATGGAAATTGTTCTTTCCTAGAGCCAGATGTAATAAGGCCCTGCCAACATCATGGTTTCAGAGTTCAGGCATCTAGAACTGTGAGAAAATAAATTTCTGTTACTTTGAGCCACTAAGTTTGTAGAAATTTGTTATGGCATCCCAGGAAACTAATACACTAATATTTGGTTTTTCTAATCTGGTCAAGGCAATAGAAAGGACCAGCAGTTGCTATCATGTTCCTTAAATGCAACAAAATTGCTTTCTCTTTTCCTCAGTACTATCCATATAAAAGCAATCATTTTCCCTCTTACTTGAAAAAAAATAAAGATGGATAATATTTTGTGTCAGTAAAATGTGAAGCAAGGATACATCTCATACACTCCTGATGGTGTCTAAGTTAATACACTCTTTTAAGAGAATAGCTGTCAATGCCTATTAAATTTTAAAGTATGCACAGCAACTCCATTGGTATATATTCACAATTAGGCACTTATAAGAATATTCATTGTAGCATTATTCAACAAAGGGGAGATAAAACTTATTTACCTAAATGTCCAGCAATAGGAAAATAGATAAATTAAATATGGCTTGGAAGACTATGTGCCTATTAAAAAAGAAAGCAATAGATCTATAAAACTGACATGCAAGAGTCTCTAAAGTATATACATTGTATATTTTAAAAAGGAAGTCAGAGAATAATATGTATAATTTACTAAATATATTTGTGAAAGGAAAGACCATGAGTCTATCTGCAGGACACTGTTTCCACCCTAGTCCGACATATCATCTTCTCTCCCCTGTACTACTGCATAGCCACCTAACTCTTCTATTTGTCTTCTCTCTTGCCCGTTCAATACATTGTGTGCACAGGAGCTTAAGAAATGCTTGCCCAATGTAGGTTACATCAGTCACCTCTGCTTAAAACCTTTCTATAGGTTATCTCTCCTCTTCATGAAAAAAAAGAAGAAAAAATGAATCCTCTTTATCATGGCCTTAAAAACCTTACATGATCTGGTTCTTGCCTCTCGCTGAAACTTCTTCTCACACTGTGATTTCTTGCAGTCTAGGAGCTCCCATTCTAATCCTGGGTCAAATCATGTGTTTCCTAACTCAAGTCCTTTGTACTTGCTTGTCACTTTGACTAAGATACACTTCCACTAATGCTTAAAACCACTGGCTCATTCTCATCATTAAAGTTTCAACTCAAGTTTCACCTCTTCAGAGAGTCTCTTTTGGGCACCATATGAAGCAGTGATGAATTTGTTCCTTGCAGATTCACAACTGCAGAGTATAGAATTGACCAGGTAGACTACCACTCTGAAATCATCACTGCTTTGAAACCAAGGCCTCACTTCACATGGGCTGCTCCCAGCCAACGTCTAGGTCTAACAGGGATGCTAAGTCAAGTTATTTCCTGGGTGATACAGAACTCCTTTGATAAGGAACTTTAGCTTGGTGATTCCCCATTAACTGAAAAGTCTATAGAACGTTTATAGAATTTTAGTTCTATAATTTTATTTCCTTCCTTCTCTTCTTCACAGAAGTTACAACATCATCATCAAGGGTCTCTCAGCTTCCTCTGGCCCCCTCTGTGTTTTCTCTCACAGGCATTTTCCCCAGTAAACCTCTTGCATTTTTAATCCTATCTTGGTGGCTGTTTCTCAGAGGCATCCGACTAACACACCATATCTAAAGGGGCCTCCACCTACCAGTAGCTCATTCTCTTGTTTATTTTCTTCAGACTATTACTCCATCCAGAAGTTATTGACTGCTTGTATACTCATTCATTGTTTGTCTTTTTTACTCCACTGTCAACTCCATGAAGATCATATTGTTTTTATTTATCCTTGTATCCCAACATACTATGTGGCACTAATTACATATTCAATAGATAACTACTGAAACAATGTATTCATGAATTACCAAGTGAACAAAGAAGAGGACATAGACTAAGGCTTCAATAGTATAGTATAATTACCTATAGTGAGGGAAATAAGGAACAGTATTGAAAGAAGACTTTCAAATCTTACCCTATACCCTCTAAATTTTAACAAATATACACTCATTACTTAATTTGTAATTTTCAAGAAATTAAAATATATACAAATGAAAATATTAATAACTTATATCAATGTAAGAAAAAGCATTTCAACCTGAAATCCAAGTTATAAGTCAAAATGATTCACTTTTTTCATTCAACTCTCAGATAGCTAATCCTGGTTTAATGAGATTTTAAAACCTATTATAAACACCTGTACAATCCTTTTATTTCATGCATATAAAATAATCTGCATATTTGCTTTATAAGCCTATGATCTAAAAAGAGAATGGGTAATGAATAGAATATGTGAGAAGAAAACAAGAAATATTTGCAGGTCACTGTGTAATAAGACACAAAACAGTGACTTACCTTCTCTAATCTTTATCTGTGCTCCTATAATGATTAAATAAAAGCTCCACAAAAGCATTTATAATAAATTTTTACAAAGGCATGTTGTCAAGTGAGCACAGGGATGTTATTCTAAACATATAAGGCCACAGAGAACTGAGATTATACAACTTCAGCCAAAGAACAGGGTAGGCAGGAAATGTGTCTAACCAATTCAAATCTATAGAATGCCTACTGTGTGTCAGGTGCTGTGTTAGAAAATTTGGATAGTAAGAGAAGGTCAGAGCCCCTAAACTCATAAAACTTAATTTAATGGAAAAGTCTGGTGTGAATTAGAATGTATAATAATCTTATGATAAGTGCACTAAATAGTGGTATATATCAAGGTAGTGATGATGGAAAGGAAAAGTCTTACTTACATTCTTTGTAGAGGAATGCTGAAGAGCAACGTGATGTTTCTTGAAATTGGAAAAAGAGGAGAAGGCAGAATATAGAGAGGCCTCACATACAATGCTAAGTAATTTGGACTTCTTAGGAGTCAATGGTCTCCTAATTTTTGTAGCAACCCAATCAGCTACAAAAAATTAACTGAACATGGACTTTCAGAATGTCACTTATTTATTTATTTATGAATTACTTAATGAATACAAGATATACATTATAAAGCATATAAAATGAAATTTTAAAGGATGATGTAAAATGAATATTTTTAAAAAGTTACAACTTTTTCCCACAATAGAGTGAATAGTATGGATCAGCAATTTGGGAATAATAGGTGTTAAGATGAATAAAATGATCAAATTTTAATTAATCAGATGAATAAAAAGATCACTGACGGCACTGTGGAGTATAGATTGTAAAAGCTAATATACGAGCTTAAGGACTACTTTTGAGCCTATTGGAATTGTGATTATGAATGACTGGAATAGCAGAATGGTTATAAAAATAAAACATTGGGGGTAGATTTCAGAGATATTTACTAATATTATGGTAGCATATGAATCTTTGACCTATTGAATATGGATTAAGATAGTCAGTACAAAGATGAATTGAGACGCAATCTAGAAGTTTAGGATGGCTCCCTGATTCCTTAATTTAATATTCGCTGTCATTAACCAAGAAAAGGAATACAAAAAGTGAGCATAGGTGAAAGAGAGGTGGGGATACATTTAATTTTGGATTTCTGAGATTAGGTGGAAGTGTCATATCCATGCAGAAATGTATGATAGTAGTTGGATATGCACAAGTGAAGCTCAAAGCAAAGATGTGGACAAAAGATCTACTCTAGGTTGTGATCATTGAAATCAAGGGAATAAAATATCACAGGCTTTTTAACACAATCTCCAATACAGGTCCTGTCACCATTTATGATTAAGTTCAAAATTCATATAATACCAATTATTCTCAATTCTATTCTCACATTTTAATCAGCTGGGGAGTCTTTTTAAAAGCATTACTATAGACCAATTAATTTAGAATATGTATGGGTGGGACTTGGGCATTTGGGGGTTTTAATTTATCTAGGTGATTCTGATGTGAAGTCAGTATGGAGACATTTTTGTAGAAATCTATATCTCAGTTGCTCTGTATCCTGTCTTCCAATAGACTGGTCCTCCAACCTACCTCAATCACACACTCCACAAATTGTACCCTAGACCTTTCCATTATCAAAAGCAGCTCCGTCTTCTTAATTTTAAACACTCCATTACTCTTCAACTACATGTGCTATCTTTCTAGCTAGTTTCTTCTAGAACCTTGATTCCAATAATGGATTATACCAGGAAAAATTAATTCCACTAATTATTTAACTACATCCATTGTCGCTATTATCTTTTTGGCTGTCCCCCAAACATCTGCTATATTCATTTGCCTCTTCACACCATTTAAATTCCATGGACAATCATGATACTCCATCCTTTGTTTATACCCTTACTTCTCTTGCCTTTTTCTTTCTTTCTCATTTTTGCCTCTCAAATATTAATTCAGTTTAAATTTAACTCTATCTTTTCTCCACTTTCATACACGCAGCTGAATATGGATGGAGAAAAATCCACTATCATGATGACTGGGCTCATTATTTAAATTCACAAATATTAACTTCAGGTGGGCCCTCAATGTTCCTTGAAGTTCTATTGTATTATACTAGTCCATTCATTTTGCACCATTATTGAAAACTATATCATAGGTTCTTCTTACTGCTCAAATTCCCAATACCTTCTGTTTCATCTTTCCTCTTAGTTGCTTCTCCTTAACTGTGGAAAATAAAGCAATCATGAAATAATTTCCACAAATTCCCAGTCAGTACATCTACAGTCAGCACGCACATACTCAGCCTTCCCTTCCATTACTATGTGTGGACTGTTTGTGATTCAAAGTGGGACCATTCTGAATGATAGTGCAGAGTGCACATTATACAACATAAGGGGCAGTATTATTAAACCAGTCTCATTACTCATGCACTGGATCTCATCCCTTAGCACCTACATGGAGACATCAATACAGCAATTTGCTCCCCTTTCTATTGAGTCATAATTTATTTTTCTTAACTTGATCTTTACCATCAGCAAACAAAACATGCTGTTAATTTTATACTCCTTTCATCCCACATATTCCTCTATCTACTAAAAGACAAGCCATTTTACCTGCTCCCCTTTCTGTCAAAATTC
This sequence comes from Homo sapiens, assembly GCF_000001405.40. Classification (NCBI taxonomy): domain Eukaryota; kingdom Metazoa; phylum Chordata; class Mammalia; order Primates; family Hominidae; genus Homo; species Homo sapiens. Next base: position 114,215,695 of record NC_000023.11, on the reverse strand, counting down.
CTTGAAACAATTCTCTGTAATATCTCTTACTAGTTTGTCTCCTCTATTTCTGTCTTAAAATCCCCCCAAATAAAGCTTTAAACCCCAAACCCCACTGAGACAGCTCTTGTAAAAGTCACCAATGACCTCCACTATGCCAAATACAAAGATCATTGCCTGCTGTACTTGACTTTGACAAGTTTGTCCACAAAACATATTCTCTGATCAAGTTGCAGAATACCATTTTCTCAAATCTATTATTTCACTGGATGCACCTTTCTAGTCTTGTTTGTCCCTCTTATTTATTCAATTTAACATGTCAGTCCCAGGAATCAATGCTAAGGCATCTTTTTGTGTCTACACCTATATGATCATCTAACAGTCTAATCTCATGGTATAAAATAACATCTATACGATAAGGACCTCCAAATTTATTTCTATGCAGAAGGCTGTCTCCTCCACTAAAACAAAGGCTCCAAACAGGGACCTTTTTTGCCCACTGCTGCATCACCAATGCTTAGACCAGCACCTTGGGAAATAATAGGTGCTCAATAAATATGAGACCAATAAATTAATTAATTAATTCCACTCTTTGATTATATCCTAGGGTGATTACTACATATGTATATAGAGATGTGCTTTGCAACATACTTTTTAATTTTAAAATATTTAAAAATGCCTATCAACCTGTGAATATATTAAGAAACTATGGTATATTCATACAATGAAATATAATTCAGTAACCTTAGCGATTGAAATGCGTTTCTAATTATCTAAATCAGGTAAAACAAAACATTACGTGAATAAAGCAAGTTGAAAACTGTTACATGCAACATGATACCATCTATATAATGCACAAGAATTCTTCATATTTTATATTTTATTCCTACTTTTACATATATTGTAAAAATTTTAAAAATGCCATGAAAATTATAACCGCCAAATTATCGAAGAGTGGTGAGGACATGGAATAGGATTAAGGGCAAACTTCAAATATATCAGTTACTCTTTGTTTGTTTGAAATAAAATATCTGAGGTAAATATAGGAAAATGTTAAATTTTCTTCAGGCAAATGTATAGGAACGTGGAAGCCTGATGTTTATAAGCATAAAAGAAAAAATTATGACAGATTCATATATTGAAACATGTTATAAGGATGCTCATAACCTATTTCCCTCTTTGGGACCCTATATATACATCCCATTCACAAAACACATGTAGGGATCTTAAATAGGCTCTCATAGTCCTCACTTGGTAAGAAAATGATGGGATCTTGCAGACATTTAATGAAAGAACAAGAGGAGTTTCTAGTATGTCAACAGTAAACATGAAAGTACTACACTTTCTTAGAGTGTTTTTTTTTTTTTAATCTTCCTCCCTCTCTCTCCCTTCCTTCTTTCTAGGCATGGCTTACAGATTTTATCAAATGTCTTTTGGCAGTATTTTGGTATAATTATATGTTTCTCCTGTTACAATTTTTTAATATGAGAAATTGTTAATAATTTTCCTAATGTTGACCTATCCTGATGTGGTTTGGATATGTGTCCCCTCCAAATCTCATGTTGAAATGTGAGTCCCAATATTGGAGGTGTGGCCTGGTGGGAGGTGATTCGATCATGGGGGTAGATTCCTCATGAATGGTTTAGCACCCTCCCTTTGGTGATAAGTGAGTTCTTGCTCAGTTAGTTCACAAGATATCTGGTTGTTTAGAAGAGTCTGGGACCAGACCAGGCGTGGTGGCTCACACCTGTAATCCTAGCACTTTGGGAGGCCACGGTGGGTGGATCACTTGAGATCAGGAGTTTGAGACTAGCCTGGCCAAAATGGCAAAACCCCATCTCTACTAAAAATACAAAGCTGGGTGTGGTGATACACACCTATAATCCCAGTTACCGGGAGGCTGAGGTGGAAGAATCACTTGAACCTGAGAAGCAGAGGTTGTAGTGAGCCGAGATCGCGCCACTGTACTCCAGCCTGGGTGACACAGTGGGACTGTCTCAAAAAAAAAAAAAAAGATTCTGGGAACGCCTCCTTCCTCCTTCTCTCTCTTGCTCCCTCTCTCATCATGTGGCATGCCTCCTCCTAGTTCATATTCCGCCATTAGTAAAAGCTCCTTGAGGCCTTACCAGAAGCAGATGTCTGCACCATGCTTCCTGTAAAGCCTGCAGAAATGTGAGCCAATTAAATCTCTTTTCTTTATAATTACCCAACCTCAGTTACTTTTTTATAGCAATGCAAGAACAGCCTAATACATATCCTTACATTCCTGCTGTAGTCTGATTGTTTATGTCTTCCCTAAATTCACATATTGAAATCCTACTGCTCCAAGGTGATGGTATTAAGAGGTGTGGCCTTTAGGAGCTGATAAGGTCATAAGGGCACAGCCCTCATGTATAGGATTAGTGCCCTCAGAAAAGAGGCCCAAGAAAGCTCCGTTCTTTCTGCCATGTGAGGGCACAGCCAGAAGTTTGAAGTCTGGAAGCCAGCCCTCACCAGAACCTAACTGTGTTGGCACCTTGATCTTGGACTTCCAGTTTCCAGAACTGTGAGAAATAAATTTCTAATGTTTATTTATTTTTAGTTTTTGACATGGTAATGTACTTTAATAACAACACATACAACACATATACCATGTTAGCCCCATGGAATGCAAATTCAGGTTAGGCAAGAGAATTTCACAAGTGTAATAAAGCATTCTGTAGTATATCAAAGTTTGTGTATGTTGTCTGGTAAAACCAACTTGCTCATAAATCATTAATTCTATTATAGGTAATTTGTTTAGTTTAATATTTACAGTTCTTATGGAGAAAATAAACAGTGTACACATTTAAAAAGTGTTCTTTATTTACCTTTGCATTAGTGCTTAAAATACGCATTTCTATTTCAAGATGACATTTGAAAATTATTCTACTATAACAGCAGCAAAAGTATAATTTTACAATTACAAAAGAACTAAACTAGAATTCATAATTAAGTTGTTCTCATGTTTACAATTGTGATTCTTTAATAAATACCACTACTATGCAGCTCTACTGTATGCTTTCTAAATTTGGTTTAAACACACACACATATACTTTCAGTTGTGAGTGGCTTTACAAATTATATTCCATGCACTTTTTTGACAGAGTTCTAAAACAGCCAGTCCACAAGACAGGCAAAAAAAATTTATATTAACTGGGGTAAACAGGACTCTAACATCCAAAACGTGTGAGATTCTGCAGCAAACTGGGAGGACTTCAGGGTTGGCCTGCTATCTTCTCTAGAACTAATTTCATCTTAGCAGTTTAAGAAGGTGGACATTTTAACACCATCAAGCGCATTTAGGTGACATGTTTCTTTTGTGTTAACTTGACTTCCCTGAATGACCTAGTTGGTGAATTAGTCACTAGTAATTTGGTCACTAGGAAAATCAAGCCTTCAAGAAAGGAAGCCAGTATTCAAAATACTGTGTTATCATCTGAACCCACTCACATAGTTTCTTTTCAACATTTACATGTAACTTCTGTAATGAGATGTTTAACTAAAGTAAGATCCTCTAACAAGACTGACATGGTTTTGCTGTGTCCCCAGCCAAATTTCATCTTGACTTGTAGTTCCCATAATCCCCATGTGTCATGGGAGGGACCCGGTGGGAGGTAATTGAATCATGGGGGCCGTTGCCCTCATGCTATTCTCACGATAGTGAGTAAGTTCTCATGAGATCTGATGGTTTTATACGGGGCTTCCCCCTTCTCTTGGCTTTCTTTCTTCCCCTGCCTGTTGCTATGAGAAGAACATGTTTGCTTCCCCCGCCACCATGATTATAAGTTTCATGAGGCCTCCCTAGCCCTGCGGAATTGTGAGTCAATCAAACTTCTTCATAAATTATACAGTCTCAGGTATGTCCTTATAGCAGCATGAGAACGAACTAATATAGTAAATTGGTACTACAGAGAGTGGGGTGCCACTATAAGCATACCCAAAAATGTGGGATTGACCATGGAACTGGGTAACAGGAAGTTTGGAAGGCTCAGAAGAAGATAGAAATATGTGGGAAAGTTTGGAACTTCCTAGATACTTGGAGGGTCAGAAGACAGGAAGATGTGAGAATGTTTGGAACTTCCTAGAGATTTGTTGAATGGCTTTGACCAAAATGCTGATAGTGATATGGACAATGAAGTCCAAGCCGAGGTGGTCTCAGATGGAGATAAGGAACTTGTTGGAAACTGGAGTAAAGGTCACTTTTGCTATGCAAAAAGACTGGTGGCTTTTTGCCTCTGCCTTAGAGATCTGTGGAACTTTGAACTTGAGAAAGATGATTAAGAGTATCTGAGAGAAGAAATTTCTAAGTGGCAAAGTGTTCAAGAGGAAGCAGAGCATAAAAGTTTGGAAAATTTGCAGCCTGATGATGAGATAGAAAATAAAACCCCATTTTGGGGTGAGAAATTCAAGCTGGCTGCAGAAATTTGCATAAGTAATGAGGAGATGAATGTTAATTACTAAGACAATGGGGAAAATATCTCCAGGGCATATCAGAGACCTTCACACCAGCCCCTCCCATCACAGGCCTTAAGGCATAGGAAGGAAAAATTGTTTTGTGGGCCAGGCCGAGGGCCCCTGCCCCCCTCCTCTATGCAGCCTCAGGACTGGTGCTCAGTATCCCAGCTGCTTCAGCTCCAGCCTGGCTAAAAGGGGCCAATGTGCAGCTCAGACCATTGCTTCAGAGGCCGCAAGCCCGAAGCCTTGGTGGCTTACACATGGTATTAGGCCTGCAGGTGCACAGAAGTCAAGAATTATCTCCTGACCCATAGCCTCCTCCAATGCTTACAGCCCAAATTTCTGATGATGTTTATAAGCCACTCAAGTCTATGGTATTTTGTTATAGCAGGCTGAACATACTAAGATAGCAAATTTATACCAAGAATTGGAGGTACTACTGTTAACAGATGCCTAAAAATGTGGGAGCAGTTTTAAAAACAGGTAATGGGTAGAGGCTGGAACAGTTTTGAGGTGCACGCTAGAAAAAGCCTACACTGAGATTAACAGACTGTTAAGGGTGATTCTAGTTAGGACTCAAAGAAAAGGGGACAGGTGTAGAGAAAGCCTGAATCTTCTTAGAGAATACCTAAGTAATCTGGAACAGAATGTTGGTAGACATATGGATGACAAAGGCCATTCTGATGAGGCCTCAGAAATGAGGAATATGTTGTTGGACTATGCAGGAGAGACCCTTCTTGTTATAAACTGGCAAATAAGTTGTTACAGAACCTAACTGGGGTCCACTCATCCAGCAGAGTAAAACAAAACATCCACACCAAGGTTTTGCAATGAGAGAAAGGAGGACATTTATTTTCAGGGTGCCAAGCAAAGAGAATTGGGAAGCTCATGCTTAAGACAGGGCCTCCCTGATGAGTTACACATAAGGGTTATTAAAGGTGGGGAGACAGAGGTTACAGGCAAAATCATAAACAATACACGGAGGCTATACATTGGTTTGACCTAAAAAGGCAGGACATATCCAACAGCAGGGGAGGGAGGTTGTGCTCACAGATCATAGGTAGATTCACAGATTTTCTGATGTGATTGGTTAAAGAAGGGAAGCTTTGTCTAAAGACTTGGGGTCAGGAGAAGAATGGTCAGTCTTACCCATTGGCATGACTTCTTCCAGGACCCTCAGGAAGAAACTTAGAACAAAAAGCAGTGGTCAAAGTTCAGTCCTCATTTGCCCCTTATCTGAGGTCTACATGCCAGAGGATCCATTTGGTGGGGGTCCAGGTTTCTGAAAAATAACTCGGTGATATGTTAAGATGCTATCTTTGGTTTCTATAGGGAACCAAACATCTCATGTCTCTAACTTCTGTGGTCATTGTTTTAAGCTACTTGCTTATCAGGTTGCTTATTTACTTCTCAAAGCTTGCTAGATGCCGGAATTTCCCTTGAAGGAACTCAAGACTTTATTTTTTCTTTTTGTTTTTTTTTTTTTTCTGAGGTGGAGTCTTGCTCTGTCGTCCAGGCTGGAGTGCAGTGGCGCGATCTCGGCTCACCACAAGCTCCGCCTCCTGGGTTCACGCCATTCTCCTGCCTCAGCCTCCCGAGTAGCTGGGACTACAGGCGCCCGCCACCACGCCTGGCTAATTTTTTGTATTTTTAGTAGAGACGGGGTTTCACCGTGTTAGCTAGGATGGTCTCGATCTCCTGACCTCATGATCCGCCCAACTCGGCCTCCCAAAGTGCTGGGATTACAGGCCTGAGCCACCGCACCAGGCCAACTCAAGACTTTTCATTATTTTTATGCTTAGAGGGGGTCCCCTAGCAGGCCCGTAAGAATGTTCCCTGCTCCATTTCAAACTTAGCTGAATTATGTTAAAGTCCCAGTGTTTCATAGGAAGTAGAACTTGTGAGCGGTGAAATTGAATACATGGCTGAGGAAATATCTAAGCATAGTATCAAAGAGGTGGCCTCTTCCTCTCAATGACTTACAGTAAAATGTGAGAAGAGAGACATAATTTAAAGACAGAATTGTTAATCAAAAGGGAAGAACTTAATGATTTGGACAATTCTTAGCCTATCTCTATTGTGAACAATGAGAAAGCTTGTTAGCAATAGAATGCCAAGCTGTGGTGATGGTGTGGCCAAACGACAATCTGATAAGTTTAGTCTGACATCTAAAGAGAATCAGGACCTGTTGTCCAAGACAATGGATGAAAGACCTTGAAAGTAGTTCAGAAATCATTAGGGCTGCCTCTCCCATCACAGGCTGAGAGTGCAAAAGCCTCAGCAAGTGAGAGGTCACCTCAGAAGACTACTGTAGGGGCAGGGCCCAGGCACAAGAGCTGCCACCACTTGGGGGCATAGTGCCCAAAGATGTCGGGGGAGGGCCACGATACCAGTGGGTTGTGAAGGCAAGACCTCCATCCCAGTGGGTCTAGAAGGTGGAATCCTCACTTCTCCAAAGAGGATTATTTTTGAGCCTTAAGATTTAATGTTATTTCCCCAGTGCATTTCAGATTCACTTGATACCTGTTACTCCTTTCTTTTTGTCTATTTCTCATTTTGGGACTGAGAATGTCTATTCTGTGCCTGCCCCACCATTGTGTTTTGGAAGCACATAACATGTTTAATTTCGCAGGTTCACAGACGGAGAGCAATTCACCTCAGAATGAATTGTACCTCGGGTTTTACCCATATCTGACTTAAATGATAGTAGATGACACTTTGGACTTTAGACGTTGAGTTGATGCTAGAATGGGTTAAGATTTTTTTGGGTGATTGGGATGGAATGAATGTATTTTGCATGTAAGAAGGACATGAATTTTGGGAGCCAGAAGTGGAATACTATGTTTGCTTCCCCCTCAAAATTCATATGTTGAAACCTAATCCCAAGTGTGACAGTGTCTTTGTTTTGTGCTCCTACAATGAACACCACAGACTGGCGGACACATTCAGATCACAGTAGATGTTATTAAGAGGCGGAGCTGTGGGGGGTAATGAGGTCATGAAGGTGGAGCCCTCATGAATGGGATTACTACCCTTATAAGGGGCTGAAGAGACCAGAAGCCTGCTCCTCTATCCATGTGAGGGCACAGCTAGAAGGTGCCATTTATGAGCCAGAAAGTGTGCCCTCACCAGACATCAAATCTGCAATTGTCTTGATCTTGGAACTGCAGCCTTCAGAAGTGGAAGAAATAAATTTCTATTGTTTATAAACACTCAGTCTACGGAAGAAATAAATTTCTATTGTTTATAAACACTCAGTCTATGCTATTTTGTTATAGCAACCTGAATGGACTGTGACAATTCCCATAACTAACTCCACCTTTATTTGCATATCCTGTTACTTTTCTCTTTTAATAACACTTATTATGAGTTTATCTACATTATTGACTTTTCAAAGGATCCAGGTGTAGTTGTATTTATTCTTCCTATAATTTGATAGCATCATTTCCCACTTCATTAATTTCAGCTTGCCTTTTCTTTTGCCTCTCTTCTCTTACTTTCCTTACTTCATTGTACTTTTTCTAATCTCTTAGAATTAGACTATTAGGATAACTTTTCAGTCTTTGTCTTTTTAAATAATATATGTCTGTTGATCTAGACATTTCCCAGTGAGTATAGTTTTAGTCTTGACATACAGGATTGAGCATGAAGGTTTTTAAAATTGCATATTCAATAAAATATTTAATTTCAATTTTGATTTCTTCTTTAATCTCAAATGTAATTCAGAAAAGTGCTTCTTAATTTCGAGGTAGATTTATAATAAGTATTGAAATCAGTAGTGTAAGTCCTGCAACTTTGTCTTTTTGAAGGTTATCTTGGCTATTCTGTCCTTTGCATTTCCATATATAATTTTTTTGTCCATACTTTATTTTAAATACATTAATTTTTATTTTTATTTATTTTTTTCAACTTTTATTTTAGATTCTGGAAGTACATGTGCAGGTTTGTTACAAAGGTATATTGTGTGATGCTGAGGTTTGGAGTATGATTGAACCTGTCACCCAGGAAGTGAGCATAAAATCCAAATTTCTTTTTTTTTTTTCCATTGGGCTAATAATTTTTATTTTATTTTATTTTATTTTATTTTATTTATTTTATTTTATTATTATTATACTTTAAGTTTTAGGGTACATGTGCACAACGTGCAGGTTTGTTACATATGTATACATGTGCCATGTTGGTGTGCTGCACCCATTAACTCGTCATTTAGCCATATCAACTTGCTGATTTCTACAAAAACTCCATGTGGATTTTGATTGGGATTATATTTTCTTTACATATCAATTAATAGCAAATGGCCATTTTAACCATATTTAATCTTGAAAATTATTAACAGATTATGTTTCTTCATTTGTATAGGCCTTACAAAATTTCTCTCAGAAAAATTTTGTAGCTTTCAGTTTAAAGATCTTGTACAATTTTCATTAGTTTTATTACAATATATGTACATTTTTTATACTGTTATATATAGCTACATATTTGATACTACTGTACATTTGTTTTACATTTTATTTTATATATTGCTGTATTTGATTTGTTAATATTTTATTAATAGTTTTGCAACTTTGTACATGAGGAATATTGGCCTATAATTTTATTTACTGGTGTGCTTATCATATTTTACAATCCAGGTTAATAAATTACAAATTTTATAAAATTTGTAAAATTAATATTGAAAATAAATCACAAAGTTTTCCCTCTTCTATTATTTGCTGAGTGATTTTTTTGTTTCCTGTAATGTGATCAACCTATTTCTAAGCAGCAGTGACTACTGTGGCTCCTATGTTATTGGCCACATTTTCATAGATTCAGCCTATAAGGAAACAATAAGCCCAAATGAATTTTAAAAGTTCATTACTCATGGCATAGCAGGCAGTATAAACTACCTGTTGTCATCAGTTCCCATTGTCCCACAGGTCCCATGGGGGTGATGTGGAGTGAGCCCAGGCAGATACTGCCCATCAGACTGCAGTATTTTAAAATTTTTTAAAAATTTTTTAAATTTAAAAAAATTTTAAATTACCATTACTTTTAAAGGCAAAAGCTGCAATTACTATTGCACCAACCTAATACATCTATGAGTTTGACTTTTTTGGGAATTAAAATTAGTACACCTCCTTGGCTTTTTAAGGTAGAAGTTTTCACCACTATTTTAAAAAGGTTCTATGTTCCAGTATAGGAATTGTTTAAAATTCCTTACTGATTTAGCTGCATTCCACAAATTCTGATATGTTGTTTTCCTTACCGTTCCATTATTATGCAGTTCTAGATATTTTCTCATTTCCCTTGGAATTTCATATTTGACCCTTTAATTATTTAGAAATATACTGCTTAATTTATAAATATTAGTAATTTTCTAGATAATTTATATTCAGTTATTATTTCTGATTTAATTCTGTTGTGGCCAGAGAATACGTCCTGTCAGATATAAATCACTTGAAATATATTGATATGTGTTTTATTGCCTACATAAAGTCTATCTTGGTGAACATTCCATGCGTAATAATAAGGAATATATGTATTTTGCAGCTCCTAGGCATATTGAAGTGTGGTATAACTGTTTATATCATGTTTATTGATAGCATTTTTCAAATAATCTATATTGCTACTGACTTTTTGGCTAATTGTTCTGACAATTACTAAGGCAGGGTGTGGAATTTTCTAAGTATGTTTGTGACTTTTTCTTCTCACTTTATTCCAGACTGTTTTTCTTTATTGCATTTGAAACTCTCTTATTAGGTGCCTCCATAGTTTTGGTTGTTAGTGCTCCTTGATTATTTGACACTTTTACATTTATCATTAGTGAAGGGGCCAAGGGAAACCCTTGGTCCTCTGTAGGTTCAATGAAAAATGAACTCACAAAGGCAGACGGATAGAAGAAAAGGCATAGAGATTTATGTAATGTGTATACACAGGAGCCTTCAGAACGAAGATCCAATCTCCCATTGGGGTACAGAAGCCTATATGTCATCTTGAGTTTGTAGAAATAATACGGGCTCAGAGCATGGATAAAAATAGGCTTTGGTGGCAAGACAGGTTATGGGAGGGAGAAAGGAAGAGGATTAGTAAACAAAGGTGGTCTCCTTATGCTGTTGAAATCTCACAGGTGGCAAAATAGATGGTAAATATGTCTTTACAGACTTTGAAAGGTGTCAAACTCTCAATTAATCTTTCCTAGATCTGGACAAGAGAAGGGCTGGCTGCATTATGTGGATTCTCTACAGATCCACAGATGCAAATTTCTCCCACAAAAACAGCTTTGCAGGACCACTTCAAAATATGTCAAAAAGATAGATGTTTTGGGGTAAAATATTTCAATTTCTTTCACGAGTAATACTCCTTGCCTTGAATTCTATTTTATCTGATATTAGTATAGCCATAGTGATGCTGACAAACCTCCAAATTAGGGCTCAGCTGGGGATGGTTCTTGGCTTCCCTCAGGAAAGAATTCAAGAGTGAGCCAACAGGCCAGGCATGGTGGCTCACGCCTATAATCCCAGAACTTTGGGAGGCTGAGGCGGGTGGATTGCCTCAACTCAGGAGTTTGATCGAGACCATCCTGAGCAACGTGGCAAAACCCCATCTCTACAAAAAATATAAAAATTAGCCAGTCTCATAACCCAGTCTCAAAATAAATAAATAAATAAATAGATTAAAAATAAATAAAATAAATTTAGAAAAAAAACAGTGATCTGACGATGAGAAGAAAGCAAGTTTATTAGAGCAACAGTGTATAGCAAAATGGCTCCTCTATAGACAGAGCAGGGTTATTTCATAGGCAGGGTAGCACAGAGTAGCACTCATGGATTGCTGGCTAGCTATATTTATACACACTCTTAATTTTATGCAAAATAAGGGTTATTTATGAACTTTCTGGAAAAGGGGTGAGGAGTTCCCAGAACCATATAAGGCAATTTCTGGGCCATTGCCATGGCATTTATTAACTGTCATGGCATTGGTGGGATTGTCCTATGCAAATGTATTACAATTCTAAGTCCTAGCTGGTTTGGGCTGGTTTCTTTGCTACATCCTATTTAGGTCAGCAGGATCATGACCAGTGCTGAGAAAACAAGTCCTGCTGATCTCCTACCTCAATAGGTTTTCTTATGCTTTGTGCTTTATCATTACCCCTTTCCCCTTTCAGTCTTTCTGTAGCTTTTTCATAACATGTTTTTTTCTAAATAAACAGCAGAGTTGCATCTTGATTTTTTTATCCAGTCTGACAATCACTGCCTGCTAAGTGGATCATTTCTCTTTTCATATTTACTGTAATTCTTAATATGTTTTGTTAAAAACCTACCGCTGGGTATTTGTCTCATTTGTCCTTTTTTCCTCTGTTCCTCCTTTTCCTCCTTTTTATGTTTAAATTGAATACTTTTAGTATTTTTAAATGAGTACTCTAGGAAATGGAATAAAATCTTTAATTTATCATCATCTATCTTCAAGTAACATCATATTACCTCACAGACAACGTACGAACCTTCAAACAGTATAATTTCAATTATCCATTTCCAATTATTGGGTTATTTTTTCAAAATATTTTTCTATATGTGTTATATACTCCACAAATACACTATTATTATTGATTTTCAGTGTCAATAGTCTTATAAACAATGCACACACGTGTATACATATATTGTTGCATATATAGTTTGGTTTTGTGGGGAAGCAGACTCTTAGATGAAGATTCCTGTACAGGAATTTTATTGGGGATATTCTTAGGATTAATAACTGCAGAAAAAAAGGGAGCAAGATTTGGTAGAGAAGCTAGGATGTAAAGCAGTCTCAACAAAGGCCTTAGCCTAGCCTAGGGAGTCATGAAACTGGGATAAACTTTCAAACTTGTTTGACAATACATTGAGGGAACCAAGGGTTGATATTCTCATATTGACACTAGTAATTGGAAATAGACTGTTCCCAGAAAGAAGTTGTGACCTTGAAGTTATCTCTGTCCAATAAGGACAATTTCTGGAAAGGGCTGAAAGTTGAAGGCTCAGTCAAGATTACTTCTAATAACTTGAAAATTAAATCCTTTGGCTCCGAACCTGAGGAGGATCTTGGCAACAAATCACATGGCTCACTACCTATAAATAGATAATAGATACATAAATACATAGATACATGAATGCATAGATAAATTATATATGTATTTTGTTTTTAGTAGTTTGACAATGATGTGCCTAGATGTGATTTCCTTTTATTTTAACCTGCGTCATAAATTTAATATAGTTCCTGCCTCAGCATCCATTTTTAGGCCTGAGATAAGTTGCTGGAAACTCAGTCATACCCCATCACATTTAGCCTAGTTGAAATCTCCCCTCACTGTGTAGTTGTTTGCCATATGGCTCACTTGTTCCTCATCTCACTGACCCCAACACATTCCACAGCTGCTGACCACCATAAAACCTAATGGTTGGTCAATGCCAGAGTCATGTCAATAAGTTCCCCGCTTTGTTCATGTTTTCTTAAACTAGCCAATCCACAGCCCCCCGTTGGAAAGCCTAAGGGATAATGCCCATGGACCTTAATAAATGCATAGTCCTATAAGTTCTCTCTCTCTCTCTCTCTCTCTCTCGCTCTCGCTCTCTCTCTGTCTCTAACTCTCCACCCACTAGTTGAGCTCCCTATGGCCTCCTGACGTCCCATTGACCTCCTGCTGGCACCCCTAACCTCTCTGGGATCTATAAGCAATACATTACTTGTTCTGTGTTGGAGCTCAGAAAACAATACCCTCAAGTGAAGGCCTCAGAAGCAGCCTCAAAAGCAAAAGTTTTTCTCTGACCTTCTCCTGCCCTCCTGTCTCTCAGTCCCATTCTCCCCCAAGGCTAGCCAAGGAAACTAGAATCGCTCTTCCCCAAAACAGGTTATGGACACCAGAACCCCTTTTCCTGAAAGCCAGCCATAAAACCTAAAAATATTACCCTAACTTTCCCTCCACCTTTCTGTGTAAAAATTGACCATAAAGAAATTATCTGGCCTACCTTGTTTGACTGTAGGTCATAAGACCCATGTTCCAGACAGGGCCCTGCCCCACAGCCAGAACGAAGGAATGTGTGCTCAGAGAGGCCTAGAAGAATCTAGACAGGCCCTGTTGGGTTTCCCTACTCATTCTATCAGCATTTGATCATAGCCTTTTTGTCCTATCATATGCCTATATGACTGTCTACTCTGTTGAACCTAAGCATAAAAATGCACAATTTCCCCTGTATCTTTGGATCTTCATTCTGAAGGGTCCTGTATATACACGTTAAATAAACTTCTATACTTTTTCTGCTATTAATTCATCTGCCTCATGTCAGTGATTTTTCAGTGAACCTTTAGGGGGCGGAAGGCCTTGGCCCCCACATACGCATTTTGGTTTTACCTCCTCACAGTGTATCACCTGACACACATACCAAGCCTAACTCCCTCCCTTCAGCCTCAGGGCTCTCCTAGTGAGTGCCTATCTTGGCTTATGGCCACTGACAACAGAGACCTCAAGACCAAATTAGAAAGAAACCAGAACAAACTGCTTCAGATTCACTGACATTCTTGGATCTGTGGGGTCTTTTATCAATCATGGAAAATTCTTCGTTGTTATCTCTATAAATATTTTTCTCTGCTCTATTCTTACTCTATTTTCTTTGTTGGACTTTCATTACAAAGATAACCTATCAGAGTTTTTCCCCTTTGTTTCAGTTAGGACAAATTTCCATTTACTTTCTTCAAGTTCACTGCCGTGTTTATTCTGCTGTGTTTGTTCTGTTATTCAGACTGCTGAATGAATTTTTAATTCTGATATTGTAGTTTTTAATTTTAGAATTTGGATTTATTTTATATTTTATATAGATGGCATTTCTACGCCTATCTTTCGCATCTCTTCGTGCATGTTGGTCAGTTTTTCCTCTAGACTATTTTATACATTTATCATGGTTATTTAAAAATTTTTCTCTGCTAATCCCAGGATCTGAGTGGCCATGTGTCTTCTTTGGATGGATTTTTCCTCTTAATCATGGGTCATATGTTGCTTCTTTGCATCTTTTATCTTATTTTTATTGTATGCCAGATATCGTATGTAAAAAATAGTAGAGACTGAACTATATTATATTAATACTGAGAAAAGGGTACCCTTCTTCCTGTGTCAGGCAATAAGGTGGTAGTCTGAGTTCACATCTAAGCTGTGATTGAGCTGGGTCTGTGATTTGTTACACATTCAATTAATGCAGTTCTCCACAGAATCTAAATATTTTGAGGACTTCCTTGACATTATCTTCAGCATTGCTTGAGCATTTTTTCTGTGCTTTAAGCTCTGCTTTCTGAAATTTGAGGTATGTATACTGTTTTTAATATCCTTTACCAGTTTTTTACGTCAATCAGGACTTCTGTTTAATTTTCATATCTAGCCTGACTTTTGGTGCCTTAGGGGAGCTCTACACTCTGCTCCTCTGACACCTGCTTTCAGAAGGCCACACTCTGGGGAAACTTGGCAGGTAATTGGTAACTGGTTCTGAGTTACCACTCTCATGGTAAACCACATTCAGCTGGCCATTAAATATTTGTTAAGTTGTCCTGGCATTATCTTACCCCATCTGTAGTGAGTTTGGTCTTCTACAGTGCCTCCAAGGTTATAAAGAGTCACACAGCTCTCTTCTCTCTTAATAAGCATTTTCCCTATTCTGGAGGTTAGCTCTCAATAACTCTGTCATCACTTGGAATTTTGATATAATTGCAGACTTTATAACCCTATCCCAGACCTACTGAATCAGAATTTACTTTTTAATAGAACCCTAGGCCATTTCTACATTAAAATTTAAGAAGCATTGTTCTAGCTTTCCCCTTTTGGAATGAAAAGTCTGATACTAGTCTGATTCTTTTGCTTTGTGAGCAGACAGATCTTGCTAACTGAAAGCTTTTTATATTTTTTCTTTGAAATTAGGGAATTTTACCAGGAATTTGGGTTTTCATCAATCCTGCCTAGTAGCCTTTTCAATCTGCAAACTGGAGTATTTTTATATCAAAAAGTTATATTTTATTATTTATTTTAATATCAATTATCTTCCATCTATTCATTTTTCTCTTGCACAAAAAAGTATAGTACACTGGTTAAGTGCACAAACCACTTTGGTTCAAATCTCAACTTTTCCACTTAAAAACTCTTTGACTCTGGAAATTTTGCTTAACTTCTCTATGCTCCTGTTTTCTTACCTATAAAATAGAGTTAATGATCATAGCAGTACCTACCTCATATGGTGTTTTGCTTTGTTTTGTTGAAGTTTAAATTAGTTAATACATATAAATCCCTTAGGAAGATTGTCGGGCAAATTTCAAGTGCTCAGTAAATGTTAGCTAATTCTCTAGACCTGCAGTTATTGGCAAGTTAGGACTTCTGGAATTTTCTTCTAAATCTCTTATCTTTTCCCTCTATATTCCCATCTCTTCATGTTTTTGGTCTATGTAAAATATTTTTACACTTAATATTCCAGATCACTAAGTAATGTTTCAGCAATGATTGTTTGTTGAATTTCAAAAATCAAGAATCTTTTCTTTAATAGAACCATAAAATATATTGTGTGTTCTAACAGTTCTCCTCCTCCCCCTCCTTCTTTTTCTTTTTCCTCTATCCTTTATCATTGCCATCAGCTCGATTTCACTGGGATACAATTGTTCTGGATATTTAGCCTGATTTTTGTCCTCCATGTTACTCATTTTTTAACTGAGTTTTTCTTTTTCTCTGTTTCCTCATGATTATGGGCTTCCACAGAATTATACATGTCACACCATTATAGTTCCTTGACATACAGTCAACTAGCAAGTAATGACTGGCTCTCAGATGTCTGCTAATTTTTCCTCTCTGCTGAAGTGCATGGAGAATGCCTCTTTGCTCTCGGGTCTCCCAATTTCTCTCTCATCTGCAAGGTCTAGAAGCAGTTCAGGTCACCAGTACATCAACCTTTTTAGGACCACTGAAGTCAGAATAATCTGGCAAGCATCATGGAACCATATAAACAAAACAGCAAGTGTACCTCATTCTGATACATTTGTGCCAGATGGGTTCCCTCAGATGACTATGAAATCTAATCACTTAAAAATAAATAAACCATTGATTCTGTTGCTGGTCCCTTGGCTCTTGCACATTATCAGGGAGAATCAAATTCAATACCTTCTCTCTTCTCCAAGTGGTTGGAAAGCCTCAGAAGGATTCTCTAGGTTACATCAGCATATCTGCCCCAATGCTTGTTCCCAGAATCCACCTTTGAAGACACACACGCACACACAGTATACATACTTCTATATGTTAGAATTACATTTTTCCAAAGGAATATGTATTATTCAAAACTGTAAATAATTCACTTTTTTAATGAGTGAAAAGTTGTGTGAGAAAATGTGGGTGACCACTACAGAGTGCCCTTTTAGAACTATGACTAATAAGAAAAGGGCTGGGCGCGGTGGCTCACGCCTGTAATCTCAGCACTTTGGGAGGCCAAGGTGGGCAGATTACCCAAGGTCAGGAGTTTGAGACCAGCCCGGCCAACATGGTGAAACCCCATCTCTACTACAATTACAAAAATTAGCCAGGTGTGGTGGTGCATGCCTGTAATCCCAGCTACTTGGGAGGCTGAGGCAGGAGAATCACTTGAACCCAGGAAGCAGAGGTTGCAATGAGCCAAGATGATGCCACTGCACTCCAGCCTGGGCAACAGAGAGACCCCGTCTCAAAAAAGAAAGAAAGAAAAGGAAAGAAATATGTTAAAAGAGAAAAGCCAGATTCAATAGCTATTTTGTCTGATTGATTTTTAATTTGTTTTTAAATATGCAATGGGCTTGTGCATATTTACAAGTTGAGGTGCGGGCACTGTGAACAGAAAGAGGCTGAAGATACAGGAGAGGCATCTGATGATAATATAGTTTTTTTTATCAAAACTCAGGATGTTTGAGTTATAGTCATATTCTAACAATTGGGTATTAGACTGTCTTTTTTTTTTTTTTATCATTTTTTGGTTGAAAATCCTCTTTAAAATCCCAAATCCACATTCATGCTCTTAGTAAATTTATTCTAATGAAGATTTTCCTAACATATCTGGGTCATAATATGTATTTGGAAAATGGGATTTGTGTAGAAATAAATGTTTTCTAATAAACTTTTTTTTTAAAGAGTGGTTTAGATTCACAACAAAATTGAGAAAAAGGTATAGAGATTTTGCTTATACTTCCTGCCCCCTGACATGCATAGCTTTCTCCACTGTTAATATCCCCCAACCAGAGTGGTACATTTATTACTATTGATGGACCTACACTGATACATCATTACACCCAAAGTCCGTAGTTGACATTTGGATCCCCTCTTGGTGTTGTACATTCTATGGGTTTGGCCAAATATATAATGACATGTAACCACCATTATGGTATCACAGAGAGTAGTTTCACTGCTTTAAAAATCCTCTATGCTCCACCTGTTCATCCCTCCTTCCTCCATAACCCTGGGAACCACTCGTCTTTGTATCATATCTGATATGGTTTGGCTGTGTCCCCACCCAAATCTCAGCTTGAATTGTAGTAATCCCCACATGTCAGGGGTGGGGCCAGATGGAGATAATTGAATCATGGGGGTGGTTTCCCCCATACTGTTCTTGTGATTGTGAATAAGTCTCATGATAGCTGATGGGTTTATAAATGGGAGTTCCCCTGTACAAGCTCTCCCTTGCCTGTTGCCATGTAAGACATGACTTTGTTCCTCATTCATGATTGTGAGGTCTCCCTGGCCATGTGCAACTGTGAGTCAATAAAACCTTTTTCCTTTGTAAATTACCCAGTCATGTGGGAACAGACTAATACAGTAAATTGGTACTGGTAGAGTGCAGTGCTATTGTAAAGATACCTGAAAATGTAGAAGCGACTTTGGAACTAGGTAACAGGCAGAGGTTGGAAGAGTTTGGAGGGCTCAGAAGAAGACAGGAAAATGTGGGAAAGTTTGGAACTTCCTAGAGACTTGTTGAATGGCTTTGACCAAAATGCTGATAGTGATATGGACAATAAGGTCCAGGCTGAGGTTGTCTCAGATGGAGATGAGGAACTTTTTGGGAACTGGAGTAAAGGTCACTCTTGCTGTGAAAAGAGACTAGCAGCATTTTTCCCCTGCCCTAGAAATCTGTGGAACTTTGAACTTGAGAGAGATGATTTAAGGTATCTGGGGGAAGAAATTTCTAAGTGGCAAAGTGTTCAAGATGAAGCAGAGCATAAAAGTTTGGACAATTTGCAACATGACGGTGCAATAGAAAAGAAAACCCCATTTTCTATGGAGAAATTCAAGCCGGCTGCAGAAAT
Source organism: Homo sapiens (assembly GCF_000001405.40). Taxonomy (NCBI): domain Eukaryota; kingdom Metazoa; phylum Chordata; class Mammalia; order Primates; family Hominidae; genus Homo; species Homo sapiens. The sequence goes on along the minus strand of NC_000023.11, from coordinate 114,196,939 downwards.
TTGCATAAGTAATCCGGATGTTAATCCCCGATACAATGGGGAAAATGTCTCCAGGGCATGTCAGAGACCTTCACACCAGCCCAGCCCCTTCCATCACAGACCTGGAGGCCTAGAAGGAAAAAATGGTCTGGGCCGGGCCCAGGGCCTCCCTGCTGTTTGCAGCCTTGGGATATGGTGCCCTGCCCTGCTTCCCAGCTACTTCAGCTCCAGCCCTAGCTAAAAGGGGCCAAGGTACAGCTCAGGCTATTGCTTCAGAGGATGCAAACCCCAAGGCTTTGTGGCTTACATGTGGTGTTGGGCCTGCAGGTGCACTGAAGTCAGGAATTGAGGTTTGGGAACCTCTGCCTATATTTCAGAGGGTGTATGGAAATGCCTGGATGTCCAGACAGAGGTGTGCTGCAGGGGCAGAGCCCTCATGAAGAACCTCTGCTAGGGTAGTGCAGAAGGGAAATGTGAGGTGGTAGCCCCTACACAGAGTCCCCATTGGAGCACTCCCTAGTGGAGCTGTGAGAAGAGGGCCACTGCCTCCAGAACCCAGAATGGTAGATCCACTGACAGCTTGCACCATGCGCTGGCAAAAGCCATAGACACTCAATGCCAGCCCATGAAAGCAGCCAGGAGAGGGAATGTACCCTGCAAAGCCACAGGGGTGGAGCTGCCCAAGACCATGGGAATCCACCTCTTGCATCAGCATGACCTGGATGTGAGACATGGAGTCAAAGGAGAGCATTTTGGAGCTTTAAGATTTGACTGCCTGGCTGGATTTCAGACTTGCATGGGGCCTATAGCCCCTTCATTTTGGCCAATTTCTTCCATTTGAAATGGGTGTATTTACTCAATGCCTGTATCTTCATTGTATCTAGGAATTAACTAACTTGCTTTTGATCTTTCAGGCTCATAGGTGGAAAAGACTTGCCTTTTCTCAGATGAGACTTTGGACTATGGACTTTCAAGTTAATGCTGAAATGAGTTAAGACTTTGGGGGACTGTTGGGATGGCATGATTGGTTTTGAAAGGTGAGGACATGAGATTTGGGAGGGATCAGGGTGGAGTGATATGGTTTGGGTGTGTCCCCACCCAAATCTCAGTTTGAAGTGTAATAATCCCCACATGTCAAGGGCAGGGCCAGGTGGAGATAAATGAGTCATGGGGGCAGTTTCCCCTATACTGTACTCATAATTGTGAATAAGTCTCACAAGAACTCATGGTTTTATACATGGGAGCTCCCCTGTACAAGCTCTTTCTTGCCTGCTGCTATGCAAGACGTGACTTTGTTCCTCATTCATTTTGCAGCATGATTGTGACGCCTCCTTAGCCATGTGGAACTGTGAGAATTAAGCCTCTTTCCTTTATAAATTACCCAGTCTTTTGTATGTCTTTATTAGCAGCATGAGAACAGACTAATACAATCTTCATAGTTTTGCCTTTTCCAGAATGTCATATAGTTGGAATCATGCATTATGTTGACTTTTCAGTTTGCCTTCTTTTGCTTAGTAATATGCATTTTAGGTTCCGTCATTTCTTTTTATGTCTTGATAGCTCATTTTTAAAAGTGTGGAATAATATTCCATGGTTTAGCTTACCATAATTTATTTCCCCATTCACCTACTAAAGAACATCTTGGTTGTTTCTACGTTTTGGCTGTTATGAATAAAGCCACTATAAACATCTGCATGCAGGTTTTTGTGTGCACATAAGTTTTCAAATTTTTGAGTAAATACTAAGGAGCATGACTGCTTAGAACAAATGGTAAGAGTATCTTTCATTTTACAAGAAACTGCCAAATTGTCTTCCTAAGTGACTGTACGATTTTGCATTCCCACCAGCAATGAATGAGAATTTCTGTTGCTCCACATCCCCACCAGCATTTCATGTTATCAGTGTTCTGAATTTTGACCATTCTAATAGTTGTGTAGCAGTATCTTGTTTTAATTTGCGTTTTTTGACTACACATGATATGGAGCATCTTTTAATATGCTTGTTTGCTATATATATATATATATATATATATAAAATCTTTGGTGTGGTATCTGTTAAGGTCTTTGCTCATTTTTTAATATGGTTATTTGTTTTCTTACTCTTCAGTTTTAAGGGTTCTTTGCACATTTTAAATAACAGTCCTTTATCAGATAAATGTATTCTGCAAACGTTTTTCCCAATCTGTGGCTTTTCTTTCTCTTCTCTTGATTGTGTCTTCACAGACTCAGACATTTTTAACTTTAATAAAAGCCAGTTATCAGTTCTTTCTTCTATTGATAGTGCATATGATGTTGTTTCTAAAAAGCCATTACCAAACGCAAGGTCATTGAGATTTTCTCCTATATTATCTTGAAGGAATTTTTATAGTTTTGCATTTCACATTTAGGTCTGTGGTCCATTTTGAGTTATTGTTTTAAGAAAGATGTAAGATCTGTATCTAGACTCCTCCCACCTTTTTTGGTGTATAGATGTCCAGTTGTTCCGGCACCATTTGTTGAAACACTATCTTTGCTTCATTACACTGACTTTGCTCCTTTGTCAAAATTCAGTTGACAGTATTCATTTGGGTCTCTTTCTCAGCTCCCTATTCTGTTCTAAACGGATCTATTTGTTTATTCATTTGCTGAAACTACACTATCTTGTTTACTTTAGATTTATAGTAAGTCTTAAAGTAGAACAATGTCAGTCCTCCAACTTTGTTATTCTTCTTCAATACTGTGGTGGCTAATCATTGTCTTTTGAATCTTCATATAAATTTTAGAATGTTTGTTGATACACACAAAATTACCTTCTGGGATTTTGTTTGGGATTATGTTAGATCTATAGATCTAGTAACAATGAACCAACATCTTGATAATATTGTGTCTTTCTATCCATAAACATGGCCATTCATTAGCCTTTGATTTCTTTCATTGGGATTTTTAAAAATAATTTTAGGTTCGGGAGTACATATGCAGGTTTTTTACATGGATATATTGAGTAATGGTAAGGTTTGGGCTTCTAGTGTACCCATCACCAAAATAGTGAATACCATACCTCATAGGTAATTTTTTAAACCCTCCCCCCAAATCCTCTCCCCCTTTGGAGACCCCAGTGTCTACTATTTCCATTTTTATGTCTATGTATATCCATTGTTTATCTCCTACTTAGAACATTTTGAATGAGAATATTGCATGAGAACATGCAATAATTTGATTTTCTGTTTCTGATTTAATTCACTTAGGATAATGGCCTACAACTCCATCCATGTTGCTGCAAGAGACATAATTTCATTCTTTTTTATGGCTGCATCATATTACATGGTGTATGTGTACTACACTTTTCTTTTTCCAATCAACTGTTGATAGACACTTAGGTTGATTCAAAATCTTGGGTATTATGAACAACGCTGCAATGAACATAAGGTATAGGAAATCTTCATATAAAAATAGTTTTGTAATTTTCTCAAGTAGATCTTGTACATATTTTGTTGAAATTAAGCCTAAGTATTTAATTTGGGGTGTTGGTAATATAAAGGATATTGTGTTTTAATTTCAAATTTCAGTTGTTCATTGCTGGTATATAGAAAAGCAATTGACTTTTGTATATTGACTTTGTATCCTGTAACCTTGCTATAATTGCTTATTAGTTCCAAGGATTTCTTTTTCTACATATAAAATCATGTCATCTGCAAAAATTACAGTTTAATTTCTTCCTTCCCTATCAGTATACGTTTTATTTTCTTTTCTTGTCTTACTGCATTAGCTAGGACTTCCAATGTGATGTTGTAAAGTAGTGAGAGGGGACATCCTTACCTTGTTCTCTATCTTAGTGGGAAAGCTTTTAGTTTCTCACCTTTAAGTATGATATTAACTATAAGTGTTTTAAAGGTACTCTTTATCAAGTTGAAAAAATTACCCTTCTATACTCAGTTTACTGAGAGTTTTTGTCATAAATGGGTATTAGATTTTTCAAATGCTTTTTCTGAATCTATTGATATTAACATGCATTTTTTTTCTTTAGCCTATTAATGTGATTGATCACCTTAATTGATTTTCAAATGTGAAACCAGCCTTGCATTCCTGGGAAAAAACCACTTAGTCATGGTATATAATTCTTTTAATACTATATTGGATTAAATTTGCTAATACTTTGCTGAGGATTTTTGTGTCTGTGTTCACGAGAGATATTGATCTGTAGTTTTCTTGTAATGTCTCTATCTGGTTTTAATATTACTATGATATAGGACACAGAACGAATTGGATGTATTCCCGTTGCTTCTATCTTCTGAAAAAAATTGTAAAGAATGGGTATGAATTTTCCTTAAATGTTTGGTAGAATTTATCAGTGAACCTATCTGGGCCTGGTGCTTTCTGTCTGAGAAAGTTATAATTTACTGATTAAATTTATTTATTAGATATAGGCCTACTCAGGTTGTGAGTTTTGGCAGATGGTGTCTTTCAAGGAACTGGTCCATTTCATCTAGTGTATTAAATTTGTGGGCATAAAGTTGTTCATAATATTCTTTAATTATTCAAGGTCCAGGTCATCTGTACCAATCGCCTGTGTTACATTTCTGATATTAGTAATTTGTGTCCTCTTTTTAAATGTTAGTTACCCTGGCTAGAAGCTTATTGGTTTTATTGTCCATTTCAAGAACTAGCTTTTGGTTTCATTGGGTTTCTCTATTGATTTCCTGTTTTTAATTTCATTGCTTTCTGCTCTAATTTTTATTATTTATTTTCTTCTTCTTACTTGGGATTGGATTTGCACTTACTTTTCTAGTTTCCTAATGTGGAAGCTTAGATTGCTTTTTGATCTTATTTACTAATGTATGTATTCAGTGCTATAAATGTCTCTTTATACACTGCTTTGCTGCATCCCAGTGATTTTGACTAGCCATCCTTTGTTTCAAAATGTTTTTATATGTCTCTTGAGATTTCTCTTCTAACCCGTATCTTATTTAGAAGCATGTTGTTTAATCTCCGAGTGATTTGGGATTTTCTACCTGTCATTCTCTTATTGATTTCTGTGACCTGAGAGCAAGTGAGCAGGCACTGTATAATTTCTATTATTTTAAAATTTTTAAGAGTTGTTTTATTGTCAAGAACGTCGTCTATCTTAGTGAAAGTTTCACGTGCACTTCGGAAGAATGTGTATTCTTCTGTTGTTAAATGAAGTAGTCTGTAGATGTCAATTATATGCAATTGATTGATGATGTTGTTGACTTTACCTGTGGCATAACTGGTTTTGCTTGCTTGATCTGATCATTTCTGATAGAAGGGTATTGATTTCTCCAACTATAATAGTGGATTCATTCATTTCTTGCAATTCTATCAATTTCTGCCTCATGTATCTTGATGCTCTTTTCTTAGGCAAATAGAGTTGAGGATTGTCATGTCTTCTTGGAGAATGGACTGCTTTATTTTTATATAATGCTCCTCTCTATTTCCTTTCTCTGAACTCTACCTTCTCCGAAATTAATAAAACTACTTCTGCTTTCTTTTCTTTAGTTTTAGCATGGAATATATTTCTTTATCTATTTACTTTTAATATGTATTTTTCTTTATATCTAAGGTGGGTTTCTTGTAGACAACATAGAAGTGGGTCTTCTTTTTTGATCTATTGTGACAACTTCTGTTTTTTAGTTGGTGCCTTTAGGCCATTGACATTGAAAGTGATTATTGATACAGTTAGATTAATATCTACCATAGTTGCTATTATTTGTTGCCCTTGTTCTTTGCTCCTATTTTTGTCTTTCACCTTTTTTCTGCCTTTTGTGGTTTTAATTGGACATTTTATATGATTCCATTTTCTCTCTTTTTTTTAGCATATAAGTTACATTTCCATTTTTAAATTTTTTTTAGTTGTTGCCCTAGAGTATGCAATATACATATTTTTTCTTTTTTACTTTTCTTTTAGACTGAGTCTTGCTCTTGTTGCCCAGGCTGGAGTGCAGTGACGCAATCTCAGCTCACTGCAACCTCCACCTCCTGGGTTCAAGTGATTCTCCTGCCTCAGCAACCACCCTCCCACCCCACCCTGGTAGCTAGGTTTATAGGCGAGTGCCACCATGCATGGCTAATTTTTATATTTTTATTAGAGACAGGGTTTTGTTATGTTGGCCAGGCTGGTCTCAAACTCCTGACCTCAGGTGATCCACATGCCTCGGCCTTCCAAAGTGCTGGGATGACAGGCATGAGCCACCGCACCCAGCCTGCAATATGCATTTATAACTAATCCATGTCCACTATTAAATAATACTATATTGCTTTATGGGTAGTATGAACGCCTTAGAGTAACAAAATAATCCTAATTGTTGCTCCTATTATTTTGAACAAATTGATATTTATTAGCTCAATTAAGAATTTTAAAAATCAAGTTTTTATTTTACCCTCATTTATTGCTTCTTCGATATGCTCTTCTGTTCTTTACATAGCTCTGAGTTTCTGACCTACATCATTTTCTTTCTCTCTAAGGAACTTCTTTTACCATTTCTTGCAAGACATATCTACTGGGAACAAATTTCCTTAATTTTATTTGCTGAGAAAGTCTTTATTCGAAGGATAATTTTACAGAATACAGAATTCTGGGTAGATAATATTTACTCCTTTACCATTTAAATATTTCATTCCACTCTTCTCTTGCTTTGCACACTTTCTGAGAAGTTTGATATAATTATTATCTTTGCTTCTCTCTAAGTAAGCTGTTTTTTTCCTCTGGCTTCTTTCAGGATTATTTCTTTATCAGTGATTTTCTGCTATTTAAATATAATAGCAGAAAATACCTAGGAATACTTTTGTCAACATTTATCCTACTTGTTTTTCTCTAAGCTTCCTGGATTTGTAGTTTTGTTTCTGCTACTATTTGGGAAAAATTCTCAGTCATTATTGCTTCAAGTATTTTTTTTTTAATTAATTAATTAATTTATTTATTTTATTATACTTTAAGCTCTGGGATACATGTGCAGAATGTGCAGGTTTGTTACATAGATATACACGTGCCATGGTGGTTTGCTGCACCCATCAACCCATCATCTACATTACATATTTCTCCCAATGCTATCCCTCCTTTAGCCCCCCACCCCCCGACAGGCCCTGATGTGTGATGTTCTCCTCCCTGTGTTCATGTGTTCTCATTGTTCAACTTCTACTTATGAGTGAGAACATCTGGTGTTTGGTTTTCTGTTCCTAAGTTAGTTGCTGAGAATGATGGTTTCCAGCTTCATCCATGTCCCTGCAAAGTGAACTCATCCTTTTTTATGACTGCATAGTACTCCATGATATATATGTGCCACATTTTCTTTATCCAATCTATCACTGATGGGCATTTGGGTTGGTTCCAAGTCTTTGCTATTGTGAATAGTGCTGCAGTAAACATACATGTGCATGTGTCTTTATAGTAGAATGATGTATAATCCTTTGGGTATATACCCAGTTAATGGGATTGCTGGGTCAAATGGTATTTCTGGTTCTAGATCCTTAAGGAATCACCACAATGTCTTCCACAATGGTTGAAGTAATTTGCACTCCCACCAGCAGTGTAAAAGCGTTCCTGTTGTGTCCAGAGTTGATTCCTGCCGGGGGGGTTTGTGGCCTTCTGACTTCAAGAATGGAGCCACGGACCTTCGTGGTGTTACAACTCTTAAAAATGGCACGGACCCAAAGTGTGAGTGGTAGCAAGGTTTATTGTGAAGAGCGAAAGGACAAAGCTTCCACAGTTTGAAAGGGGACCTGAGCGGGTTGCTGCTGCTGGCTGGGGTGGCCAGCTTTTATTCCTTTATTGTCCCCTCCAGTGTTCCATTTCTGTCCTATCAGAGTGCCCTTTATTCAGTCATCCCCACGATTGGCTACTTTTAGAATCCTGCTGATTGGTGCGTTTTACAGAGCACTGATTGGTGCATTTTACAAAGCTCTTGTAAGACAGGAAAGTTCCCCAAGTCCCCACTAGACCCAGGAAGTCCAGCTGGCCTCACCTCTCACTATTTCTCCCCACCCTCTCAAGCATCTGTTGTTTCTTGACTTTTTAATGATTGCCATTCTAACTGGCATGAGATGGTAGGTATCTCATTGTGGTTTTGATTTGCATTTCTCTAATGACTAGTGATGATGAGCTTTTTTTCATGTTTGTTGGCTGCATAAGTGTCTTCTTTTGAGAAGTGTCTGTTTATATCCTTTGCCCACTTTTTGACCAGGTTGTTTGTTTTTTTCTTACAAATTTGTTTAAGTTCTTTGTAGATTCTGGATATTAGTCCTTTGTCAGATGGATAGATTGCAAAAATTTTCTCCCATTCTGTAGATTGCCTGTTAACTCTGATGATACTTTCTTTTGCTGTGCAGAAGCTCTTTAGTTTGATTAGATCCCATTTGTTAATTTTGGATTTTGTTGCTATTGCTTTTGATGTTTTACTCATGAAGTCTTTGCCCATGCCTATGTCCTGAATGGTATTGCCTAGGTTTTCTTCTAGGGATTTTATGGTTGTGGGTTTTACATTTAAGTCTTTAATCCATCTTGAGTTGATTTTTGTATAAGGTGTAAGGAAGGGGTCCATTTCAGTTTTCTGCATGTGGCTAGCCAGTTTTCCCAGCACCATTTATTAAATAGGGAATCTTTTCCCATTGCTTGTTTGTGTCAGGTTTGTCAAAAATCAGATGGTCGTAGATATGTAGTGTTATTTCTGAGGTCTCTGTTCTGTCCCATTGGTCTACATATCTGTTTTGGTACCAGTACCATGCTGTTTTGGTTACTGTAGCCTTGTAGTATAGTTTGAAGTCAGGTAGCATGATGCCTCCAGCTTTGTTCTTCTTGCCCAGAATTGTCTTGGCTATGTGGGCTCTTTTTTGGTTCCATATGAAGTTTAAAGTAGATTTTTCCAATTCTGTGAAGAAAGCCACTGGTAGCTTGATGGGGATAACATTGAATCTATAAACTACTTTGGGCAGTATGGCCATTTTCACGATATTGATTCTTCCTATCCATGAGCACAGACTGTTTTCCCATTTGTTTGTGTCCTCTCTTATTTCCTTGAGCAGTGGTTTGTAGTTCTCCTTGAAGAGGTCCTTCACATACATTGTAAGTTGTATTCCTAGGTATTTTATTCCCTTTGTAGCAATTGAGAATGGGAGTTCACTCAGGATTTGGCTCTCTGTCTGCCTGTTATTGGTGTATAAGAATGCTTATGGGTTTTGCACACACTGATTTTGTATCCTGAGACTTTGCTGAAGTTGCTTATCAGCTTAAGGAGATTTTGGGCTGAGACAATGGGGTTTTCTAAATATACGATCATGTCATCTGCAAAAAGAGACAATTTGACTTCCTCTCTTCCTATTTGAATACCTTTATTTCTTTCTCTTGCCTGATTGCTGTGGCCAGAACTCCCAATACTATGTTGAATAGGAGTGGTGAGACAGGGCATCCTTGTATTGTGCCAGGTTTCAAAAGGAATGCTTCCAGTTTTTGCCCATTCAGTATGATATTGGCTGTGGGTTTATCATAAATAGCTCTTATTATTTTGAGATATATTCTATTGATACATAGTTTATTGAGAGTTTTTAATATGAAGGGGTGTTGAATTTTGTTGAAGGTCTTTTCTGCATCTATTGAGATAATCATGTGGTTTTCATCATTGGCTCTGTTTATGTGATGGATTATGTTTATTGATTTGTGTATGTTGAACCAGCCTTGCTTCCCAGGTATGAAGCTGACTTGATCATGGTGGATAAGCTTTTTGATGTGCTGCTGGTTTCGGTTTGCCAGTATTTTATTGAGGATTTACACATCGATGTTCATCAGGGATATTGGCCTGAAATTTTCTTTTTTTGTTGTGTCTCTGCCAGGTTTTGGTAACAAGATGATGCCTCATAAAATGAGTTAGGAGGATTCCCTCTTTTTCTGTTGTTTGGAATAGTTTCAGAAGAAATGGTACCAGCTCCTCTTTGTACCTCTAGTAGAATTTGGCTGTGAATCCACCTGGTCCGGGACGTTTTTTGGTTGGTAGGCTATTAATTACTGCCTCAATTTCAGAACTTGTTATTAGTCTATTCAGGGACTTGACATCTTCCTGGTTTAGTCTTGGGAGGGTGTATATGTCCAGGAATGTATCCATTTCTTTTAGATTTTCTAGTTTATTTGAATAGAGGTGTTTCTAGTATTCTCTGATGGTAGTTTGTATTTCTGTGGGATCAGTGGTGATATCCCCTTTACTATTTTTTATTGTGTCTATTTGATTCTTCTCTCTTTTCTTTTTTATTAGCCTGGCTCGTGGTCTATCTATTTTGTTAATCTTTTCAATAAACCAGCTCCTGGATTCACTGATTTTTTGAAGGGTTTTTTGTGTGTCTCTCTCCTTCATTTCTGCTCTGATCTTAGTTATTTCTTGTCTTCTGATACTTTTGAATTTGTTTGCTCTTGCTTCTCTAGTTCTTCTGATTGTGATGTTAGGGTGTCAATTATAGATCTTTCCCATTTTCTCCAGGGGCATTTAGTGCTATAAATTTCCCTCTAAATGCTGCTTTAGCTGTGTCCCAGATATTCTGGTACATTCTGTCTTTTATCTCATTGGTTTCAAATAACTTATTTATTTCTGCCTTAACTTTGTTTTTTACCAGGTTGTTCAGTTTCCACATAGTTGTGCAGTTTTTAGTGAGTTTCTTAATCCTGAGTTCTAATTTGATTGCATTGTGGTCTGAGAGACTGTTTGTTATCATTTCTGTTCTTTTGCATTTTCTGAGGAGTGTTTTACTTCCAATTATGTGGCCGATTTTAGAATAAGTGTGATGTGGTGCTGAGAAGAGTGTATATTCTGTTGATTTGTAGTGGAGAGTTCTGTAGATGTCTATTAGGTCCACTTAGTCCAGAGCTGAGTTCAAGTCCTGAATATCTTGGTTAATTTTCTGTCTCATTGATCTAATATTGACAGAGGAGTGTTAAAGTCTCCCACTATTATTGTGTGCAAGTCTAAGTCTCTTTGTAGGCCTCTAAGAACTTGCTTTATGAATCTGAGTGCTCCTGTATTGGGTGCATATATATTTAGGATAGTTAGCTCTTCTTGTTGCATTGATCCCTTTACCATTATGTAATGTCCTACTTTGTCTTTTTTGATCTTTGCTTGTTTAAAGTCTGTTTTATCAGAGACTAGGGTTGCAACCCCTGCTTTTTTTTTTTTTTTTTTTTTTTGCTTTCCATTTGCTTGGTGAACATTCCTCCCTCCCTTTATTTTGGGACTATGTGTGTCTTTGCATGTGAGATGAGTCTCCTGAATACAGCACACTGATAGGTCTTGACTCTTTATCCAATTTGCTAGTCTGTGTCTTTTATTTGAGGCATTTAGCACGTTTACATTTAAGGTTAATATTGTTATGTGTGAATTTGATCCTGTCATGATGCTATCTGATTATTTGGCCTGTTAGTTGATGCAGTTTCTTCATAGTGTTGATGGTCTTCACAATCTGGTATGTTTTGCAGTAGCTGGTACCAGTTTTTCCTTTCCATATTTACTGCTTCCCTCAGGAGCTCTTGTAAGGCAGGCCTGGTGGTGACAAAATCTCTCAGCATTTGCTTGTCTATAAAAGATTTTATTTCTCCTTCACTTATGAAACTTAGTTTTGCTGGATATGAAATTCTGGGTTGAAAATTATTTTCTTTAAGAATTTGAATATTGGTCCCCACTCTCTTCTGGCTTGTAGGGTTTCTACCAAGAGATCCACTGTTAGTCTGATGGGCTTCCCTTTGTGAGTAACCCAACCTTTCTCTCTGGCTGCCCTTAACATTTTTTCCTTCATTTCAACCTTGGTGAATCTGACAATTATGTATCTTGGGGTTGCTCTTCTCGTGGAATATCTTTGTTGTGTTCTCTGTATTTCCTGAATTTGAATGTTGGCCTCTCTTGCTAGGTTGGGGACCTTCTCCTGGATAATATCCTGAAGAGTGTTTTCCAAAACTTGGTTCCATTCTCCCTGTCACTTTCAGTACACCAATCAAATATAGGTTTAGTCTTTTCACATAGTCCCATATTTCTTGGAGGCTTTGTTCATTCCTTCTCATTATTTTTTCTCTAATCGTGTCTTCACACTTTATTTCATTAAGTTGATCTTCAATCACTGATATCCTTTCTTCCACTTGATTGATTCGGCTATTGATACTTGTGTATGATTCACGAAGTTCTCATGCTGAGTCTTACAGCCCCATCAGTTCATTTAAGTTCTTCTCTAAACTGGTTATTCTAGTTAGCAATTCCTCTAACCTTTTTTTAAGGTTCTTGGCCTCCTAGCATTGCATTAGAGCATGCTTCTTTAACTTGGAGGAGTTTGTTATTACCTACCTTCTGAAGCCTACTTCTGTCAATTCGTTAAACTCAAACTCCATCCAGTTTTGTTCCCTTGCTGGCAAGGAGTTGTGATTCTTCGGAAGAGAAGAGGCATTCTGGTTTTTGGAATTTTCAGCCTTTTTGTACTGGTTTTTCCTCATCTTCATGGATTTATCTACCTTTGATCTTTCATGTTGGTGACCTTCGGATGAAGTTTTTGTGTAGATGTCCTTTTTGTTGATGTTGATGCTATTCCTTTCTGTTAGTTTTCCTTCTAACAGGAAGGCCCCTCTGCTGCAGGTCTGCTAGAGTTTGCTGGAGGTACACTCCAGACCCTATTTTCCTGAGTATCACCAGCAGAGGCTGCAGAACAGCAAAGATTGCTGCCTGTTCCTTCCTCTGGTAGCTTTGTCCCAGAGGGGCACCTACCAGATGCCAGCTGGAGCTCTTCTCTGTGAGCTATCTATTGACCCCTGCTGGGAGGTATCTCCCAGTCAGGAGGCACGGGGGTCAGGGACCCACTTGAGGAGGCTGTCTGTCCCTTAGCAGTGCTCAAGCCCTGTGTCGAGAGATCCGCTACTCTCTTCAGAGCCAGCAGGCAGGAACTTTTAAGTTGCTGAAGCTGCACCCACAGCCACCCTTTCTCCCAGGTGCTCTGTCCCAGGGAGATGGGAGTTTGATCTATAAGTCCCTGACTGGGGCTGCTGCCTTTCTTTCAGAGATGCCCTGCCCAGAGGGGAGGATTCTAGCGAGGCAGTCTGGCTACAGTGGCTTTGTGGCACTGTGGTGGGCTCTGCCCTGTTCAAGCTTCCTGGTGGCTTTGTTTACACTGTGAGGGGAAAACTGCCTACTCAAGCCTCAGTAATGGTGGACGCCTCTCCCCCCACCAATCTTGAGCATCTCAGGTTGACTTCAGACTGCGGTCCTGGCAGGAGAATTTCAAGCTAGTGGATCTTAGCTTGCTGGGCTTTGTGGTGGTGGAATCTGCTGAGCTAGACCATTTGGCTCCCTGGCTTCAGCCCCCTTTCCAGGGGAGTGAATGGTTCTGTCTCACTGGCGTTCCTGGCACCACTGGGGTATGAAAAAAGACTCCTGTAGCTTGCTCAGTGTCTGCCCAAATGGCCTCCCAGTTTTTTGCTTGAAACCCAGGGCCCTGGTGATGTAGGCACCAGAGGGAATCTCCTGGTCTGCGAGTTGCTAAGGCCATGAGAAAAGCGTAGTATCTGGGCTGGAATACGCTGTTCCTCATGGCACAGTCCCTCATGGCTTCCCTTGGCTAGGGTAGGGAGTTTCCCGACCACTTGCACTTCCCAGGTGAGGCAACGCCCCACCCTGCTTCAGCTTGCCCTCCGTGGGCTGCACCCACTGTCTAACCAGTCCCAATGAGATGAGCCATGTACCTCAGTTGGAAATGCAGAAATTACCTGCCTTCTGCATTGATCTCAGTGGGAGCTGCAGACCAGAGCTGTTCCTATATGGCCATCTTGCCAGCCCAGTCCATACTTCAAGTATTTCTTATGTTCCTTTCTGTGTCTCTTCTCCTTCTTGTATCCCATTACCTGTATTTTACACCTTGTGTAGTTGTCCCACACTTACTGTATACTCTGTTCTGGTCTTTACTGTAGTAATTTTTGTTTCTCTTTGCTTTTCAGTTTTGAAGGTTTCTACTGAGATATCCTCAAGCTCAGAGATTCTTTCTTAATCTATGCCAGTCTATTCATAAGCCCATCAAAGGCATTCATTATGTCTGTTACAGTGTTTTTAATCTCGTTTTTTTATTCTTAGAATTTCCATCTCTCTGTCATATTTGCATAATGACTATTTACTAAAGACCTTAGTGTATTCATTATAGCTATTTTAAATCCCCAGTCTGAAAATTCCAACATCCCTGCAGTAGCTGAGTCTGGTTCTGATGCTTGTTTTGTCTTTTCAAACTACGCTTTTTACCATTTAGTATGTCTTGTAGCTTTTAGTTGATACCCAGACTTGATGTACTGGGTAAAAGAAACTATTGCAAATAGGCTTTTAGTAATGTGGTGGTAAATTACTAAAGTAATCGGGGGGGATGGAAGTGTTCTATAATTCTATAATTAGTTCCCATCTTTAATTGAGTCTATGCCCCTGGACTGTGTACTTCATAAATGTTTCTCAATTTTTAAAAATTTTTCTCCCTTATATGGGACAAGATGGTTGGAAGGGACTGGAATTGGGTATTTCCCTTCTCACGGGTCTTTTAGGCTCTGAAAAAGCTCTAATAGTGCAGGTTCTAGTTAAACAATTTTTCCTGAGGGTAGGACTCATTTAAAAGAACAGAATGCTCTGGCATATTTCAAAGTGTCCATTTTTTCTCTACTATTGCCAGAAGCACAGAGGTATTTTTCTCCAATATTCTCTGTCAGAACCTGGTCAAGCTCTTGGAAGTAAAACTTGCAAAAACATGCAGACCCCCAACCCCCACTGAGTTCCCCTGGAGTTTTCTACCTTCAAATTTGTCCAACTTGAGCCTCCAGCAATTTGTTAATTACAGTTCCGGTTTTCCTACTCTGGTAGTAGTACCCACAAAGGTTTCTACTTACAGGTTTCTGCTTCAGTAAGCTGTGTCTCTGTATTCACCTGTCTCCAATTCGGGGACAGCAGTTTGCCCTACAGACTCACTTCTCTTACAGATCTAAGAAAAGTTATTGATTTTTCAGTTTTTTCAGCTTTTTCTTGTTGTTAGGATAGAGAGATGACTTCCAGTCTCCTTATCTGTGGGACTAAACAAGTTCTTTGAATTTTTACCCTTTTTTTCACTATTAATGTGGTTCAATGATTTTCCTTTTGTCAACAATGTTCTGTGTTTTGAGGCTTATTTCAGGCTAATTTTCAGTTCTTTTCTTTTTAGGCTGCTCCAAATAGATTGAAAAAAAAAACTTATAACACTTTTTTTCAGTAGAACTTCTGAATAATATGTTGTATGAAAAATTAAGCATTCTTTCCTGAAGTTCTTTGATCATGGGGTTTTCTACCTGTACCAAACTTGAGAGCATCTTAGGAGGCTACTATCATGTAACACACATTGGGAAACAGTGTTCAAATCACTAGATTTTTGTGAGTTTTATATCAATCAGCTATTGTTGTAGAACAAGAAAATCTCAGTGGTATATAATAATAAACGTTTATTTCACATTTTCATATTAGATTACTAGGCTGGCTCAGTGGTGGTAACAAGGATATTCATTTCCATGTGTTTCTCATCTTTCTCTGAGGCAAGTGGCTTAATTAAAGTACAGTTTTCTGGTGATGATAAGATAAGCAAAATAGAGCACATCCAATTTTGTGAGCACAGTTGAAGTACCTGCTTTGCATTAGGTCTGTTCACATCCCATTAGCCAAAGCAAGTCACATGATCAAGTCCAAATGTAAAAGGCTGGGGGGCATGTGACTGCTTTTGTGTGGGAACTACAGTGATACATGGAAGCTACAGGGTATGTTGAAAATTTGAGGCTTGTAATTCAATTTACCAGAGTTCTCAAAATTATCATTTTGAATGATGCTGCAGGTAAGAGTCATCATACCTGAGCTTGCAGTTTCTCATTGGGGGTTCTATTTTCATTTCAGATGGGGCAAACCTTCCTGGATGTTGTTCAATTTTAGCATTGCTGGCTCTTACCCACTTAACTCCAGTAAGCATCCTGACAGACTTTTCCAAAATACTCCCTATCTAATCAATAACACTCCTAATTTGAAAGGCACTGGTGAATTCTACTGTTAATTAATTGTGTGAACTTGGGCAAATAATTCAGCATTTCACTTTTTCAGCTATAAAGAATAAGTTAAAATTAACAAGCTATAAGTTCTATCTCAGTGTAAACATTTGATAAATTGAAATATAGCAGATAGAGGCGACTAGAATAAAGTGTGAGAAAAACAGCATATATGCTTCAGGCCATCTCTTCTACCTTCAAGTCATCCTGGGAGTATATAGTTTCATTCTCATACTTTAAGATAATAGTAACAAGTTAAAAATGTCAAAGGAAAGCAATTAGAAATGTTGTTGAGGATTGAATAATATGTCACATTAGTGATGTTTGATCCAACTGGGGTTGTTTAGTCAAGAAATCAGTAATGAACTTGTTTAGAAAAGAGAATTGGAGCTTGAGGATGAGAGCTCAATTCGAGTTTTATTTGCTCATTAGACAAATCATTACTGAGTACCTGATACAGACCAAATGCAATGTTGAGCCTTTTAAAATTTATAATATAAGATAGACTTATTAAGTGTTGCCCAGAGAACAAAGCTAGAAGGGTTGTGCGAAATGGCAGGTAAATGACTTTAGGCTTAACATAAGAAAAAAGAAATATAATTACCAGGGAGACTGAAAATGAAATGGATGACTTTAGGAGGAGTCACTGAAGTCCCCATAGTTTGAAATATTCAGCTTTTCAGAGAGTTAGAAATGAATCCTATCTCTGAATCTCTAGCACCTTAGCACATGGCTGGGCACAGCATAGCTGTTGAACAGGAATTTGTTGAATAAACAAATATATCAAATGTGAGATTAAAAAATTGTTAATTTCTGGTTATCCAACTCTAAGATTCCGTGTTTTTTAGAGAACACGAGACCCCACAAAGTCAGTCTCTGTCTTTTCTTCTCCTCATTTCCCTCATAAAGTATGTCAAAAAGAAGCATCTCTTCAAAAGTAGTTCAAAGGCAATATAGAACAGAAAACAATTTATTCAAGGGTAGCCAGAAGAGTGTATGTGGAAGGGGATATAAGCTGTGCAGGGCTTTGTATCATGTTAGGATGGAAGCTGAGAGTATGCATGTGATTCACCATTCTCTTTTTACTACCATTTGTAGTACTTTGTAAAGCAGTAAGTTAAGTATTCTAGAGAAACTATCATAATTCTCCATTTTCCCTCATTACTTTTGAATGAATACAGCAAATTGTTTCTTGCTGTTAGTTTCCTTTGAACAAATAAAACAGAAAGACAGGACCATAGAAAAATACATCAATTACAGGCTTAGTTAGGTTGTGGTTAATCAAGATTTTATCTTACTAAAATGTAGAAAAGGAAATTTTTATTGATGAGAAATAAGCAATTGTGAGATAAAAGCAAGTGAGTGGGAACACATATTTGAGTAACCCATGTCTCCCCAAGGAAAATCTCAGAGTTAAAATGGCCTTTCTTGATACTACTTGATCATTCAGATATAATTTGCACTTTCACAATATATAAATTTTAATGCCAAGACAGGAAATTCAATCTAAGAAATGATCACTTGCCAAATTAATGATCCGTTTACATCTGAGGTTAGAGCTGAGGCATAATTATATTGAAATTAAAGGATAAGTCCTGGATGTCTGCAATGATCTCAATATTTGCACATTTATTTAGCACTCACCACAACACTAGAAATGTGCTGCGGGCAATCGAAAAGTAAATAACATGTATTTTTTTATTTTTGGATATGATGAAATATCAGAGATGGGTTTTATCTTCCCACTGAAACTAACTAGAAAATTGCACCAAATTTATGAAATAACTGTTTTCACACATTGGACAACAGGCAACACAAGGAAAATAAGTGAGGTGAGCCCTGTGATTACTACTGGCTTTCTGTGTGTAGGCACATTTCACAACAGAAAGTAGTAGGGGCAGCCCATCCAGAACAGGGTGGTTTCCCAGAATTGAGATGGAAATTAGGGAAGCTGAGGGGGCTGGAACATATTGGGCCGGAACATATTGGGCCGAGTTCTGCGAAAAGAGAGCTACCCAGAAAAGAGCTCTCACTATTGTTTGAAAGTCTTACTGATTACATAAACAGTTGATTAACACATATTTTGTATGTTACATGTATTGTGTACTGGATTCTTACAGTAAAGTAAGCTAGAGAAAAAAATGTTTTTAGGCCAGTCATAAGAAAGAAAAAATATGTTTACTATTCATTAACTGAAAGTGGGTCATCATAAAGATATTCGTGCTCATTGTCTTTATGTTGAGTAGGCAGAGGAGAAGGAAGAAGAGGGGTTGGTTTTGCTGTCTCAGGGGTGGCAGAGGCAGAAGAAAATTCACATATAAGTTCAAACTCGTGTTGTTCAAGGGTCAACTGTAATCAGTCAAGTAAGTGCTAAAATCTAAAATACATCAGTGAAGATCGCAGAGTGAGAACATCTGAAAATCAACAATAACAATGGCAAAAATTGTCTAAATCAACATTCAGGAAGCTGGAAATTAACTAAAAGCTTGCAGCAACCCAGGGAGCACTTATTTTAGAAAGTAAGTACAAAGAGTGAGCTTTGTGGCTTTTTAACTGGCTCAATTCCTACACTTCTCCATTGAGGTCTGCAAGAGCTTTGAAAAACAACAACCCACAATCGTGGTGAAAACCAGCAGTCTGGCAGCCATTAAGAGGGGACAGAACAAAGTTGGAGCTCTTTTCAAAACCTTAGTCCCAGAAAATTGTCTTGTGATTATTTACTTGTCTTGTGATTCACTGGAAGACACCGTTTGCTAGGCTGTCTTTATTTGACTGCACTTGAAGCTGGCCCAGCAAAAGAGCCTTTTTCCTGGGGTGATTGTCAAAAACATTTAGAGAAAAATATTTAAATTCACAGATGCTTAAGGTGCATATCAGGTGGGGCCAAAAAGAGTAGCCAAAATCCTTAAAAGGAAATCCTGGGGAGTGAGATGTCCATAGGGGCTTTGAAAAGATAACATTTATTGGGAATCTAGAAGGAAATGTGAATGTCATATCTATATAGGAGATTCTACTCAACAACAACAAAATACACATTCTTCTCAAATGCACATAAAACGATCTCCCAGAGATGTCAGACCACAGAATAATTTTCATTAAATTTTAAAAGCTTGAAATCATATGAAATATCTTATTTGACCAAAATGGAATAAAACTAGACAATAGTAGTAATAGAAAGTTTGGAAAATTCACAAATATGTGTAATTTAAGACTGCACTCTTAACTAATGGGTCAATGAAGAAACCATGAAGGAAATTAGAAAATACTTTGAGATGATTTAAAATGAAAGCATATTAAAACTTGTGGAATACAGTAAAAACAGTACTGAGAGATACATTTAAAGCTATAAATTCCTACGTTAAAAAAGAGGATTAATCTATTTGAATATGACACCAAAAGGAGAGGCAACAACAGAATAAACAGATAAATTAGTTTATACCAAAATACAAAATTTCTGTGCATGAAGAGACACAATCAAAAGAGTAAAAAAGGCAACCCACAGAAAGGGAGAAAATATTTGCAAATCATATGTCTGATAAATGTTTAGTGTCTGAAATATATAAAGAACAAGCCAAACAATGACAATAAATAAACAATCCGGTTAAAAAAAATCAAAGGGTTTCAATAAACATTTCTTCAAAGAAAAAATACAGATAGTTAATAAGTACATGAAAAATAGTTCAGCTGGGCATCGTGGCTCACGCCTGTAATCTCAACAATTTGAGAGGCCAAGGCGGGCAAATGTCTTGAGCCCAGGAGTTCAAGACCAGCCTGGGCAACATGACAAAACTCCATCTCTACAAAAAATACAAAATAAATTAGTCAGTTGTGGTAGCATGCGCCTGAAGTCGCAGCTACTCAGGAGGCTGAACTGGGAGGATAATTTGAGCCTGGGAGGTCAAGGCTGCAGTGAGCTGTGATCATGCCACTGCACTCTAGCCTGTGTGACTGAGTGAGACCCTGTCAAAAAAAAAAAAAAAAAAAGCACAAAAAGTCCAATATCACTAATTGTTAGGGAAATGCAAATTAAAACACAATATGATACTCATTAGAATGGGTACTATGAAACAGAGAAAATAACAAGTGGCGGTAAGGATGTGAAGAAACTGGAACCCTCATACAATGTTGCATGGTTAAAGTCATGCAGCCACTGCAGAAAACAGTGTAGCAATTTCCCCAAATTTTAAACATAATTCCATATAAGTTAGCAATCCCATTCCTCAGTATATGCCTAAAAGAATTTAAAACTAGTGTTTGAATAACTTGTATATAAATGTTTATAGCAGCATTATTCACATATAACCAAAAAGTAGAATCAATACAAATGTCTATCAATGGCTTCATAAATATTAATCCATTAATGTGATATATCCATACAATGGAATTTATTATTTTACCATTCAGAGGAGTAAAGTACTGATTCATGCTACAACATGGAGGGACCTAGAAAACAACTTGCTAAGTAGAATAAGCCAGGCACTAAAAGCCGTATATTGTATGATTCCGTTTATATAAATGTCCAGAATAGGCCACTCCATAGAGATGGAAATCAGATTGGTTGTTTCTAGGGAATAGGGGCAGAGAGAAATGGAGAATGATTGCTTAATGGGTATAGGATATCATTTTACAGTGATAAAAATGTCCAGGAATTATATATGGTTATTGGTTGCCCCATATTGTGAATGCACTGGAAGCTGATTAATTGTATACTTTAAAGTTATTGAAATGATGAATTTTATTTAATTGAGTTTAACCTCAATAAAAAACAAAAAAGTTAAATATAAAGTTACCATATGACCCAGCACTTCCATTCTTAGGTATATATCTAAGAGAAATGAAAGTGAATGCCCCCCAAAATCTTGTCCACAAATGTTCATTATCACTAAAGCAGCAAATTAATAATATTGTAATGCTTCATTTTTAAATAAAAATAATAGGATATGAGCCTGATGAGAAGACAATTGTCTTTCTACTTAGCTAGAACACATTTTCGTCTTTAAGGTGAATTTATCTTTCAAATCATTTTGCTTGTAGAAAGCTTTCATTCAGCATTTCACATTCTTCACTTAGCAGAAGGCTTACATGATATCATTGAGCCATTCAGGAATTATATTGCCACATTAAATTCCAGCAATGAAAACTGCTTAAGAAAATAGTAAGTCTCCTAGTTTTACCACGAACAAGAATTTAAACTGATAGTTTAGTAGTGAATGTCATCTTAAAAATAAATTGTGAAGGAGATTCACATTACATTGCTTCATCTTAGGGTATGAGAAATAGATTATTACTGCAAAACCACACAAAAACTGTCTGAAGTCTAAAAATCAGAGCTACCACTTTGACTTATACTTAAGGAAATGGATATTGCAGCCTCAGCCTGAGCTTGGAGCCTCAGTATTCACTTGTGATGTTTCCTTGTTTTCAGCATCAAGGGTTATAAGGCAAAGCCTTGGTTTTACAGTGGAATCCCTTTACTGTGCTCAGACCAAGAAACCAACTAGCCCACTTCCTGTGATCTGGACTATTATATCCCACTTTGCCCATGTAAATGTATGTGATTTGCCCCTAACCTATCAAAACCCAAGTGAGAGCAGGGTCCTTCCATTAAATGGGACTTTTCTGTGTCTTATTAAACTACTTACCGTGAATTCTTTTACTACACAGGCAACTAATTAATATTGTTTTCTTTATATTTCTCTGGTTGTATCTAAACACGTAAATCAGTAGTAGAAAAACAAAGCATTTGGCTGTGTCCTGATCAAAATCTTTTAGAACCCCTTGAGATACAGAATATATATTACTCATCTTTGCACCCTCCGTGTTTAGAATAGTCCCTGAAAAATGAGTATTGAATAAATTTATATTTAATAAGTGAGTGTATGAATGAAGTGAAACATCTCCACTTTAAAAATATTCAGTGTTGTTGGGTACGGTGGCTCACGCCTGTTATCCCAGCACTTTGGGACGCAGAGGCAGGCGGATTGCTTGAGCCCAAGAGTTCAAAACCAGCCTGGGTAACATGGTGAAACTCCATCTCTAGAAAAGCACAAAAATTAGCCAGGTGTGGTGGCATAAGTCTGTAGTCCCAGCTACTCAGGAAGCAGAGGTGGGAGGCTCGCTCGCTTGAGCTGGGTAGGCGGAGGTTGCAGTGAGCCCAGAATCCACTCCACTGCGCTCCAGCCTAGGCGAGAGCAAGACCCTGTCTCAAAAAAAAAAAAAAAAAAAAAAAAAATCAGTGTTACCATAACTGGTTTCACTGATTTTCTTCCCAGTTTCAAACCTATCTAATTACTACAATTCTTCTAATCAAAAGCAAAAGAGTGAAAATTAAACTGATTTTTTCTGTGTCTTATGTCTTTTTCTCTGGGACAGCCAAAGTCGTTTCTTCTGAAATCAAGCATGCCATGTCAGGATCATTTTCTACTCCTTTCTACACATTCAAAGCATAACTCAGTCTATTGCCACTGCTTTATCATTTCCCAAGCCCTTCTCCCTGTCACTAGGCTTGTAGACTCTGTTCATGTTCTGGTTATCAAATTACTTGGTTATAACTATCTTTCTGACCCTCTTTGCCCTTATGCCTGGTACTACAGCATAACGAAATGACCAACACTAAAATTAGTTTCTTTTTATCCCATCGCACCTCTCTTCATGTTCTTGTGAGGGTTTCCTACTGTGCCATAGGTTATTCAAACATCTACTTTGTACACTCACTGCAAGCAAAATATAGTACACAGCAGGAGATGATGTGCATGTACACATATGTGTTTGTGCAGATACAAAAGAAAAGGGTTCACAACTTTAGAATATTATGATCTATAGGGGAAAGTAAATATAAATATTTAAAGGCATATTTGCAAATCAGTCATCTAAAACTCCTTCGTAGGTTAGTGAAAATGGAATCCAAATTTTATACACACATCAGAACTAATTAGAAATATTGATCGATTCTGAGAGCAAACTAATTTCATGTCCCCTGCAAATGACACTTTCCTAATCTTAAGCCCACACTCTTTCTTGATGCCTTTTTGAAAATGCAAAATAAATAGTCTACCATGTAGTAATTTGTGAATTTGGCTTGTCCTTCATTAGATTGTAAGCATTGGAAGACTGATACTGCTTTATTCCCCTTTATAGCTCCCTGAAGCCTCAAACGTAGAACCTGGCTCAGTAAATATTTGATTCAAAGCAGATCAACAAGTGCTAATGAATACATGTGGCCTACGTCCTGAGAGATCACAAAGTGAAAATGTGATCAGCATTCATATCAGTTAGGGAAGTTGTTTGGTGGAGGTAAATTTGATCCAGTTTTAAGACTGTAATTTGTGAAGCTTTTAGCCTAAGTTCTCATTTCTTCCCAGTACATAGGCCCTCACAGCTTCTTAAGCTGATATTTATCAAGGACAATTTCCTTACATTAAGCCTGGGCTATTTCTCCATTGTCCACATAACTTTCTATTTTTTCTCATTAAATGAAAATATTTTATATTATCTTTAATTGTTCTCTAACAAAAAGATCCACCAGAAATTCCAGATTGTTCTTTCCAAAAAGTTAAAAGCAAAAACAAAAACTCAGCCACCTGAATCAAGTTTGAACAATGTAGTATGTACAATAAAAAACAAACTTATTTATGAGCCAATGGAACACATTTGTCAAATTAATCTTAGCATATATGAGATAGGAAACATTCATTTTAACAAGAACAACACAGTAACGTTCAATTTTGATCTTGCTTATCTGGTAAATTGATATGTATGATGGTAGCATGTAGGAATATAAAAAAGCATGATTTGTAACCATAATATCTGAATTAGAGTATTGGTTCTGCTACTTTCTGATCATGTGAATTCATAAAAAATTATATACTTTGTATGGCCCTCAGTATCTTCATATAAAAAATAGATTTATAATTATTACAACTTCAGAACATTTTTCTGAGGAAAAAATAAGATAAATAATTTTTTGTAACTGTTTAGGTTCATAGATAAGCAATGAATTATTCTTTTCTTGGAAAATCCTCTTGTACAATGTTTGCATTCATTGGAGAAAAAGCATCCTTCAGAAGTTTCTCTGGACTCATTGATGCTCTTCTAATGAAATGCTTGATCAAGAGTGGCAACATTCTGCAGGAAAGGCAGCTGATAACATCTGAGCAATGCTCTGTCCGCTCTTGATACATCTTCCTCCATCTTTGTGCTGAAGCCCACAGTCTGTATCTCAGAAGTCAAGATTAAGTATGTGCTTTGCTTCACATTGAGATTCTTGGTTGGGCTTTATTTGACAAAAGAAATGAGACTTCTAGGTCTTACCTGTTTTGGGTAATGGAATATTTATTCACGGTCACATCTTTGCTAAGCATCATCTATAATCAAGTTAAGCTAATTAGTGATCATTTTATAAGAAATAAAATACCATTTTGCAGCTTAAAGAGGATTTTATGGTCCAATATTTGAGAACAGAGGATGATAATACTGAAAAGTTTAGTATTTTATCTGTCACTTTCCTGAGCTCCTATACTATATAGTCGTACCAAACAATCAAATTTTGTTATAAAGTTTGCAAGATTTTCTAGTTGTTTCATAAGTTTATGGTAGTCATGACTGTTGGAAAGGGGCCTCAAGTCATCAGCTGTGCTAATTAAGCAAGACATATTCTGTTCTCAATTTCATCATATATAGAATAAGGGAGTTAGTATATAATCAGAGGCTGCAAACAGTATTCTGTTTGTCCAGATTAGTTTATCCAGATTAGTGTTAGATGTTTTTAAATGCTCTTAGGTGGGTCAAACCCTTTCCAGATGTACAACAAGGTCCCACCACTTCTTATTGTCTTGCATCCAGACATTTTACACATTTTTGTGTCTTTTCTGACTCCTAGAAACTTACAGCCTTGGAATTTCTGGAATAGATTATTAACTAATTTCTTTCCAGTTTAAACATTCTGTGAGAGTTATAAAGTAAATCCTAATCTACCCTGTGAAAACTGGATAACTTCAACAGGGATTTCTGATAGTGTCAATGTGGTCATCTAAATTAATCTGGAAACCATACTCTACAAACATTTTTTAAATGCTAAAGTATTGTTTAAAAAACTTACAGTAGACTTTGTTAAAGGATACAGAATTACAGCCAGATAGGAGGAATAAGTTATAGTGTCCTATACCACTATAGGATGACTATAGTGAACAACAATATATTATAAGTTTCAATAGCTAGAATGAAGATATTGAATTGTTTTGAACACAAAGAAATAATAAATGTTTGAGATAATGAATATGCTAATTACCTTGATCTGATCATTATACATTATATGTATTGAAACATCGCTATGTACCTGATGAATATCTACAATTATTATTTGTCAATTGAAAAATAAAATAAAATTTATAAAATATATTATTTTAAAAACTTACAGCAGACTTTACAAGAAAGAAAAATAAAATGCTACATGCAAAGAGTATGAAGAAGAAGACCAAGAAAAGGGTGTGGAGAAGAAAGAGGAGGAGGAGAATGGAAAGTCAGAGCAGTAAGCAATGAGTTTACTCATGGTCGGTTCAAAAAAAAAACAGAAGGGAAGGAAAGATTTGGAGGTTACTGGATGATGAAGCTACTTGATCATAAAAAAAAAAAAACATGTAAAGGAAGAATTCAAGGCCTTGGGACTATGCAAGTGGGAACTGGAAATGGGATTCCTACATGAAGATGGGACCCTCAAAGTTTATACTTTGGGTAAAATGGGAAACTCAATAAAATCTATCCATTGGCCACAGGAAATAACAAGGGAGCTTATTGCTCTACATTAAAGGAAAGCTTTCCATTCGAATTCAGGGCCTTGGCCCATTCCTTACTTGGAGTTAGAGCAAAAATAGCAGTAGTTCTTATATGGCCCAGCCATGCAAGAAATTGACTTAAATTTGATTCTGAGCCAGTGGTAGTCTAGGGTACATGATATAAGTGAAATGCAAAGCCACTTTGGAGGGATATTCCCATGACCAAGGTGACAAGGGGTTCTCATAGGACCACATTTAAGATGAGTTAACTTTTTCAAATCACACAGCATGAAATAACCCAATCACCACAAATGCTTGATAATGTTTCTCTTCGTTCTTGTGTCTGCTCAGAATCTGAGGCAATAAAAGAACAATCTGAGAATGACTATAAAAAAATAAATATTTTAAATGGAAAACTACATAAAAGAAAGAATTAAAAGTGTAAGAAAAAATTAGATACTTAATTAAATATAGGCCAATTTGACCAAAACAAGAGTAAACATTTATAAATGAAAATGCAGTCTTTGATATAGAAAACCTCAATTGATGGGTTAAATAGCAGAGTAGCCAAGGGTAAAGATAGAATTGAGTATAGAATGCAACACAGCCTAATAAAGATATCAACTATAAGAAAGCAAGGTTTAGGAGTCAAGAAGAACACAGTGAGAAAGTCTAATATACCATACCTCTTGTAAGAAATCTTGAAGAGAATGGAATGATTGAAGTAGAGGCGTTTTCAAAGAGATGAGAAAAATTTTCCATAATGATGGAATGCATGCAACCTCAAATTCAAGAAGCACAGACAGCCCCAGAAAAAAAAACTACATACTTAGGTGCATCATAGTGAAATTATAATAGAGCAAAGAAAAACAAATGGTTCTAAAATCAGCCATGAATAAAAGACACATTTCTTACAAAGCACTGAGAAGTCACCTGACAGTAGACTTATTCCAATCTGTATTCCAAAATATGTATGATACTCCCCCAATTTTGTGGGGAAATGAATGACCTCTATGATTCATAGTAGCAACTATTCATAATACACCAGTTACAAAGCTCTGATTTTTTAAGTAGGAGGGAAAACGATAGTTTTACATGGTGGTTAGCAACTGATAATATCCAGCAGTCTTTTAAAAATATATAAAGAGTTCATGTTAAGCTATAGAATGTAGCTGGTTATAGTGAATTCTCAAACCACAATGTATAACTTTCATTTTCCTTCCCATTCAAAACATATCAGAGTACTCATGAATGCAAATGCCACCATTCTAGAGATTATGTGAAACTGGTCTAAGTTATAAATAGAGAAATAAACCATTACTGTACTAATTACATAACAGTAACAAATTACATATCAATGTGATTTGACATCACTTTTGAGAAGTATTTGCACAAAGCCATATCCTGTTTTGACAGACATCCCTAATGGATCAGATACCTCTATTGTAGGATGGGCATACTGTCGTTCTTAAAATGTATTTGTTTCACTACATTACAGGCACTAGTGGAGAATAGGAACTGAGAGAATAAATAGCATTTTTTTAAGTTGAGAAACCTAACAAAGTTAGAACCTTTTTTTGATTGATTTATTTTTCCCTTGTCTTTGCAATTACAAAGGCTTCTAGTTCTGAATTAGACAATATTGATCACTGAAGTAGTTCTATTCAGCAGCTTTATTTACAGGAGTTAAATGCCAAACGCTATTTTCATTAATGTTTGCATGAAGCTCAGATGTCTATGTTACAAATGTACTCTTAGTTCTTGAGGTTTTCACATCATTGATCAAAAAGGGGAAAAGGGTGTGTTTTTTGTTTGTTTGTTATTTAAATCCACATCACACATAATTCTAGATATTAAAAAATCTTTTTGAACATATTTAACTTAAATATCCTTTTAATGTTTGGTGCCTTTTTCCCACAGAAATTCAATTGTTTCTAAAAGTTTAAGAACAATGTATGTACATATGGATGATGAAGAAGTAGAGAAAATAAAAATGTATATGCAGTCATTCATCATACACAGATTTTATTCCAGAAAGTAAATAACTGAAGTCAATATGTATAATATCTCATGAACTCAACCTTATTAATAGCATAGTTTAAACTTTCTATATCTTCATAATATTTAGTGTGATGTATTTATCAGTTACAGAAAGTTCACTAATGTAAGTGTGATTTTCTCAATTCCTCATTGTAGTTCTATCCATTTTGTTTTAAGTATTTTGAAGCTCTGGTAAGCACATCAGTATTCTAAATAATATTTTTATCCCTTGGTAGTGGATGGCTTTATGCATAATAATATTTATTTAATATTTATTCTGTTTGTTATTATTTTAATTGTACTATTCTTAGTTGATTATATTTGTCTGGTATAAATGTTTACTTCTTTCCTTTTGGTCTTTATGATTCATTATGCTTTGAGAGAAGTTCTGTTTCTCTTAAAGAAGGAATGGGAGCTTAATTACCTGATCTCCCAGCATGCAACAGCTATGCATTCTATAAAAAGTATATTGAAAAAACTACTTGAGTGTTTTTCAGCCTGGACAAATGTAGGTAGATATTCCTGGGGAGTAGAAACTTGTACCAAGTGTTCCAATGGAATTGCATTTTTTTGCAACTTTACACTGAGAGCAGCCAGAATTGTTCTGGTTGGTGCTATGGGACAAAAGCCATATTTGGGGGGCTAAAATATTCAGGTGAAGGAACCTGTGGAATAAAGATTGACAAAGAATGACAGGGTAATCTAGGAAAGAAAAGAAACCCCAATATTCTGTGTCTAAAATCAGCCTGAGTCTCTGGTTTACATCTGAATCCTACATGCCTGGGGAAAGCTGAAATCAGCTTGTAGCTAAGGCCTAAGAAACTGAACTTAGTTCTGGGCTATTGCTTACAACTGGTATGACAGTTTTCAGCCTGAATCTAACCACATTTTGCCTGCTAAAACAAAAACATCAACAGTCATAGGAATAATATAACAAAATCCAGAATCTTCAAAACATAATATTCAAAATAAAAGCTAGGACAATGCAACCCCATCTCAAAGAAAACACAACCAGCAGATGCCAATCCTGAGATAACCTGGATGTTGGAATTATCAGGTTAGGACTTGTTGCAGGAAGTCAGGGACCCTGAACGGAGGGACCAGCTGAAACCATGGCAGAAGAACATAAATTGTGAAGATTTCATGGACATTTATTAGTTCCCCAGATTAATACTTTAATAATTTCTTACGCCTGTCTTTACTGCAGTCTTTGAACATAAATTGTGAAGATTTCATGGACATTTATCACTTCCCCAATCAATACTCTTATAATTTCCTATGCCTGTCTTTACTTTAATGTCTTAATCCTGTCATCTTCATAAGCGGAGGATGTATGTCACCTCAGGACCCTGTGATGACTGCATTATCTGTACAAATTGTTTGTAAAAGATGTGTGTGTTTGAACAATATGAAATCTGGGCATCCTAAAAGAACAGGATAACAGTGATTTTCAGGGAACAAGGGAGATAACCATGAAGTCTGACTGCCTGTGAGGCTGGGCAGAACAGAGTCATATTTCTCTTCTTTCAGAAAGCGAATAGGAGAAATATCACTGAATTCTTTTTCTCAGCAAGGAACAGCCCTGGGAAAAGAATGTATTCCCAAGGGGGAGGCCTCTGAAGTGGCTGCTCTGGGAGTGTCTGTCTTATGCAGTTGAAGATAAGGGATAAAATATACCCTGGTCTCCTGCAGTGCCCCCAGGCTTGCTAGGATTAGGAAATTCCAGCCTGGCGAATTCTAGTCAGACCGGTTCTCTGCTCCTGAACCCTGTTTCCTGTTAAGATGTTTATCAATGACAATGCGTGCACAACGGGACATGGAACCTCATTAGTAATTCTAATTTCACCCTGGCCTTGTGATCTTGCTCTGCCCCCATTTGCCTTGTGATATTTTATTGCCTTTGAAGCATGTGATCTCTGTGACCCACACCCTATTCGTACACTCCCTCCCCTTTGAAAATCGCTAATAAAAACTTGCTGATTTTGCAGCTTAGGGCATCACGGAATCTGCCAACATGTGATGTCACCCCCGGAGACCCAGCTGTAAAATTTCTTTCTTTTGTACTCTTTCTCTTTATTTCTCAGACCAGCTGACACTTAGAGAAAATAGAAAAGAACCTACGTTGAAATACTGGGGGCTGGTTCCCCCAGTAAGGACTTTAAACCATTTGTATATAACTATGTTTAGTGTGGTTTAAAAAAATACATTGTAGATGAATGAAAAAATGGAAAATTATAGAAGAGATATACTTACAATATAAATGAAGCAAATGCAACTTTTAAAACTAAAAAATGCACTACCTAAAATTAAAATTTTGCTGAATGGGCTTAATTTTACAGTGGAGATGACAAAGGAAAGAATCAGTGAACTTTCACTTAGATTAATAAAAACCATCCAATCCAAAGAAGCGTAGCTTAAAAGCCAATTGACAAATGAAAATGGAATTCTAAAAATTATTAACTAATTCAAAAAATAGCAGGAAAGGGGGAACATATGAATAAAAAAAACACAAGAAACCAACCTAAAACAAATAATAAAATATTAGGCCTGAATCAAACCATTTAAATGATGTTACTATCTGTAAATGGCCTAAATACTTCAATTAAGAGTCAAATGTTATCAGAACAAATAAAAGAGCAAGAATTAACTGTGTGTTGTCCATAAATATTGTGTTTTAAGTATAAAGACAGAGATAGGTTGGGAGTAAATAGATAGAAAAAGATATACCATACAAACACTGAGCATAAGAAGGCTGAGTAATTATATTGATGTCAGATAAAATAGGCTTAAATACCAAAATCATTACTAGAGACACGGGGACATTTCAAAACGAAAAAGATTCAGTTCTCCAGAAAGTCACAACAAATTTTAGTGTGTATATACTAACAAGAGAGCTTTAATGTACACACATATATATTATTGTCAGAACTAAAGAGAAAAATAGACATTTCCACAGTCATAGTAAGAGTTTTTTAACACAGTTTTCTCAATTGACAGAACAGTTTAAATAAAAATTCAGTAAAGACATAAAGAATCCGAATAACTGTGCTAACTATCCTGACCTAAATGATGTTGTCAGAATACTGTGCTAACTGCAGAATACACCTTCCATAAAATGAATATGGTATGTTCACCAACATAGGCCATTTGCAGCATCATTACACAAGTCCCAATAAATATAAAATGGTCAAAATACTATAGAACAATTTACCTGATAACAGTAAAATTATAGATCAAAAACTAGGAAAATGCCACTATGTTTTCTTTTAAAATCAAGCATGGATGCAAAAAGAAACTGAAAGGAGAAACATATGACAGCAAATCTCACAAAGAGCCAGAAAATTTCAATTTCATAATGTAAGGTGAGCATGTTGATGTGTGAAATGACAGCTTCTCAGTTTCAACAGCAGGAAAAGTATGCATGCACTGACAGTGTGAGTTTCTGCAGCTCTGGTTTTCTTCTTAGAAACAAAAGAGGTAATAGTGAACATGGAATCCCACAGACGATTCGTATTTCCAGGAAGCAACTTGTATTTATCGCATTGTGATTGGTATTGTGAACCATCTACAGCTGTCTATTTCCTTCAACTCGGAAAAAATAAAAGTTAAAAGAACAATCACAAAAGAAAATCCTCAGGCACAAATAAAGGTACCTGTACCTTAGAATAGAGTCCAGTCCTCTCTAAGACAATAACTTTCTACAAATAGCATGCCTGAAAAAAAATTCATCTGATTCAAAGATAAGAACAAAAAAAAATCACAGAAACAGGATCTATACAATTATACTTCCAGAAATATGGGAAATAGAGACAGAAAAACCACGTGGCAATTTTTTCTAAATTTACCAGAACAATGTTGCAATATTAGAGATGAAAACTATGGCAAAATATTTTACCATAATTTTTTTAATCATCAAAGCAATATCCTCTCTAGAAGAGCATAGAGATGCAAGAGCTATCATAATATCTTAAGAGACAACAGATGGAGATATGACAAGCTTGAACATTTCAGAAAAAAATCAAAGAAAACACAACACAGAAATGAAGGCAAAATTAGAACTAGCACAAGGAAAAATAGATATTACGATAAACTTAGTGAGTTACAAATACAGTAAGAAAAAATATGCAGTTTTTTTGTTTGTTTTTGTTTGCTTTTGTTTTGTTTTGTTGTTATTGTTTTTATTCTGAGACAGGATCTCTCTCTCTGTTGCCCAGGCTGGAGTGCAGTGGCATGATTATAACTCACTGCAGCTGTGAACTCCTGGGCTCAAGTGATTCTCCCACTTCAGCCTGCCAAATAACTGGGACTGCAGGTATGCACCACCACACCTAGCTAATTTTTCTTATATTTTTTGTAGAGACAGGGTCTCACTATGTTGCTGAGGCTGGTCTTGAACTCCTGGGCTCAAGCGATCCTCCTGCCTTGGCCACCCAAAATGCTGGGATTACAGGCATGAGCCACCATGGTTGGCCCAATAAGCAGAATTTAACTGAAAACAGTGCTATGAGAATCAAAGAGTAAATGACATAGAAGAAAGAAAAATTCCAATGTATATCCAGTTGAAATTTCTCAATAGGATTTTTTTAAGTAAGAAAAGAGAAGGAACAAGTTATGGTATAAACAAAAAAAAAAGCCTTTCCAGAAATAAAGCTAAAACTAGAATCCACATATTGAAAGTATACACTACATCTCCTGGAAAATTGACCCTGAATGGTGAACACTGAGGTATATCATAGTAAATACTTGAATCTCAAAGATGAAGAGCCCTTTGGATATTCAGTCAGAAATATCAAGTAATTGGTATGGAGAAAATAATTAGACTGGCTTCATATTACTCCACAACCACAGCCAATTCTAGAAGAAAATCTTCATAAAATCTTCAAGGAAATAAAGACAGTTCCAATAATTTAATCAATGAAGAAATAACTGGGAAAAATTTATCAAAATGACTCTTCAGTATTGACCCCATGGGACTAAAATTAAAACAACTGTGGGGGTTATGGTACCAGAATGGGATGTAAAGGTAATAATTTTTGGGAATGAAATTTGATAGGAAGTGAAGAGGTGGGGATTCATCTTTGTGTACTTTTTCCTTTATTTTTAATATTCAGGGCAAAAATAACATTAAAGTTAATATATAAAGTAATAGAGGCATACTATTATTTAGCAGTATGAAGTCAAACACTAAGAACGATGACATAATTAGTTGTAATTAGATGATGGATAAAAGGCAAGATGAAGGAAGGAAAGGGAGATACAATAGATACAAAAGTACAGTGTTTAAGATCAAAGATTCTGGAGTCAGACTACCTGTGTTTAAATCCTGACTCCACTAGTTATCTAGCTGCAAAACCTTGAGCAATTTGCTTAACCTTTTCTGCCTTGGGTCTCCAGCATAAACATTTAGTGTAATATTTCCACTCACTTTTATAGAGTTGTTATGAGGATTAAATATCTATATGCAAAGCACATAAGCTGACTTATCAGTTTATTATATTGTTTATGATGCTAATTTAATAATAATAATATTGTCTCCCTATCAAAAGTATATCCATCAGGGCTGGTCAGTGAAAAATAAAACCACTGTGGTGCTCCAACAAAGAAGGATTTTAATATAATTTTGTAGTTTTATTTTTATTGTTCTGTCTGCTTATTATTACTGCCATCCTCTCCTACAGTTTCCTCCTCATTGAATAGAAGAAATCTGAAACTACATTTCCCAGAAACCCTTTCCTTGTGTGATTCCAAATTAAAGTCTTTCAAAAAACAGGCACTTGTGTGAGATCATGAAGATAAAACAAAAGAGCCAGTTGGCAACTCTGAACAACGGATGACAATTGTTGAGCAGCTGCATGAACAGATAATAGATAAAAGTTTTGCAGTGGCTTGAGGTAACTTTCACTCTTAAAACTATTAGCAGCTGAGATTAGTGATGGTGGCTTTCTTTGAGATTCATGTTTATTTTAGGTTCATAGGATAAATTCCTATGAATCACTTTTTTCAGTACTTCAGGCAAGTGAGATGGTCATATGGACTTTCCTATAATCCTGCCACTTCTTGATTTTATAAACTGCAGCAGAAGCTTCCCTGAACTTCATTTCCACAGCTCTGACAAAGGCTTGTGAACCTCTAAATCCTTGTATTAAATTCTTTCCTACCGGATTCCTAGAAAGGACTTCTGGGAGAAGAGGGGCTTCAAAATGGCTGACTAGAGGCATCAGGTACTTGCCTCCTCCACAAAGAGGAACCAAAATAGTGAGTAGATAATCACACTTTGAATAGATCATGAAGACAGAACATTGGAATACAACAGATAAATGACAGGAAACATCTAAGACAAGGAAGGAGAGGGAAGCGAAGCAACTTGCACAGCCAGAATCAGCTGAGAGCCTGGAGAGGTTTCCCAATGCAGGGCAAAGGGTAACTGAGAGAGACCCCCAGTGGTTCACATTCCCACGGTAGACTCCTGCAATCCTAGGCATAGGAGAGCCGCTTGACCGTCCCAGGCCCTGAGACTAACACAGGAAGCTGCCTGGAGACTATGAGATGGCATTGCTCCAGAGAGGGGAGCTCATGCTGGATCTCACACACCCCGTGAGTCCTCAGCAGTTACAGCACAGCACCATTTTAAGAGTCCAGCCTCACCAGGCTGCATCCAGCCTTGGGGTTCAACAATCCCTGTGTCTCCACATCCCTGGAGCCCCACTGACATCCCTCAGCCACAGCCACGGCCGCTGCCAACTGCTGCAGCCTAGGCTGAAGTGCAAGCCATTGGCAGTTATCTCTTTGCCCCCAGCAATGGGGCTGCTGTGCATTTACAGGCGCCCTGAGGTCAGGCTACTCACCCACAGCGCCACCTAGAGCCAAAGTACACGCTTTCCAGCCACCTGCCTGTGGCTGCTGCCACTGAAAGCAACACCACACTCCCAAGGAGCAGGGCCATAGTGCAGCTGCTGCTGCCTCCACCTGAGCATTTCACTGGGGACCTGGTGATCACCCCACCCCTGCCTACCACAGCCAACATTTGCACACATCAACAGGGGGTCTGAGGACAAGCTCCACCAGCTCAAGTTTGCCTCACCCCTGCAGTGCCCAAGCACATCATCTTGGGGGCCTGGGGATCACCAACTCTTTTTTGATAAAAGTGCCAAGAACATACACTGGGGAAAATACACCCTCTTCAATAAATGGTGCTGGGAAAACTAGATATCTGTATGCAGAAGAATGAAATTGGACCCCTGTCTCTCACCATATTAAAAAAATAAACTCAAGATGGATTAAGGTCTTAAATCTAAGACCTAAAGCTCTACAGTTGCTAGAAGAAAACAAGCAAAACATTCAGGGCATTGATTTAGGCAAAGAATTTATGGCTAAGACCTCAAAAGCACAGGCAAATAAAAAATAGACAAATGGGGCAAAAGCTAAAAAGCTTCCGCACAGCAAAGGAAACAATCAACAGAGTGAAGAAATAACCTCTTGAATGGGAGAAAATATTTGCAAACTATTCATCCATAAAAGGACTAATATCCAGACTATACAAGAAACTCAACTCAGTAGTAAATAATCCAATTTAAAAGTGGGCAAGAGACATGAATAGACATTTTTCAAAAGAAGACATATAAATGGCCAACAGGCATTTTTTTTAATGTTCAACATCACTAATGGTTAGAGAAATGCAAATCAAAACTATAATGATTTATCATCTTACCCCAGTTAGAATGGCTATTATTAAAAAGAAAAAAATAACAGATACTGCCAAAGATGCAGAGAAAAGGCAACTCTGGTACACTGTTGGTGGGAATGTAAATAAGTACAGCCACTGTGGAAAACAGTATGGAGATTTTCTTTAAAAAAAATTAAACATAGAATTATGATACAATCCAGTAATTCCACTACTAGTTATTTATCCAAAGCAAAGGAAATCAGTATATCAAAGGGATACCTATACATCCATGTTTATTGTGGCACTATTCGCAATAACCAAGATATAAAATCAACCTAAGTGTACATCAATGGATGAATGGATAAAGAACATCTGGTATATGCACATGATGGAGTACTATTCAGCCATAAAAAATGAAATAATGTCATTTGCAGCAACATGGATGGAACTGAAGGTCATTATATGAAGTGAAGTAAGCCAGGCACAGGAAGACAAACATCACATCTTCTCACTCATATATAGAAGCTATAGAAGTAAATCTCATGGAGATGAGAGTAGAATGATAGATATCAGAGGCTGGGAAGTATGTGTGAGTGAGGGTTCCAGGAGAATAAAGAGAGGTTGGTTAATGGGTAAAAACATACAGTTAGATAGAAAAAATAAGTTCTAGAGTTAAATAGCTCAGTAGCGTGACTATAATTAGCAACAATGTAGTGTATATTTCAAAATGGCTAGAAGACAGGACTTGATATGCTCCCAACATATAGAAATAAGTAGTCAAGGAGATGGATACACAAAATAACCTGATTTGATTATTATACATCCTATGCACTTAAAAATATTTAATGTACCCAATAAATATGTACAAATATTATGTCAATAAAAAATAAAATTAAAATTAAAATAAATTTTAAAAAATTCCTAGAATGGCTTCTGCTTTACTGACCAACCCTAATTAATATGTTCATAAAAATAATATAAAAATGGAGAATTATAATTAAAATATTCATGGTAAGTGAATAAAATATTATTACATATTAATCTATAAAAGCAAACTTTTCTAAATATCTGAAGAAACACAGAAAAAGCAAAGAAATAATTCAGTTAATAAATATTTTTTTAAAGGCATACAAAGAGAAAACATAACATAAAATTTTGACGAAAGTAACTGAACTCAACACACTCACTAAAAAAAGGTTAAATGGATCACAAAATAATTGCTGTGGAAAAAAGATACCTACAACGAAGTGATTTAGAAAGACTGAATACGAAAACAAAAGAATGTGCAAAGAATAGCAGATATCATAACCTTAATATCAGACAAGGATGAATATGATGTAAAAGCTCTAAATGAAAGAACAAAAAAGTACTATTGTATAATGCTAAACATTAAAATTCACAATGAAGTTGTAACTATTATAAATGTTACAACTAACACTTTACAGTTTTAAATGTTGCACCAAATAACATGGCTCAACATTATTATAGAGTCAAAACAATAACGTATAAATTTTTAAAGTAGACAGAAATGATTATTGGCAGTAGTTTTATTCATGCACTCATTTTGTGTTAGGCCAAGTGGACAGATAACACAATTAGGAAGGTGAAGTTATTGGATATGTATCATATCCTATACCTTGAATACAGAATTCATTTTCTATTAAGAAACATTTGAAACATTTTCCCCGAAACGTGACTGTATATTTTGCTAGAAGAAAAATTGTTTTTCAAAATATAAGAAAAGTAAAACAATGTGAATAGTATTCATTAATCATAACTCAATTAAAGTAAAAGTTAATGACAAAACCAGAAACAAACAAAAAATGTGTTTTAGATGCTTTCTGTCAAACAAATCCGAGAGAAAATAAAACCTTAAATTGTAGAATACCTAACAAATAATGAGAGCTAAAACACTACTTATTAGAACCCTGTGATGCTTCTACAGCAGACTTACATACTTATATTTCACAGACTTACATACTTATACTAGCAAGCAAATTTAAATATATGATCATCAAGCTTAAAAAGTTAGGGGGAAAAAAAACAAACAGAAAATAAGCCAAAGGAAATCAGAAGTCTGAAATTAAAATGATAAATATTAATGAATTTTATTAAAATAGTTGATCCTTTAAATAAAACCATAAAAGCCATAAATGCTTAAGCTACTCTAATCAAAATAAAACATGAGGGTGTTTCTTAAAGGGAAGAATATTAAAATAACCATAGATGGAGACATCTAAAAGAATAGTAAGACTCCTTTATTCAAGTTTATCCAAACAAATTTATTACAATGAAATGCATAATATTTTAGAAAAATGTAATGTACCAAAATCTACTCAAGAAGGCATAAAAAAAATCTATCATTAGTATTGGAGGGTCAACAATTTCACAGCATTTCTATCCTTGGAATTTATCTTGCGGATACATTTGCATATAGGAAAAATGATATATGCACAAATTGTTTACTGAAAATTGTTTGTAATGACAAGAAATCTGAACAACCTAAATGCTGTCTATAGGGAATGGGTTAAAATGAATTATGATACAGTCATAAAGTGGAATGCTATGTAGCTCAAACGATCAAAGAAACAAAAGCAATACATTATTAATATATAAATAAATATATACATGGGACAATCTTCAAGATATATTGTAAAGTACCAAAAAGTGAGGTGAATAAATGAATGTATAGTACTCGAGCAGTGCTTTAAAAGTGAAAACAAAAGATAATTATATTTACTTGTAACTTGTATGTGTGTTTGTATATGCGTACACATATATATACATACAATTTTTCTGGAAGTAAAATGGGAACCTTATAATAGGTTCTATGAAATGGAGCTAAGTGCTTAGGGGACAGAAGTAAGACCTTTTTTTTTATTTTTTACCCTTTTGTACATTTTGATTTTTTTTTTTTCTTACTGCAACTTCTGCCTCTGAGGATCAAACAATCCCTCCCACCTCAGCCTCTTGTGTAGCTGGTACTGCAGACACAAACCACCACGCTGTTAATTTTTTTTTTTTTTTTTGCCTTTTGTAGAGGCGGGGGTCTCACTTTGTTGTCCAGGATGGTCTTGAACTCCTGGCCTCAGGCAATCCTCCCTCCTTGGCCCCATAAAGGGTTACGATTACAGGCATGAGCCACCACACCTGGCCCACTTTGAATTTTGAATCACGAGAATGTTAATTTTAAAATACATTTAATTTAAAGAACAATAAAAGAACAGCAGCAGAATCAAAAACCTCTTTATCAAGAGGGCAGCTGAAAATTTATGGTTGATTTAGGTATTTGGTCTCCAAATCATAGCCCTTACCTCCCATAATATACCCAAAGCAAAAGTGGGAAAATATAGTATTTTTCTATTTTACTCAATCACCTTGTCCTTCCGTTTCCAAGTGAAATGGGAAAGTTAATACATGTGGAGACAAAATGGAATATAGTTTTAAAATTCAAATTAAATATTTTAAAATAATTGAAAGTCATTAGGAATAAAACCAATTTCAAAATTTAACTCACAAAATATACATAGTTGTTTGGCTACAAAGAAAAAAAGGCTTTGCTATGGAGACCCCTACTTGTAGTACCTACCAAGGAGTAATTGAATCTTAATTCAGGTTTAATAACTCCTTTCTGGATTGGAAATTTTCTGCTAAAGCTCTTTTATAGTATGGAAATGAAAGAGTTCTAACAGACCTTTCCACCTCAATTATAGTTGGCTTTCAGAAAGCAGGAGAGAACTTATACAAGTAGGACAAGGTTTGGTACATCCTAACCTTCCTCGATATTTCATTAAAATGTCATTAAGAAAATTCATTTCTCAGAGTCTATTTTTTATTTCAGAAATGTAATGCAATTCACAATCTAAGTTGCTCTAGTTGGTAGAATGTAACATGGGTCTCATTCAACCATTGGAAAAATAATTCTAATCTTTAAAAGGTCTGTTTTTTATTTCCAGATTTGCAAACAGCTTGCAGTGTAACATTGGATGACTCATAATATTTTGATTTCCAAGTCTAAACCTTTCCAAATTGGGCTGATAATATCAACAGCTTGAAGCCATCTCTTTGTAATGTTCTTAATGAAATAATGTTTCAGTAATAGTCAGTCTTGGGGTCTGAAACAGTCCCTTAGGTTTGAACAATACAAGCCTAAAAGATTTAACCTGCTGAAGGCAGAGTAAAGCAAGAACAGTTTTAGCGTATCAGGAATCATTTAAGCTACATCTAAGCATAGCTGCCTGCTAGTTTAACTATTTTGTATAAACTAATTGGCGTGTTAGAACGGTGTAGTCAGCCACATGATCCATTAATAATTTAGTGCTAACTGCCTAAAGAGTAATTAAGGACCAATTATTTTAGATTGGTCGAATCGGTTTGCTATATAGATATATAACTTTAGTGAGCTTTTCTTCTAATTTCCTTAATGTTTACTAATATTTTGTTTATTAAGCAAACTGCAAAATTCTTAATCCAGAGCAAGCACTTTCTAAAAAATATCCTTTAGGGGCTTATGCCTGTAATCCCAGCACTTTGGGAAGCAAGGGCAGGAGGATAGCTTGACCCCAGGAATTCAAGATCAGCTTGGGCAACATGGTGAGATCCCATCTCTACAAAAGAATGAAACAATTAGCTGGGCCTCATGGTGAGCACCTGTAGATCCAGTTACTCGGGAGGCTGAGGCAAGAGGGCTGTTGGAACCTAGGAGTTGGAGGCTGCAATGAGCTATGATCATGCCACTGCACTCCAGCCTGGGCAACAGAGACCCGGTCTCTAAAAAAATAAAATAAAATAAAATAAATGTTAAAAAAAATCACGTACACTGCAGTGTCTTTCATGAATAGTAGCAAATGTCTTACTTACTAGTCTTTGGTAAAACTCTTCATCTTTAATCTGCAAGTTTAAATCATACCATGCTGGGTTTTTATTAAGCTTTTTTTGAGACAGGGTCTTACTCTGTAGTGCAGGCTGGAATGCAGTGGCACGATCACGGCTCACTGAAACTTCCATCTTCCAAGCTCAAGCGATCCTCCTTCCACCTCAGCCTCTGGAGTAATTGGGACTACAGGCACGCACCACCATGCTTGGCTAATTTTTAAATTTTTTTGTAGACAAGAGGTCTCACTATATTGGCCCAGCTGGTCTTGAACTCCTGGACTCAAGCAATCCTCCCGACTTGGCCTTTCAAAGTGCTGGGATTACAGGAATGAGCCACCCTGCCTGGCCTAAACAAATTTTTCATTGTAGTAAAATATACGTAAAATTTACCATCTTAACCATTTTTAGGCGTAC
This sequence comes from Homo sapiens, assembly GCF_000001405.40. NCBI lineage: Eukaryota > Metazoa > Chordata > Mammalia > Primates > Hominidae > Homo > Homo sapiens. The sequence continues at coordinate 114,156,169 of NC_000023.11, read as the reverse complement.
ATTTCAGTAGTGTTAAGTACATTGTTGTGCAACCATCACCATCATTCATGTCCAGAACTCTTTTTACCTTTCCAAACTGAAACTTCCTTCCCATTAAACAACTTCCCATTCGCCTCTCCTCAGCTCCTGGCAACCACCAATCTACTATCTATTTCTGAATTTGACTACTCCAGGTATCATATATAAGTGGAATCATATAATATCTTTCCTTTTGTTACTGGCTTATTTCACTTAGCCTAATGTCCTCAAGGATCATCCACATTTTCACCTGTGTTAGAATTCACTTCCTTTTTAAGGATAAAAATATTCCTTTGTCTGTATATACAATTTTTTATTGTATTAATTTATTGATAGACACTTGGATTGCTTCTGCCTTTTGGATGCTATGAATCATGCTGCTACGAACATGGTCGAACAAATACCTGGTTTAGTCCCTGTTTTTACTTCTTTTGGGTAAATACCCAGAAGTGAAATTGCTGGATCGGATGGTATTTCTATGTTTAATTTTCTGAGGAATTTTCATACCATTCTCCATAAAGGCAGCACAATTTTACATTCCCACCAACAATGCACAAGTTTTTCTATTTCTCTACATCTCCACCAAAATTTATTTCACTTGTTTTTTACAATAGCCATCGTAATGGTTGTGAATGTATAACCTTAGTGAATCTTGACTAAATGAAATGAATGAAAACAATTAAATAATGTTCAGTGTTGTTTAAAAGCTTTTAAAGCCATGAAATCCATTGTTTAGACTATGCAAACGCTTACTCTCTAAAAGACATAGCAACATGGCCATTCTGTTTGAAATGAGGTTGGGGCAGCAGAGCTCTGCCGAGTTTCCAGGCTTCCAGTCCTCTTTCTTTCCTGTGATACCGTAAGGAAACACCCCAAATCAGTAAACAGTAACAAATAGCTCAAAATATCACTACTTCAGACCCGTAAGTGTTCAGACTTGTAACCTATGCTTTGGTGCCTAGTATAGCCGCCATTTCAGTCTTTAAAGTTAGTTTCAAAAGTGAAAGCAAAGAATTTAAAACTCAGAGCTACACTTAAATCTGTTAAATATACTGTGTAATCCTACAAGTGCCCTCACAGTTCCTTGGCATTTGAAAGTATTTTGCAAATCCATATTATCCCTTAATCCTCTCAAATTGACTCGAAATGCATTGACATCATTTAAAAAGTAATTTCAAGCTGATGAACCTTTTACTGTCCTTGTATTTTAAATCCGAATAGTGTGGAATTTAAATTGCTTGAACATCCAATCATGTCTATATGTGTGATTATCCAACAAATATACTCTACAGGAGACTCTACTTAGTGGGTTCCCAATACCCCATTACCCTTTTAGTGAAATCCACATTCATGAGTGCTTTTTCTAATATGTGTATGCATATCATAGTTTCTAAATCAATCGGACAATGAAAAGGCAGCATATTATGATGGTCAAGTGTACAGACTCTGGAACCAGGCTGCTTGAGTTAGAGCCTAGTTCCACTACTTACAAGCTGTGCCACCTTAGGTAAATCAAGTCCCTTCTCTGAGCCTCAACTGTCTGATTTGTTACACAGGGATAATGTTGGAACCTATTTCAGAGAATTGCTATGAGGATTAAATGAACCAATATTTATGAAGTAATTAGAACAATGCTTGACATGAACACCATAAATCAAATTTGATGAAATTTTTTTCTCTTCTGATAAAGTTATGTTATAGCTATTTTTCCCTAGAGATCTGTTTCATTCTAATATATGTTGTCTATGTGCTACCTCACTTAGTAAAGCCAAGAAACTGCATATGGACTTAATCAGTGTCCTTCCAGAAAGTGTTTTAAATGCCACTGGGATGGGAGCTGGTTACTGCAAGCACTTTATAATCTGGTGATTGCTACATTTCTTGTCATCTCCCGTCAGTTTCTTACATGCCTCTTTGATTCAAGTCATAATGAAATATTTATAATTATCCAAAAGAATGATGCCTTTTCAAACCTCTACACCTTCCCACATCTTGTTCATTCTTCCTGAATTATCCTTGTAACACTTTTTCTTCTAGCTAAATAACATGAATTTTCAGTACTGATTGAGAAATCGTGATTAACTGGTGAATATTATTTGAGTTCTGGGCATGATGACAGACTATCAAAACAATCCCCAAATCAAGAAACTCCATGGGGAAGCAAACAGTAGATATTCCATATTAGCCTTCTCAGCATGTGTTATAGCATAAAATTCATTCAACCTAATATACAACTTAAGTCTCTACTATATAGAAAAAGAAATCAGGTCATCATGGCCACCATACTGCATGTAAACAGAGCACTGGTTCCTCCTCTGCCTTTACTCCATTCTCCCTCTCTTTTCTCTGGAGTCTGTCTCCTGAGAGTGCTCCTTAGTACTCCTGGTTCAACTATACACCATTTTTAAGCACTTGTTACCCCTCAGAAATTCTGGGCAGTTTCCTTATAAGTTGTCATTCCTTTTCCGTGCATTCTAGTGGATACCCCTGACCTCATTGGTGTAACTACTACCCAGAGGTAGAACATATTCAAAACCCTCATACTACTTCCCAGTCAATAGTCCCCTGATGTAACCACTATTTTGACTTCTGTCATTGTATATCAGTGTTGGTTGTTTTTAAACTTCATATAAATAAAATAAATATAGTATGCCCTTTTTCACTCAACATTATTGTAAATGAGATACATTCGTGTTGTTCCATGTTGTATTAGTTTGTTCTTTTCATTGTTCTCTTGTATGAATTTACAGCAATTAATCTAAATATTATATTGTTTGACATTTGTGTTATTTCCAGTTTTGACCATTATAAATAATATTTCATGAAACTTTTCACATCTTTTAGTACAAATATGGACTTATTTTGGGGGGAGTATACCCTAAACTGGAATTCCTGGGTCACAGAAATACATGTGCATTTGTGTGCGCAGACACACACACACATGCACACACACACACATACCTCCCTTCCAAGATCAAATATTAATTATCAGAAAAATGACTATGACTCTAAACCCATAATGAAAAGGAGAATCAACAATCATTTATGAGGCACCTTCTGTCTTTTATGACCTATACTAGGCATGACTGCCCCATAATTTGTAAGACAGATTGTTTTCTAGTGAAAAGCATATTTAACATGATAAAGAAGATAGTCTTGGTTCCTTTCTTTTATTACTCACCATTCTCCTATGCCTGTCAGACGTTGCCCCTTCAGACATGCTATATGTAAGAAAGAGCCATAATATTGCCATAAATGCCTCTTAATATCCACTCTTTTGGCTAGGAAAATTCAACTAGGAAAACTTCAGATGCCAGTAATTCCTAACCAGGGGTCTTTCTAGTCCATAATCCCTGAATAAGAGAGGAAGCATGTGGTATGAAAGTAAGAGGTGGTTTAATTCTTCTGGTTACATAGGGTTAAATAAGAATAAAAAGCATAAGCCATTTTCCCAGCCATATTACAAAAAGTATAAGGTGTTGGTAAGTATTAGAAGGAAAAAAAGTGTTCTAGAGTTGTGGAAAATGATAGTTTAAAAAAATTGAGCAGGTTTCTTTACTACAAGAATTATTGATACTTTTAATATTTTATGAAGCTCTAAGTTAGTGATGCAGACTTTATTATTTCCCAAACTTATTGAATATGAAACTATTTTCTTGGACTACCTAGTAACATTTTTTTGGAATCAATGATTATTAGAACCCATCTTAAGAAATACAGCTATAGGCAAATAAGGAATGCCATGCAGCCAAACAAACTGAGTCACTTCCAAACTGAGTCACTCCATAGGGACTGGAGAAGAATCTTGCAGAGTTTTGCTCTGTCAACAGTTACTTCCGGCATGACTAATATGCTCTAGGCCCTATATTAGATACAGGGAAGTTAAAAATGATAAGATTCAGGCCCTTCTGTAGAGTTACTGACAAGCATGAGTAGTGCCTTCTTATGCAAAAACCATCTTATTCAGGGCTAGAATCCTAGAGCAGCTTTTTAAAAATTAAACTTTGTTTTTAAATTGATAACAAAAATTGTACACATTTAGGGTATATAGCGTGATGTTTTCATGTATGTATACATTTATCAAAATGTATAAGAGGAATGGCTAAATTAAGCTAATTAGCATATCCATTACCTCACATATTTGTCATTTTTTGTGGTGAGAATATTTAAAATCTCTCTTAGCAATTTTCAAGTATACAGTACTGTATTAGTCCGTTTTCACGCTGCTATAAAGGTACTACCCAAGACTGGGTAATTTATAAAGAAAAGAGGTTTAACTGACTCACAGTTCTGCCTGGCTAGGGAGGCCTCAGGAAACTTAAAATCACGGCAGAAGGGGAAGCAGGCATGTCTTACTTGGGGGCAGGAGAGGAAGAACCCTTATAAAACCATCAGATGTCATGAGAACTCACTATCACAAGAACAGCATGGGGGAAACCACCCCCATGATCCAATCACCTCCTTCCCTCAACACATGGGGGTTACAGGCCCCTCCTTCAACATGTGGTGATTACAATTCAAGATGAGATTTGGGTGGGGACACAGAACCAAACCATATCAAGTACATTGTTATTAACTACAGTCACCATGTTGTACAAGAGACCTCCTGAACATTTTTCTCCTAAGTGAAATTTTGCATCTTTTGACCAATATCTTCTTAAATAACTCCCATGCCCCCTAACTCTGTAACCACCATTCTATTATCTACTTCTATGAGTTTGAATTTTTAGATTCCACACCTAAGTCAAAGCATGAAGTATTTGTCTTTCTGTGCCTGGCTTATTTCATTTAGGATAATGTCCTCCACGTTCATCCATGTCTCAAATTACAGGATTTCCTTCTTTTTATGGCTGAATAGTACTCTATTGTGTCTATATAACACATTTTCTGAATCCATTCACCCGTTGATGGACATTTAGGTTGCTTCTATATCTTGGCTATTGTGAATAGTGCTCTGGAGCAACTTTCTTACCTAACAGTATATACAGGAGTATTGTCTTTTGGGGGTTGCCTTGTTTTTCCTGTTTCTTTATGAATAAAAGTATATATCTCCCACAATTCTGACTAGCATTTGTAGTAGTCCTGGCTTTCAGAATTACAAGATACTGTATTTGGATAGTACAGTCATAAGCCACATCATGACATTTGGTCAAAACAAACTGCAAATACCATGGTCATCCCATAGTTTTATAATGCCATATTTTTACTGTACATTTTCTATGTTTATATAGATTTAGATACACAAATACTTATCGTTGTGTTACAGTTGCCTACAATGTTGAGTGCAGTAACATGCTATACAGGTTTGTAGCCTAGGAGCAATAGGTTTTACTATATAGCCTACTTATGTTACATAATTTAGGTTTGTGTAAGTACCCTTGTATTAGTTCATTGTCACACTGCTATAAAGAACTACCTGACAGTGGGCAATTTATGAAGAAAAGAGGTTTAATAGACTCAAAGTTCCACAGGCTTAACAGGAAGCATGACTGGGAAGCTTCAGGCAACTTACAATCATAGTGGAAGGCGAAGGAGAAGCAAGCAACTTCTTCTCATGGCAGCAAGAGAGACAGGGCACAAAGGGGGAAGTGCCATATGCTTTTAAACCATCAGATCTTGTGGGAACTCACTCGCTATCATGAGAACAGCAAAGGGGAAATCTGCCCCCATGATCCAATCACCTCCCACCAGGCCCCTTCTCCAACACGTGGGGATGACAATTCGACATGAGATTTGGGTGGAGACACAGAGACAAACCATATCAGCCCTCTATGTTGTTTACACAATGATACAATTGCCTAAGGATGCATTTCCCAGGATATATTCCTGTCGTTAAGAGATGCATGACTATACTTCATATTTTTTTAACATTTTGCATGTCCTTTATCTCATTAGAACCACTCAGTTTCTGTGATTATTAGACAAAAGAGAGATTATTTTCATTAGACCTATGGAGAAATTGAGAGAGAGTTAGCATGGAAGTCAGCAGGATGGAGTGGGAGAAAAGAACTGAAGAAGACGCCAAAGACACACACCCTGGTTCCCTAGCAGCCACTAACTAGATACATGACTTTTTACAGTTGTTTATACCCCTTTTCAAATAATGATACCCCTTTTCTATGTACCTGTTAGAGTTGTTGGGAGGCAAAATAAAACTTAGATAAAATACTTCGCAAAAATATAAGCAGTAGGCAAATATGAGTATTCTTATTGACTTGCTCACAGCTATATACTTCATCAGAGATAAAGTTAGTATGAGAAACCAACGCTCTTGAATGAATCTAGTGCTTTTCAAAAATATTAAGATGTGGGAAAATAAAACAAATACAGATTATTGAATATCTTCCTAAACCCTTTTCATAATTCCACACTTGACCTGCAGTAGCCTGAGCAAGCTTTTTAAAACATTAAAAACTTTGATCATGTCATTCCTTTGCCTAAAGCTGTTTGATGGCTTTCCATTGCAATAAAAATAGGATCTGCACTCCTTTTTGTGATCTACAAGACCAGGCCTGATCTGGCTGATGCCTATCTTACCAGTCTCTATTTAATGTTTTCGTTATTTACTACCCTCCAGACACATTCCTTTTACTTCCTTGAATTCTCCAAGTTCTTCTTTCCTATATTAAAGCTTCTTTAGGTGCTAGTTCCTTTGCTTGAAATGATCCCTCTGCCTTCATCTTCATATTTTGGATCTCAGATTAAATGTTATTTCTTTAGAGAGGGCATCACATGTATTATATATCTCATGGTACTTACCCTCATAGCACCCTGCCTTTCTTTATGGCAAAGTCTTTATAGTTTTTGTAATCTTTATTAAAAACAAAAACAAAAACAGGCTGGGCGCGGTGGCTCACACCTGTAATCCCAGCACTTTGGGAGGCCAAGGTGGGCGGATCACGAGGTCAGCAGTTCGAGACCAGCCTGGCCAAGATGATGAAACCCAGACTCTACTAAAAATACAAAAATTAGCCAGGTGTGGTGGCATGCGCCTGTAATCCCAGCTACTCAGGAGGCTGAGGCAGGAGAATCACTTTAACCTGGGAGGCGGAGGTTGCAGTGAGCCAAGACTGCACTGTTGTACTCCAGCCTGGGTGAGAGAGCGAGACTCCATCTCAAAATAAAAAATAAAATTAAATAAATTAAAAAAATGAAAAAACAAATGAAATTTTTTGTGTTATTATTTTTAAGTGTTTCCTTTTCCTGATGTACTATAAACTTCATGAAAGCAGAGACACTGTAGGTTTTTTTAATTAGGTTGTATACAATGATTATCACAATAACTGAAACATAGTAGCCATTCAATAAATGTTTGTTTAATTAATTAACTTGGCTGCACACTACTTTTTATCAAAAGCATCATTGCTGTGTTTGAGAAAAGAAAGAATACTGCTTTATGAATGTAAACAGTGTGTGACTAAGCCTTTAGTTTGAAAGAATAATCATTAATAGTACTGAATATTTTTAATTATATTGCTATGTTTTTAACCTGTGATTCCCATCTGAAGCATATTGGTATTCCTTCATCCCTCACAGCCCACTGCCAGCCACCATCTCCTTTTGCCTTTACTGTCAATACCTATTTCTCTGGTTTCATACAAACTTTGAAAGAATACAGAACCTCCTGACAAATGTAAATCTGCTGGGCAAGAAAACAGAGTCACCACTGATGGGAAAGATATGTTAACTGTAATAACTATACACGATGCTATTTTTTAAGGAATTTTTAGCATTAAATAAATATTTCCCTTAATCACATATTACTTTGATCATTATTTAAAAGGAGTAGAAAAAATAAAATTTTAGTTTTATTACATTTATTTTATAATAAATAGCAACAGAAGACAAATATCAAATTCTGAGGCATCAGGTAAAATTTCACAGTGTTCCTTTCTCTTCATGTCTCAAGAGACCACTCCTGCTTTCCAAATGTTGCAGCTTGTATTAAACAAATAGCTCATAGACCATGCCGCTGCTGGGTGTCTTGCAAAGACCTGTGTGTTTTGTTAATCTCTGAGCCCATCTGTGGCATTCCTGTGCCAACATTAGAAATGATCTGTAAAATATTTAATATCTTCAGTGCTTCAGGATTCCTAATGATTCCAGAATAGTAAGCATTGACTATAAAATACCTTGTATGAAAAGGGAAAGAAAAAAGCATGTTTTCTATTGTTATTCTTTTTTCTTTTCTTTAAACACATTGTCACCAGTCAATTCAGTAGTGTTGCAGGCCGCTGTTTATTCCTTCTTTTACTCATACATTCTTTTACTCATTCACTCCTTCTTTTTTTTTATATTGAAGTAATTATAAATTAACTTAGCAATTGTAAGAATAGCAGAGACTTCCCATGTATGTTTCACTTGACTTTCTCCAATGACATCTAACAAAACCACAGTACAATTAACAAACCAAGAAATTGACATAGTAGCAGAACAATTAATCTACACATTTTATTCAGATTGTAACGATATTTACATGCATTCATTTTTGGTGTATAATTATGTAAAATATTATCACATGCATAAATCTGGGTAATCAGCACCACAATCAAGATGCACAACTGTTTTAACACCCTAAAGAAACTCCCTCATACTATCCCTTTATAGTCACACACTTTAGGCAGCCCTAACACCTGGTAAACACGTCTGTTATCTATCACTGTAATTTTATTATTTTAAGAATGTTATGGAAATAGAATCATAACAAGGTAATCTTTGGAAATAGCTTTTTAAAATTCAGCATAATGCTCTTGAGAGCCATACATGTTATCTGTATCAATAATTTGTTCCATGTTATTGTTGAGTAGTATTCCATTGTAATCCATTCATCAGTTGTAAGACATTTGGATTATGTACAGTTTTTGACTATTACAAATGATGCTACTACAAACATTTCTACACAGGATGTCATGCAAACATATGTCTCCATTCTCTTGGGTAAATAGCTAGGAGTGAGATTGCTGGGTCACACGGTAAATATATGTGGTCCTTTATCAGAACTGCCAAAATGTTTTCCAGAGTGACTATGCCACTTTAAATTCCCACCAGCAATCTGTGAGTGATCTGCTTTTTCCAAATCCTCGCCAGATTTTGATGTTGCTATTAATTTTTATTTTAGCCATCTTTTAGGTATATGGTATGATTCACTTCATGGTTTTAATTTGAATTTCTCTAATGGCTAATCAAGTTGAACACCCCTACATGTGCATATTTACCATCTGTATATCCTCTTTGGTAGGTGTCTTGTCCTGTCTTTTGCCAATTTTTGAACTGGATTTTATTTTCTGTTGATTTTAAAGTATTCTTTAAATGTTTGGTATGTAAGTCCTTTGTTGGAAATGTGATGTACAAATATTTCCTCCCAGTCTGTGGCTTACGTTTTAATTCTCTTAACATGGTTTTTCAAGTGCAAAGGTTTCTAATTTTGACAAAATCCAATTTTCAATTTTTCCTTTTATAGATCATATCTTTGGTGTCAAGTCTAGGAACTTAATGCCTAATTCTAAATCATGAGTGTTTTCTCCTGTTCTTTATTCTAAAACTTTTATGGTTTTACACTTAACGTTTAGAGCTGTAATCCAGTTGAGTTAATTTTCATGTAACTTGTGATAGTTAAGTTGAAACTTTCTTTTTTCCTTTCCTTTTTTAACCTGTCAATATCTAATTGTTAAAAGACTATCTATCCTTCTTCCTTTGAATTGCTTTTGCACCTTTGTCAAAAATTAATTCACCATACTTATTTGGGTGTATACTGGACTCTGTATTCTGTTCCATTGATACAGATCTATTCATTTGCCACACTTTCTTAATTACTGAGTCTTAAAATAAGGTAATTGATTCTTCCCACTTTATTCTTCTTTTTAAAAATTGTTTTAGGTATTCCACCTTCTTTGTTTTTCCATATACGTTTTAAAATCAGCATTTTAAAGATATCTACACAAAATCCTGCTGGGGTTTTGATAGGGATCGTATTAAATAATAAATTTGGGGAAAATTAACATCTTTGCTACTTTGAATTTTCCATAAAACATAGTAGGCCTCTCCATTTATTTAAGTCTTCATTTATTACTTTCTTCATTATTTTGTCGTTTTCAGATCATGTAGATGATTTGTTAGATGTATACCTAAATATTTCGGTTTGAGTTATTATAAATAATATTATAATTTTAATTTTTATTTCCATTGCAAAATTTGATTTGTTCATTACTGGTATATAAAAATATGATTTATTTTTATGTTATAACTTTGTGACAATGCTAAATTCACTTGTTAATTCTAGGAGTTATTTTTTTTAATTTTTGTAAATTTATTTCACAACTAACACAGTATCTAAGAGATTTTTTAGGTAGGTTCCTTGAGATTTTGTACACAGATAATCATGTAGAATGACTTTATTTTTGATATTAGGTTTTCACCAAAACTTTGTGAACAAGGGACTTGTCATAATGTTTTTCTCTGTCATACAGACTGTTCAAAGTTTTTAAATTATTTTTTCCTTCTTTAATTCTAAGGCCTCAAATCAAGTAATACCATTATATAAGGCTTTGCATCTCTAACACTCTATTCCAAAATTGGAAATTCTTTCTCTTTCTCCTCCTTCATTTTGACCTGATTTAGATATCAAAGGTTATCCTGATGCCATCTGCACATCTTTGCAGAAAAGGATTTTTGAAACATTAAAGTTTGGAGATGAGAACCTCATCCAAAAATAGTCATGGAGGCAAATCTTCTTCTCCTGTAAAAAATATAACAAATGACTACAAGTTTCTCTTTATTTAACCATTAGGTACTATTATAACCATGAATGTATGACTTCCTTCAGGTTTGCCCTTCTCCAAGATTTCCTATATCCAGAAGCAGAAATATTTCCTCTTGGATGTTCTCATTAGATGTCTTCTCTGCAGAAAAAATTATGCTAATAGTTATCTCCTCCATCCATCTAAAATTGCCACCATTCACCCACCCAAACCTCCTTACCACAGCCCAGCTTGTATTTGCTGGACAAGTATGTATTACTGGTGGGAAATGTGGTTCAAATGTATTGCATTTGTTTATTTTTGAGCTCTTTATTGAGAAATAGTCTCCCTTTGAAGGGCATCAGAAACCTAGAATGTAAATGTGGGTATGTTGATCCAAAAAGCTGCCCATTGATCATCACCATTCTCCACCTAAGAGTTACCAGACAACATCTTATGTGTTTGAAGTTAGCAAGAGTATTTTTAACCTAATAAACATGGTTATGGAAGGCCTTACTTTCCCAGATGGATTAATGCCATATTAAAAAATTTCACAATGGACATCTGCTATTCATTGTCTTTTCTGAGCCTTTGTTGAACTATGCTCATGAACTTTCTGGTGCCAAGATGGGATAAGCATTGGTATTAAAGGGCAATCCCTGTACAGAAAGAAAGTTGGCACTCTTTCTCCATCTGTGAGACCTGCCTAAGTCTCAGATGAACTGAAAAGTACTTCACAACCATGTTTATTAATTTAAAAATAACTAAATTGTATAATTTTAAGAGACTTTTACAGACAAAAATCTTATTGTTTAAATGCAGTTAGTTCCATTAACTCGGTTACCTCTCATACAGTCAATGTCAATAACAAACTGAAGTGGATAGAATTGATGTTAATAACAAGATACTGAAAGAAAAATTGGCCTGTAGACAAGTAAGAATTGACATACATTTGTATGATGTCAAAGTAGGATTTTTTTTTTGGTGGGGGAAGGCAAATATTTTATTCAGAAGGTAAACCTCACTAAAGAAAATGCAGCAAAATTGAGTTAATTGAATTTAAATTAAAATTCGTAATATAGTTCACAGAGGTATGTTACTAGTCCACTTTCTGACAGATTTCTATTTACACTAGTCGCTAAGCTTTTGAGAATGAGCATTATTAACTTTTGCCTCTTTTCAATTTTAATGTCCTGAGACTTAAGTCCCAATCATCCTGCCTTCGTTTCAGCTTTGTCTATAAATCAAAATATACATTTGTTAACCAGAACTCAACTAACCAGCATCTTCAAGTTACTGAGTATTTTATCTGCACTCTATCAGAAAAGAAGAAATCAGAGTTTAAATTTTAAAAGGCCAAAAAAGAAAAATTAATCCAGAGTAGTCAACCTGGGGTCAGCCTACATTCACCTCAATTTCCTAAATCTACCACTTCTACACATAATGTTCTGAATAATGAGAATGGATCTTCAATCAAGATGATAGCCTTAAAGCCTTGCTTAACTACAAAGGCAAGCAATTTGCCTGGCACATTCTATGGGATATGGGAAAGAGGGGAAGAGTGTGTTATTCAAGTATAAAAATAAAATGGGTGGGGAAGCTATGCATATGTGCAGGCAGGATATATATGAGAAATCTCTATACCTTCTGTTAAATTTTGCTGTGTACCTAAAACTGGTTTATAAAGTAAAGTTTATTTAAAAAATAAGTAAAATGACATTTTCTGCTAATCTTCAGCTATCTAGAAATTTCAAATAACCAGAATCAAAACCCCATAATTGTGTGCCAGTTAAATATGGCTTTTCTTTATTCATTTCAAGTCAAAATGACAAATTATCAGCCCTCTGTGTCCTAGGTATGAGCCCTACATCAACTGAGGCTGATGGAGAATTTTCCTGAAGGCTGATGAAGCTGTACAGCATTTGGCAGTGATAAATATGTTTGGCTGACAGTAATAGATACTCATTAACAGTTAAATATTGAGTTTCATTCAGCTGACACTCATAGGAGGAATAGCTTCTAAAACACTCTTTTGTGCACTTACGTTGCTCTACCAGTAAAGGAAAAGCATTCTGAGTACTTTTGGTTACCTCATCAATAGGTACAGGAAACCCTCCTGTTTCCCAAATTTAGGACTCCATTTTAGAAGTCACAGTTCTGATGTTCCCTTCTTTCTCTGATAGCTAAATATGCCTTCTGTTTCTTAGTGTTTCTTCTGCTGTGACCTGAGAAGACCCTCCGTCTTAGAAAGGTTATTAGTTAATATTTGTGCCAACTTGCAGACTAGTAACATATGAATAATCAAAAGACATGAAAAAGAGGCAAGCCTTGGTAAAAGGAGAATAAGAAACCAAATATTGGTTTGGGTAAACCTATAACCTACCCTGTAGGAATAAATAGAGTAGCCCATATTTCTTTAGTTGAAAAGCCTAAGATATAAAATAATATCTGATTTCTTCCTTTAAAAACATTCTAAAGAACAAAACGTTTGCCATATATTAGTTTTAAGGATGACAGGAGGCTGATTTTTGTCAAAATGTTCCAATCCTAGAGCTGATCTAATTTCCATGGCAGCAATATCATAAAGACAGTTAAAACTGTTTCAAAGCAATATGCTAAATTAAAAGAATATTCTAGACTAAAAGAGCCCCACGGATAACTGTAAAGAAAATTGGAAATAATTTTCAAGTCCCCTTTCATCCAGAAGGCTTATAAATGTGTAGTGAAATAAAAAGAAAGGCATCTATACCTTTTTTCAGTTAAGTTTAAAGTAATATAGCCAAACAGAGGTTACTGGCAGATGTTTTGTTTCTACTCATTAATCTGGGCAGAAACAGATTTTAGCAATTGAATTCTATTTAATATGTGTGCTTCCCATAGTCCTGCAAACACATTTCAAAGTACTGTACTTGTATTGCACTTCCAGGGTTGTTGAGGAGAAAATACGCCTGGCATGTTTCAGAATCGGTGTAGCCAATGTTTTGCAAAAGGCACTAAATCCTTGGCATCTTTCCTAAGCTTATTAAAATGTTGTATTTGCCTTTCAAGTATCACTTTTTAACCAGAGCACTCATAATTTTACCCTAACTCCATGACAGCTCCCATGTTTTAAGACAGCTAGAATTTTAATGTTCTGTACATATAACGAGGGAATACATGGCCCCTCCATGAATAATTTTCAGTTTTACATGATGAAATGATTAGTAAGAAAGCTGTGTTAGACCTGCTATCATTGTTTTAGAGATGAGAAAAAGAAATAATATTTAAGGTGATATGCCTAACTGCCACAGAGCCACCATGATAACACTCATTAACTTCAGGTGAGCGGCCATAGACTTTAAAATATATTTCAAAAAATTACAAAAAAGTCTATTTTAAATGAATTGTTTTTAAAGCAGCTTAATCATGTTACAAACATAAGATAAAAATACAAAATGAACTGATAAAATAGTTCTCAGTCAAATAAATGAGATATGGAATGAAGCCTGTTACAATGCCTGTGTCTAGAGAAAAAGATGGCACTTAGGTGAAAGCTATTCCATATGGGGGTAGAGGGGAGACAGAGAGACAAGGAGAGAGAGAGAGGGAGAGAACTCATAACTAGGTGTGCAGTTGTGACTGCATTTGATCTGCAGGGTAGTGAGGTATGAAATATTGAGGTTCTTTACAATGGAGGTGTACTATATTCCTATATTAATAATAAGCTAAGAGGTTGAATCTTTTTCATGTTGTAGAAGAAGATAATACAATGTGCTTCCAGAATTGTCCCCACACTCCTTCTCAAGAGATGCTGATGTTCTACTGGTTGCCAAAGAAAATATCATTGTAGGGGAAAAAAAATACATCCACTGAACTAAGAAGAAAAATCACATTCTTTCACGTCTAGTTATAACTGAGAAATAAAAATAGTATTGGAGTGAGACTGAGGGTGATGCCTTCTGTTACTCTTTCTCTTACCACTTTTTACTATCCTCATGCTACCAAATAAATAGTTTTAAGATATTATGTCTTATGTAGCCTAAAATGTTGCTTCTCTCAAAGCTATCCATCCTTTAACTTGGGATCAAATATAAGCAAAAAAAAAAAAAAAAAAAAAAAAAAAAAGAATTAAACTGTAACCTTGGCATCAGTGTTAATTTTGGGGTCAGAGTATATCTTTGGACAAGAGATTTCCCAGCACCCATAAAGTTACAAAATCATATTACTGACTCCATCTCTCAACACAACCAACTCTTCACACACTGACTAGTTTCATTCTTATTTTGGCTAGAAATGTGGTAGCTCTGATAATGTATATGAGGAAAGTTCTACCCCAAGTATAGGTACTAATACCTTCTCTGCACATACAAAAGACAAGAATAAAGCATCTTATTCTACAGACAGAACTACAGAATCTTGGGATGCCAAAACTGTAAGAAACCTTGGGGGTCAGCTAGTTTAAGAAGGGGAAATTGATGGGTAGGCATCAAGAGAGATTGTACAAGATTACTCTGATAGTCGTAGAACCAGGACTGAATCTCCTCTCTCCTGATTGCTAATCTGGTAAGATATGTCACTTAATCAGACAGTTTTCCGGTTTCCCTTCCAATGTTGTGGGCGATTCACCAAACATGATCTGCAATATGAACTTTTGCTTATGGAATATGTAATCTATCTCTTGAAGATGAAAGCGTGCATATTTCAAGACTGAAGAGAACCACACTTTTCCCTATTGGTTTTCTCTGACCACAGTATTTTCATATTTTAAAGATATTGGATTGAATAAACCTTGATATTTAGTATGAAAGTGTTTCCCAGTATTCATCTATTGAAGTAAGGTTTCCTAATGGTATAATTCATTTTTATGTCAAAGCGCTTTGACCACAAACTCCCAGGAACAACAATATTAAATTCTAAAAATAAAAATACATAAAATGCATAATTTGTCAAACTTTTATCCCAGAAAAATATTGATTTTTGAGTACTCAAAATATACTATGAGGGTTTAAGTGGCAGATCTTTTTAAGTGCTATTTGCATTTTAATAAGACCCAAATTCAGTCTTCTAACATTTGTTAGGCTAAAGCATATGTTCTCATATTATTTGTCATTGTGTATGCTTCCCCTCTCCTCAGCTAGATCATAAACTTCTCTAAGTGTAGGAATCGCTTCATGAAACCTTTCTTTTCCTGCACCCAACACAGAGCTTGCCATGTGGTCAGTGTTCCATATATATTTCTAGAATTAACAGATTTACTACTTATCTACAAGATAATGCATATAGTTTTTTTTTTTTTAAGAACATAGGCTTCAGAGGCAGGCAATCTTGAGTAGGAGAATACAAATTCATCAGCTGTGTGATCTTGCAGAAGTTACTTGATGAGGCTGACAGTTTCTCACCTACAATACTGAGAAAAATAACAATGATGGTAATTACCTCACAAGCTTATTGTGAAATGAGGTAACATTTGTGAAATGCTTAGCACATTGCCTACTTAATGCAATGGACGTAAGCAATAAATATGCACTTACTTTTTTCCCTTTCGTGCTTTTAAATTAGAATCAAATTATTATACAAATGACCTGGAAAGACCCTACCACAGGAAAAATTTGGGCCATGCAATTACATGCAACAGGACACATTACTTCAATTTATTATTTATAAAATGAAAAAGATAATATAATCCTCACAAAGCTAATGGGAGTATTAAATGAGAATAATCTAAATAAAGGAATTACTACAGTGCCTACTTCAGAATAGATGCTCAACATGTGATATTTATTGCTAGAATATTTTATTCAACCAAAGTTCTTCATTAGTATGAACTCAATTTTTAAAAATTCATCACCTAAAATTATATCTAAGAGGTAATATTGCCTAAATATATTTCTGATTTCTCCGTGGCAGTATGTGTAAACCCTTGTATGTAATGTATCTATGGATAACTTTCAGATTTTTTCCCAGCCTGTATTAGCATGTCCTCCTCTAAATATACTACTGAGGAAGAAGGAGGGATGAGGTGCTGGGGCCACAACGAAGAGTAAAGGGAAACAATGAGGATGAAAAAACTAAGTCTCTGTCTTTCCAAACTTGCACAAAAGCAGAGAATAGTGTGATAAACTCTTCTGTCCACATTACCCGGTTTCAATGATTATCAACATTTTACTAATTTTGTTTCATCTCTTAAGTCTGAACTCTGTATGTATGGATGCAGGATTATTTTTAAAATAATACCAGATATCATGTCATCTCACTCACAAAAACTCTGGTATGCATTATCTAATTGATAAAGACTTTATACTAACATATATACCATGCCATTTCCACACCCCCCCAAAATTAACACTAATTCCATATTATTCCCAGTCCATATTTAAATTTATCTTATTTTCTCGAAACATTTTACATTTAATTTAGTTCCAACTAAGAGTCCAACACTGTCTATACATTCCATTTTGTTGCTATTTCTCTAAAGACTCTTGCATTCTGAGAGTCATTTCATTTTCTTTTTCCATGTGAGCTATAATGTGAGTAAATTTGCAACTCTAATTTGGAGGCTTTGCTAGAAACTGGAAAGGCAGAGAACAAGTTAGAATGGCTAATTGTAGATGCTCAGATACAGTGACCATTATTAGTTACCTCTATTCAGTGAACACTAATAAACACTAAAAAATAATTTGGTTGTACTGGCTGAACTTCAATATAAGTTACTGTCTAAAGCAAAACAAAAGAACAGAAAAACAAACTAAAAGCCATCTTATTTTTGTTGCTTTATCTAATTCCTCGGTATTACCTGTTGCTTCACCTTTCAGAAGGTAAATGATATTCTCTAGAGTCATCCAGGGTGTACCATAGAAATGGTTAATGTACTAGGGATAAAAATTTTTTTTTGGTGTATTTCTTTTCCCCAGAATTACTCGTCGGTTAAACCTGGCTCCAAGCTTTTATTCTGCAGCATTATCCAGAGTTCACTCTTCCATAAAATTTTAGTTTCAAGGTGAATTTAGCTGATAAACTCTAAAATGAACTGTATTTTTTTTACCATTTAGCATATTAGAACATTTTCCTTAACCATTCTTTATTACTCCTTAGCTTCTATAGGCTTGGCAGTGTCCCACATGATACTATTAATCTGTATCAGTCAGTTTGCTGCAAAATAAGGTAGTAATCATTCTATTCACAGGTACCTAAATATTGGAACACAGTATCTGAATATGATAATGGGCATCTAATTATCATGAAGGATTAAGTAAATGTAAATATGCCTTTAACAAAGATTTTATGAACCATTTTATGGTTTCTCTATACTTCTCATTTATAGGAGCAGATTGTAGAGAAACACAAAGTTCATCCCTAGAAGAACAATTGCTCTCGAGCCACTAGCATATCACTTAGCACAGAAATTTATCCTGGAATTTACATCCTATAAATTCACATTAGCACTCTATATTCTTTTTTTTTTTTTTTTTTTTTTTTTTGAGAGGGAGTCTTGCTCTGTCGCCCAGGCTGGAGTGCAATGGCGCAATCTCTCCTCACTGCAAGCTCCGCCTCCCGGGTTCACACCATTCTCCTGCCTCAGCCTCCCGAGTAGCTGGGACTACAGGTGCCCGCCACCACGCCCGGCTAATTTTTTTGTATTTTTAGTAGAGACAGGGTTTCACCGTGTTAGCCAGGATGGTCTCGATCTCCTGACCTTGTGATCCGCCCACCTTGGCCTCCCAAAGTGCTGGGATTACAGGCAAGAGCCACCGCGCCCGGCCAGCACTCTATATTCTTTACTTTACATCCTTTATCCAATGTATCTTACTTCTTCATTCAATACATCTCTTAGATTCACTCTCCTCATCCTGGCATGCAAAGTACTCAAAAATCTTATTCAGAGGTAGAATTTCTGAGAAGCTAATAAAACTTAATCTCTGTGCCCCTCACTTGCACAGGCCCCTTTCAAGGCCTGGCAAGGCCTCAGCAACATGTTCATATGGTCATATATTTCTGAAAAATTTGCACAAGTAGCATACTTTAACTACATTCAGTTAAGACCACTATCTTAATCTACTCTGATTTTGTCTCATGTCAGATGGCATTGGAGTTGGAAATAGAGTCATGGGACTTTTTGCAATCTGGCTAAAAGGAAGTTGATGAACTATCTGACACTGGCAAAGATAAACTCACAATTTGCCATGACAATGAGGATGTTGATGACAATTTGTTATGAGTGTCACCAGTTAAAAGAGTGTCTAAGATTAGTCATTGTACAAGAAAATTTGAAATGCCAAGAAAACTTTCAGCTCACATATAAAGGAAATTTGAAAGTTTTACCAAATTTGACAATTCTACAAATTTACATGACTTTTTTTTCTCTGAATGACAAATCTGTCATACATTATTGATAATTAGTTGTGAAACTAAAATAACCTTTTTTAAACCAACAATGATAAAAACGATTTTTTGTCATACTCCAGGGGAAAGGAATCATCTCTTAATTCTTTCCATAGACATTTAAATTACAAAACTATTGTCCTATAAAGAGGCAATCAATAAATATCAGGCAAAACTTATATGAAGAAAAGTATATAGAGGTATTCAAGCCATGATGCAATAAAATATTTGTTATTTTACTAGAATTCTAAAATATTTGTTATTTTAAAATGTTTGTTGGCCTTCTAAAATTTGAAATTCGGCTGGTGGCTCATGCCTGTAATCCCAGCACTTTGGGAGGCCGAGGTGGGTGGGTCGCTTGAGGTCAGGAGTTCGAGACCAGCCTGACCAACATGGAAAAACCCCGTCTCTACTAAAAACACAAAAATTAGCCAAGCGTGGTGGTGGGCGCCTGTAATCCCAGCTACTCGGCAGGCTGAGACAGGAGAATCACTTGAATCTGGAAGGCGGAGGTTGCAGTCAGCCGAGATCACGCCATTGCACTCCAGCCTGGGCAACAGAGCGAGACTCCATCTCAAAAAATAATAATAAAATAAAATTTGAAATTTGCTGAGATTTGTTTGCCCATTTTAAGTAACTTGTTCATACCTAATATTGCATTCATAATTTTATAATATTTCTCTTAAAGAGGGCCCCATCAAATGTAGATGGGCCCCTGATTTGTCCACATAAATAAAGTCAGTTTCCATCTGAGCCTATCAAGCCAGCTTCCCTTTCATCTCTCTAACACACCATGTTGACTCCTGTCTCCACTTTTATTCAGCTTAGTTTGTCATCTATCCTTCCTTCACCCAACTATGCAAATATTGTTATTCAACCTTAAAGACTTACCTCAAAAGCTATCACCTGTAGGAAGTTATTCTTGATTTGATCATCCCTCCATAGGTGCAATTGGTCATTTTTTTTCTGAATCAGTTTACTTTATATGAACTTACATAGGAGATAAGCACTGTAAGTCAATTCTCCACTGTATTGTGATTGTCTTCAGAGCAAGAGGAAGCTCTTTTAGGTTACTTTGCGCAAGAATGCCTGGTACATTATTTTCCTTACTGTGGATTTTCAATTGATATTGGTTAAATCAGTAGGTGGGTGTGTAGTAAAATTCTGTTTTTAGAACACAACTGAATTCCACAACTACAAAGCTATTTTTTCCTGTCTACTCAAGCCCAAATTGATTTCGCTCTTTTTAAAAATTTTCTTCTGCATTATATAGGATTCTTGATCATTTAGAATAGCATCATTCAATACATGTTGCCTTCCCTTTTGAACTGAGAGTAGAAATCATGATATAGAACTCTTTTGGAGCTCCTCTAGAGATTTAATATTCAACTGAATTACTGAAGTGCACTTTAAAGCACATTTTATTTATTTCTCTACTACAAAATATTCTATTTTCATTGATGATGACATGTAACATTCACAATCATTGCCATACATTCCCAATGCCTGTACACTTATTTACTTAATTTTTTTCTTTTAACACACTCATATTTTGTAATTACATAACTTTATTTTAAAAGGAAGCAGCTTGAATAGAAATTCAGCATTGCTAGTGATAAAGAACAGGTATAATTTCTAACTAGGTACTTCTCTTTTTTTTGAGAAAGGGTCCCACTTTGTCCCCCAGGCTGGAGTGCAGTGGTGTGATCTCAGCTCACTGCAGCCTTGACCTCCTGGGCTCAAGAGATCCTCCCACCTCACCCCCCCCATCAAGTAGCTGGGACTAGAGGCACAGGCCATCACACTCGGCTACTTTTTTTTGTATTTTTTGTAGAGATGGGGTTTTACAATGCTGCCCAGGCTGGTCTAGAACTCCTGAGCTCGTGCAATCCACCTGCCTTGACCTCCCAAAGCGCTAGGATTACAGGTGTGAGCCACTGTGACCAGCCTCTATCTACATACTTCTGTCAAATGTTCTCACCCCAAGCCTGCTTGCTCTCTATTAAAAGGAAAAATTAGCAAATAATAAAAAGATGTTAATGATTCATTAGCACCAAATTGGAACTTTCTTTTTGACACAATACATTCATCTATTCATAAAATTGATATTTGTTGAGCTCTTACTATGTACATGGATACTCAAGATACTAGTCTCCTTGGGATCCTAGTGAGTGAAGATTTTTAAAAAGCAATTAATTCAAATAAATATGCAGGTTAATTTGAGCTAGAACAAATTCCTTAAAGAAGATAAAATAGAGTAATATGAAAGAGAGTCACTTGAATGTGAGTCATTTTTTTTTTTCTTTTTTGAGACAGAGGCTCACTATGTTGCCCAGGCTGGTTTTGAACTCCTGGGCTCAAACAATCTGCCCACCTCGGCCTCCTAAAGTGCTGGGATTGCAGGCATGAGTCACCACACTTGGCCTAATGTGAGTCATTTTTAATTGGGCAATCAGAAAAGTAAAAGATTATAAAAAGAAATTGCTTTTTTACTGAATTATTATTTTTAAAGGTTATGTCTGTGTATCACCTGAAATAATTATTGTATACCACCAAGCTACACATCTTACATTTTGGCAAACACAAGCCCATGTTTACATTTTGGAGCAAATAGATCTGAATAAGAATTTCAGCTCTAATACCAGCTTGGAAATCTTGGACAAGTTACCTAATCTCTCTAAGCCTCAGTTTCCTCATCAGAAAAATGAGGAAGAGTCTACAGCCATACCACCCTGAACACACCTGATCTTGTCTGATTTCAGAAAAATGAAGATGATAAAAATAAAATTTGTAAAAACTCTACAAATTATAGATTTGATTTAAAGACTAAATAAGAGGAAATAGGCAATATACTTAAGAGAGTGTCTGGCACATCATAAGCAGTCTTTTTAAAAAGTCCTAAAGTAATTTTGTTATTTAGCAATTATCAGGTCTTTTTGGTATTAAAGGAAGCTTTTGGTAGTCGCCATTTGGTGGGGGCTGTAGATTTCCTATGGCAAGACCTCACCATCATGTGGTATGCTACATTGAAAACAAGCTTTGCAAATTTTGTCACGTGCACAAAATATTTATAATTACAAAAACATAACTGCATGCAGCCCAGGTTAATTCCCACTCTCTGCCCTGAGACACACAGACTAACACTTTGCAGAAAAGATTTACTTTTGGACAGGCGCAATGATATTCCTAGAGCAGGGGCAGCCAGTGTGGTACTCACAACAAGAGGCAGAGTCCTCTGTGAAGTGGAGGAATATGGAATCAATGGACTTTTGGATATTGAGTTTTGCACAGAGAATCATAGTTGCCAGGCTCACAATATTCTTATACCTGGTTCTGGTAAGGTCATAGGACCTTACTGCCTTTCTAACCAACCATCTCTCCTGAATATCAATGAAATATATTTCTAATGTCTCTTATTCTAAATACAAATTCTCCAGTATGGATTTTGATCATAATATTTGAAATGCTAAGTAGCCATTTCTAATTTGTGGATTCCAATTTAAAGTACTTTGCTTATTTATTTATTTTTATGTTTATATATTTATTTATTTTTTAATTTATTTTTTCCTTAAGTTATTGGGTTATTGGGTTGCAGGTGGTATTTTGTTACATGAGTACATGAGTAAGTTCTTTAGCGGTGATTTGTGAGAGTTTGGTACACCCATCACCCAAGCAGTATACACTGCACCTATTTGTAGCCTTTTGTCCCTCACCCCCCTCCTACTCTTCCCCACAAGTCTCCAAAGTCCATTGTATCACTCTTATGCCTTTGTGTCCTCATAGCTTAGCTCCCACATATCAGTGAGCGCATACGATGTTTGGTTTTCCATTCCTGAGTTACTTCACTTAGAATAATAGTCTCCAATCTCATCCAGGTCACTGCAAATGCTGTTAATTAATTCCATTTTATGGCTGCATAGTATTCCTTTACATATATATATACATATATATATATATATATATATATATCAGTTTCTTTTTCCACTAGTTGATTGATGGGCATTTGGGTTGGTTCCACAATTTTGCAATTGTGAATTGTGGTGCTATAAACATGTGTGTGCAATTATCTTTTTCAAATGACTTCTTTTCCTCTGGATAGATACCCCTTAGTGGGATTGCTGGATCAAATGGTAGTTCTATTTTCAGTTATTTAAGGAACCGCTACACTGTTTTCCATATTGGCTGTACTAGTTTACATTCCCACTGGCAGTGTAGAAGTGTTCCCTGTTCACTGCATCCATGCCAACATCTACTGTTTTTTCATTTTTTGATTATGGCCATTCTTGCAGGAGTAAGGTGATATCGCATTGTGGTTTTGATTTGCATTTCCCTGACCATTAGTGATGTTGAGCATTTTTTCATATGTTTGTTGGCCATCTGTATATCTTTTTTGAGAATTGTCTATTCATGTCCTTAGCCCACTTTTTGATGGGATTGTTTGTTTTTTTTCTTACTGATTTGTTTGCGTTCGTTGTAGATTCTGGATATTAGTCCTTTGTCAGATGTATAGATAGTGAAGATTTTCTCCCACTCTGTGGGTTTTGTGTATACTCTGTTGACTGTTCCTTTTGCCGTGCAAAAGCTCTTTAGTTTGATTAGGTACCAGCTATTTGTCTTTGTTTTTATTGCATTTGCTTTTGGGTTCTTGGTCATTAAATCCTTGCCTAAGCCAATATCTAGAAGGGTTTTTCCAATGTTATCTTCTAGAATTGTTGTAGTTTCAGCCAATTTAAAGTACTTTAAATGCTAATTAACTATCCCTACAGTGAAATTGTCTTAATTGTGCACGTTTATACTACACTGTATATACTGAAGTATTTTTAAAGTAAAATACTCCACTATATAACAACTTAATAATATTAGTGTTATTTATTATAAAATAGATAAAGGTGGAACCTTGGCTGTGACAATTAGAACCAGTTTATAGGAAAATGCAATTGTCTTAGTATTGAGTAATTATCCTATTCTTCCCATCCCTAGTCACTTTGTGAAAGTAAATAAGGATTATAGGAAGAGCTTCTGAACTTTCTCTGGTCACCAGTTGGTGACAGCATTAGCCTTCATGAATCTCTAAGCCATGCTGGACAAACAGTAGGTGTTTAATATATTCCTACTTTTGGATAGATGAGAACAGCCCAAAAGTACTGATTATTGATATTATTATGATGAGTGCTCTGACTTTAAATGGAAAAAGAAAATAAAAATCAACAGTTTGCTCTCATTTTCCCTCTGGTTTTACTTGTTTGCAGTAGATGCAGTGTGGTATACAACAGTAATATTTAAAAACACTCATTCCAGTTCTGCCGCTAATTAGCTATGCACTCACGCACAAGTCACAGCTTCTGTGCTTCAATTTTCTCATCAATAAAGTATGGATTATACTCATGCTCCCTAACTGGCAGAAGTGTTTGGAAGAGAGAATGAAGTTATAGATGAGGATAGGTATTGAAAATTGTAAAAGCTCTACACTAACATAGAATGCTATTACTATTTTTCTTTTGGTATAATTCCCAATCAGAGAACATAATACCACATTGGCCTATAATAATACCGTTAGTGAAA
This sequence comes from Homo sapiens, assembly GCF_000001405.40. Lineage (NCBI taxonomy): Eukaryota > Metazoa > Chordata > Mammalia > Primates > Hominidae > Homo > Homo sapiens. The sequence goes on along the minus strand of NC_000023.11, from coordinate 114,131,495 downwards.
GTAGCTCAATTAGACTCAGTGGATGGCAGAAGATAAACTACAAAAATATATTGGCATATGTAGAAGTCATTCATTTTACATAAATGCCAAAGAGGAAGAAAGTTCTGTTTTCTTCCATTGAGAAGATGATGCTATTATTTATAGAACCGTAATAAGATATTCACAAGTTTTTCATCTCCAACTGCTTATAGTTATATCCAAACTACAAGTCTATCAGATACATTGTCTTGATGTTTTGGAGTTTTATTCAAGTACATCCATCAGGAATAATGCTATTACATAGCATTATTTCAAAGCACAAGCTGTGCTTTGAAAAGCTCAAAAGGTTCCTTTTTCTCCAGTCTTACTTCCATGATCCTGGAAAGTCCAAGACCATTTTCATCAACCTGAATGAGTTTACCTAAGGAAGTTTTGACTGTAAAAGAAGACATACAAATAGCAAACAGGTATATGAAAAGGTGCTCAACATCACTGATCATGAGAGAAATACAAATCAAAACTACATTTAGATATCATCTCGCCCCAGCTAAAATGGCTTAGACCCAAAAGGCAAGCAATAACAAATGTTGGTAAGGATGTGGAGAAAGGGGAACCCTTGTACACTGTCTGTGGGAATGTCAGGTAGTACAACTACTATGGAGAACAGTTTGGAGTTTCATCAAAAAACTATAAATATAGCTACCATACAATCCAGTAATCCCACTCCTAAGTATATATGTAAAAGTAAGGAAATCAGTAGATCAAAGAGATATCTGCACTCCTGTTTGTTGCAGCACTGTTCACAGCGGTTAAGATTTAGAAGCAAACTAAGTGTCCATTAATAGATGAGCAGGTAAAGAAAATGTGGTATATATACACAATGAAGTTCTATTCAGCCATAAAAAAGAATGAGATCCTGTCATTTGCAACAACATGGATGGAACTGGAGATCATTATGTGAAGTGAAATAAGCCAGGCACAGAAAGACAAACATGATATGTTCTCACTTACTTGTGGGGTCTAAAAATCAAAACAATGGAACTCATGGACATACAGAGTAGAAGGATGGTTACCAGAGGCTGAGAAAGGTAGTGGGAGGATTGAGGGGGCAAGGTGGGGATGGGTAATGGGTACAAAATAAATAGAAAGAATGAATGAGATCTAGTATTTAGACTATAGTCAATAATAACTTAATTCTACATTTTAAAGAGCATAATAAGATTGTTTGTAACTCAAAGGATAAATGCTTGAGGGGATGGATACCCCCATTCTCCATGATGTGCTTATTTCACATTGCATGCCTATATCAAAACATCTTATGTACTCCATAAAAATGTATACCTACTATGTACCCAGATAAATTAAAAATAAAGCCTTTGTACTCCATAAAAATGTATACCTACTATGTACCCAGATAAATTAAAAATAAAACGTCTTTTAAAATAAAATGAACTAAAACAATGTTTTTATTGGATTAGGTTTTTTTCTTACATGAGAGGAGAAATATATTAGCAACCATAGCAGTAGGAATTTATTTTCTTGTAAATTTAATGTCACTGTCAGGTAACAACTGTCCTGAAATATTGGCAATAGGATTGGTGGAAAAATGTAGAAAAAGCTCTAAAACTGATGTGCTGTCTTGATCCAGTAAGATGCAAGAGACATAGAGAAAGAGAGGAGGGACAACAGGGGACTGTTTGAGAGGACCAACAGAAGCGATGGGGAGGTGAAGGTGAACAGAGGATCCACTCCATATACTTCACCATTTTGCCTGAGATAGACTTTGAAAACAGAATTAAGTAATCAATTGACTTGGAAAAAAATCTTGATTTGCCTCCATTCTCTAAGTGGGGTGCTGTCTTGAGAAGCCCCAAGCATCCAGATACAGAGAGGACATCTCAGAAAAGAAAGGTGGAAAAGCCCCAAAGGCAAGAAAGAAAGATGAATTAAGCACAGTGAAAAACACGGTATTTTGGCTTGTTGGCTTGGATCTCCAAATATGTTTCAAGTGAAACACAGAGATCTATAATTTGTGACACTAATCTGAAAATTTCTCCCTTGATGCAAACTCTCTTTGGTATTTGTCAGTTGAAACAAAAAACACACTGCTCTCTAACGGTTCAATGAACACATTTATTACTCTATATAAGACACCATTAATGTAGAAATAACATAATTGTTAACATTAAAAATTTATATTGTGATTTACATTAAATTCCACAGCATGTTACATACCATTTTGTGCACTTATTATTAAAGCACTTATCTTAAAATCACTGCTTTATATGGCAGAGGAGGAAAGGCTAATGGAAGTAAGAACCCAAAGCATGAAGGTGTAAATTACCTTCGGAAGTCAAGTCCAAAAAAAAAAAAAAAGTTTAGAAAACAAATTTTGTATTACTTGTCCAAATAAGGTCCAAATTGAGGTGTAATTACAAGATGATGAAAGTTATTTTTTTGCATGATATATCAGCTGGCTCTGATGACAGCTCCGAAAATTGAAATCCACTCAGATTTGCAGCAATGTCAACATTGCTAGAGTATGTGTATGGTCTTGCAAGGTGACTATATGAAATGAGCAATATATTTGTTCGGTTATGAGTTCCAATTATATTGGTTTGCTAAAAATCACCCCAAAAACCATTAAATGGTGTAAATAAAGACAGAGAAAGGACACATGGGCAAGAATACAAGCGTTTACTCTCATGTGAAATTGTGAAAGTATCAATTCAAAGTCATGTGAAAAAAGAGAAGTTTCACAAGAAATATATCAAAAGACCAACTCAAATTCTTTTATATTTTACAACTTTCATTACTCTACTACTTAGAGCTACTTGGTATAAGCTAAAGTAAGGATTATATGCCAAAGGAACATCTAAATATTGGAGGGACTATTCAAAAGCAGTAGCCAAGAAAATTTTACTTTATCTACAGACAAAAGAAACACCAATTATTACCATAAAATTACCAAACTTGAGAGTAAGGTACAGTCCAAAAAAGAAAGTGTTATAAATTCAGGTTCATAATAACACTTCCTTCCATAAGAAAACATTAAAAGGGTTAAAAAAAAGTGGGGAGAGCTAAAGTATGACTGAGATTTAAAAAGTAGCCCAACCTCATAACACACTCTGAGGTATATCATTCAAATATAAAATCCATTGAATGAAATTAAAACAATACACTAAGAATCGGCAATAGAGAGACCAATGTAATTTGGTGGAATATAAGCAGAAGAAAATATGAAAAGCCGATTGCTGGCAAGATGACTGAATAGGAACAGCTCCGGTCTGCATCTCCCAGTGAGATTGAAGCAGAAGGCAGGTGATTTCTGCGTTTCCAACTGAGGTACCCGGTTAATCTCATTGGAACTGGTTGGACAGTGGGTGCAGCCCACGGAAGGCAAGCCAAAGCAGGGTGGGCCATCGCCTCACCCAGGAAGCTCAAGGGCTTGGGGAATTTTCTCCCCTACCCAAGGGAAGCTGCGAGGGACTGAGCCTGAGGAACTTCAGCACAGATACTGCGCTTGTCCCATGGTCTTCACAACCCGCAAACCAGGAGATTCCATCCGGTGCCTACCCCACCAGGGCCCTGGGTTTCAAGCACAAAACTAGGCGGCCATTTGGCCAGACACTGAACTAGCTGCAGGAGTTCTTTTTTTCCATACCCCAGTGGCACTTGGAATGCCAGTGAGACAGAACCGTTCACTCCCCTGGAAAGGGGTGCTGAAGCCAGGGAGCCAAGTAATGTGGCTCGGAGGGTCCCACCCCCATGGAGCCCAGCAAACTAAGATCCACTGGCTTGAAATTCTCGCTGCCAGCACAGCAGCAGTCTGAGATGGACTTGGGATGCTCGAGCTTGGTCGGGGGAGGGGCGTCCGCCATTGCTAATGCTTAAGTAGGTGGCTTTATGCTCACAGTGTAAACAAACCCTCTGGGAAGTTCAAACGGGACAGAGCCCACTTCAGCTCAGCAAGGCTGCTGTGGCCAGACTGCCAAATTTCTCAGCTCTGGGGAGGGTATCTCCGAAAAAAAGGCAGTAGCCCCAGTCAGGGACTTATAGATAAAACCCCATCTCCCTGGAAAAAAGCACCTAGGGAAAGGGGTGGCTGTGGGCGCAGCTTCAGCAGATTTAAACATCCCTGCCTGACAGCACTGAAGAGAGCAGCGGACCTCCCAGCACAGCATTCAAGCTCTGCTAAGGGTGAGACTGCCTCCTCAAGTGTGCCCTTGACCCCCGTGTACCTGACTGGCAGACACCTCCCAAAAGGGGCCGACAGACACCTCATACAGGAGAGCTCTGGCTGGCATCTGGCAGGTGCCCCCTCTGGGACGAAGCTTTCAGAAGAAAGATCAGGCAGCAATCTTTGCTGTTGTGCAGCCTCTGCAGGTGATACCCAGGCAAACAGGGTCAGGAGTGGACCTCCAGCAAACTTCAGCAGACTGGCAGCAGAGGGGCCTGACTGTCAGAAGGAAAACTAACAAACAGAAGGGAATAGCATGTTCACTCAAAGACCCCATCCGAGGTCACCAACATCAAAGACCAAAGGTAGATAAATCCACAAAGATGGGGAGAAACCAGCGCTAAAAGTCTGAAAATTCCAAAAACCAGAACACCTCTTCTCCTCCAAAGGATCACAACTTCTCGCCAGCAAGGGAACAAAACTGGACGGAGAATGAGTTTGACAAATTGACAGAAGTAGGCTTCAGAAGGTGGGTAATAACAAACTCCTCTGAGCTAAAGAAGCATGTTCTAACCCAATGCAAGGATGCTAAGAACCTTGAAAGAAGCTTAGAGGAATTGCTAACTAGAATACCCAGTGTAGAGAAGAACATAAATGACCTCATGGAGCTGAAAAACACAGCACGAGAACTTCGTGAAGCATACACAAGTTTCAATAGCCCAATTGATCAAGCAGAAGAAAGGATATCAGTGATTGAAGATCAATTTAATAAAATAAACAGAGAAGACAAGATTAGAGAAAAAAGAATAAAAAGGAATAAACAAAGCCTCCAAGAAATATGGGACTATGTGAAAAGACCAAATCTACAGTTAATTGGTGTACCTGAAAGTGACAAGGAAAATGGAACCAAGTTGGAAAACACTCTTCAGAATATTATCCAGGAGAACTTCCCCAACCTAGCAAGAGAGGCCAACATTCAAATTCAGGAAATACAGAGAACACCACAAAGATACTCCTTGAGAAGAGCAACCCCAAGACACATAATAATCAGATTCATCAACGTTGAAATGAGGAAAAAATGTTAAGGGCAGCCAGAGAGAAAGGTCGAGTTATCCAAAAAGAGAAGCCCATCAGACTAACAGTGGATCTCTCTGCAGAAACACTACAAGCCAGAAGAGAGTTGGGGCCAAAATTCAAATTCGTAAAGAAAAGAATTTTCAACCCAGAATTTCATATCCAGCCAAACTAAGCTTCATAAGCAAAGGAGACATAAAATCCTTTACAGACAAGCAAATGCTGAGAGATTTTGTTACCACCAGGCCTGCCTTACAAGAGCTCCTGAAGGAAGCACTAAACATGGAAAGAAACAACCGGTACCAGCCACTGCAAAACATACCAAATTGTAAAGACCGTTGACACTATGAAGAAACTGCATCAACTAATGGGCAAAACAACCAGCTAGCATCATAATGACAGGATCAAATTCACATATAACAATATTATCCTTCAGTGTAAACGGGCTAAATGTCTCAATCAAAAGACATAGGTTAGCAAATTGGGTAAAGAGTCAAGACCCATCAGTGTGCTGTATTCAGGAGACCCATCTCATGTTCAAAGACACACATAGGCTCAAAATAAAGGGATGGAGGAATATTTACTAAGCAAATGGAAAGCAAAAAAAAAAAAAAAAAAAAGCAGGAGTTGCAATCGTAGTCTCTGATAAAACAGACTTTAAACCAACAAAGATCAAAAGAGACAAAGAAGGGCACTACATAATGGTAAAGGGATCAATGCAGGAAGAAGAGCTAACTATCCTAAATATATATGCACCCAATACAGGAGCACCCAGATTCATAAAGCAAGTTCTTAGAGACCTAAAGACTTAGACCCCCACACAATAAGAGTAGGAGACTTTAACACTCCACTCTCAATATTAGACAGATCAATGCGACAGAAAATTAACAAGGATATTTGGGACTTGAACTCATCTCTGGACCAAGCAGACCTAATAGACATCTACAGAACTCTCCACCCCAAATCAACAAAATATACATTCTTCTCAGCACCTCATAGCACTTATTCTAAAATTGACCACATAATTGGAAGTAAAACACTCCTCAGCAAATGCAAAAGAATGGAAATCATAACAAAGAGTCTCTCAGACCACAGTGCAATCAAATTAGAACTCAGGATTAAGAAACTCACTCAAAACCACACAACTACATGGAAACTGAACAACCTGCTCCTGAATGACTACTGGGTACATAACGAAATGAAGGCAGAAATAAAGATGTTCTTTGAAACCAATGAGAACAAAGACACAACATACCAGAATCTCTAGGACACATTTAAAAGAGTGTGTAGAGGGAAATTTATAGCACTAAATGCCCACAAGAGAAAGCAAGAAAGATCTAAAATTGACACCCTAACATCAAAATTAAAAGAACCAGAGAAGTAACAGCAAACAAACTCAAAATCTAGCAGAAGACAAGTAAGAACTAAGGTCAGAGCAGAACTGAAGGAGGTAGAGACATGAAAAACCCTTCAAAAAAAGCAATGAATCTAGGAGCTGGTGTTTGGAAAAGATCAACAAAATAGACCGCTAGCCAGACTAATAAAAAGAAAAGAGAGAAGAATCAAATAGATGCAATAAAAAATGATATAGGGGATATCACTACTGATCCCACAGAAATACAAACTACCATCAGAGAATACCATAAACACCTCTATGCAAATAAACTAGAAAAACTAGAAGAAATTGATACATTCCTGGACATATACACCCTCCCAAGTCTAAACCAGGAAGAAGTCAAATCCCTAAATTGACCAATAACAAGTTCTGAAATTGAGGCAGTAATTAACAGCCTACCAACCGAACAAAAAGTCCAGGACCAGACGGATTCACAGCCAAATTCTACTAGAGGTACAAAGAGGAGCTGGTACCATTCCTTCTGAAACGATTCCAAACAATAGAAAAAGAGGGAATCCTCCCTAACTCATTTTATGAGGCCAGCATCATCCTGATACCAAAACCTGGCAGAGATACAACAAAAAAAAGAAAATTTCAGCTCAATATCCCTGATGAACATCAACGCAAAAATCGTCAATAAAATATTGGCAAACCAAATCCAGCACCACATCAAAAAGCTTATCCACCACGATCAAGTCAGCTTCATCTCTGGGATGCAAGACTGGTTCAACATACACAAATCAATAAACGTAATCCATCACATAAACAGAACCAATGATGAAAACCACATGATTATCTCAATAGATGCAGAAAAGGCCTTTGACAAAATTCAACACCCCTTCATGTTAAAAACTCTCAATAAAATAGGTATTCATGGAACGTATCTCAAAATAATAAGAGCTATGTATGACAAACCCACAGCCAATATCATACTGAATGGGCAAAAACTGGAAACATTCCCTTTGAAAACTGGCACAAGACAGGGATGCCCTCTCTCACCACTCCTATTCAACATAGTATTGGAAGTTTTGGTCAGGGCAATCAGGCAAGAGAAAGAAATAAAGGGTATTCAAATAGGAAGACAGGAAGTCAAATTGTCTCTCTTTGCAGATGACATGATCGTATATTTAGAAAACCCCATCGTCTCAGCCCAAAATCTCCTTAAGCTGATAAGCAACTTCAGCAAAGTCTCAGGATACAAAATCAATGTGCAAAAACCACAAGAATTCCTATACACCAATAACAGACAGAGAGCCAAATCCTGAGTGAACCCCCATTCACAATTGCTACAAAGAGAATAAAATAACTAAGAATACAACTTACAAGAGATGTGAAGGACCTCTTTTAGGAGAACTACAAACCACTACTCAAGGACACAAACAAATGGAAAAACAGTCCATGCTCATGGATAAAAAGAATTGATATCATGAAAATGGCCATACTGCCCAAAGTAGTGTATAGATTCAATGCTATCCGCATCAAGCTACCAATGACTTTCTTCACAGAATTGGAAAAAACTACTTTAAACTTCATATGGAACCAAAAAAGAGCCCACATAGCCAAGACAATCCTGGGCAAGAAGAATGAAGCTGAAGGCATCATGCTGCCTGACTTCAAACTATACTACAAGGCTACAGTAACCAAAACAACATAGTACTGGTACTGAAACAGATATATAGACCAATGGAACAGAGCAGAGACCTCAGAAATAACACCACACATCTACAACCATCTGATCTTTGACAAACCTGACACAAGCAAGCAATGGGGAAAAGATTCCCTATTTAATAAACGGTGTTGGGAAAACTGGCTAGCCATATGCAGAAAACTGAAACTGGAGCCCTTCCTTACACCTTATACAAAAATCAACTCACGATGGATCAAAGACTTAAACGTAAGACCTAGGACCATAAAAATCCTAGAAGAAAACCTGGGCAATACGATTCAGGACATAGGCATGAGCGAAGACTTCATGTCTAAAACACTAAAAGCAATGGCAACAAAAGCCAAAATTGACAAATGGGATCTAGTTAAACTAAAGAGCTTCTGCACAGCAAAAGAAACTATCATCAGAGTGAACAGGCAACCTACAGAATGGGAGAAAATTTTTGCAATCTATCCATCTGACAAAGGGCTAATATCCACAATCTGTAAAGAACTTAAACAAATTTACAAGAAAAAAACAAACAACCTCATCAAAAACTGGGCCAAGGATATGAACAGACACTTCTCAAAAGAAGACATTTATGCAGCCAACAGACATGAAAAAAGTTCATCATTACTGGTCATTAGAGAAATGCAAATCAAAACCACAATGAGATACCATCTCATGCCAGTTAGAATGGCGATCATTAAAAAGTCAGGAAGCAACAGATGCTGGAGAGAATGTGGAGAAATAGGAACATTTTTACACTGGTTGATGGGAGTATAAATTAGTTCAACCATTGCGGAAGACAGTGTGGCGATTCCTCAAGAATCTAGAACTAGAAATGACATTTGACCCAGCCATCCCATTACTGGGCATATACCCAAAGGATTATAAATCATTTTACTATAAAGATACATGCACACGTATGTTTATTGCGGCACTATTCACAATAGCAAAGACTTGAAACCAACCCAAATGTCCACCAATGATAGACTGAATAAAGAAAATGTGGCACATATACACCATGGAATGCTATGCAACCATAAAAAAGGATGAGTTCACGTCCTTTACTGGGAGGTGGATGAAGCTGGAAACCATCATTCTCAGCAAACTATCACAAGAACAGAAAACCAAACACTGCATGTTCCCACTCATCAGTGGGAGTTGAACAATGAAAACACATGGACATAGGGAGGGGAACATCACACAGCGGGGTCTGTGTGGGGGTGGGGGTCTAGGGGAGGGATAACATTAGGAGAAATACCTAATGTAGGTGGCACTTAGAGGAAGAGATAGTCTTAATTTTAATGAATTCCAGTTTATCAATTTTTTTTTTTTGAGACAGAGTCTCACTTTGTCACCAGGCTGGACTGCAGTGGTGCAATCTCGGCTCACTGCAACCTCCGCCTCCCAGGTTCTAGCGATTCTCCTGCCTCTGCCTCCCAAGTAGCTGGGATTACAGGCATGTGCCATCACGTCTGGCTAATTTTTGTATTTTTTGGTAGAGACGGGGTTTCACCATGTTGGGCAGGCTGGTCTCGAACTCCTGGCGTCCAGTGATCCACCTGCCTCGGCCTCCCAAAGTCCTGGGATTACAGGCATGAGCCACCGTGCCTGGCCTCTATCACTTATTTTCTTTAGTGTTAATAAGTTTTGTGTCCTTTTTAATAATTCTTTTCCTCTCCTAACATCATGAAGTAATTCTATTATGTCATCTACTAGAAACCTCATTGTTTTACCTTCCATATTTAAGGCTGCGATACATTTGGAATGTATTTTGTGTTGTGTAGTAGAGATCAACATTCATTTCATTTCCAAGGTAGAAATCTAAATTTCCTAGCACCATCTTATTTAAAAGACAGCCCTTTGCAGACTGGGGTTTAGTGCTACCTTTAAATATATAAATATGCACAGGTCTGTTTCTAGATTGTTACATTTTATGCCATTGTATAGTTTTGCACTAATGCCTCAATGGTTTAATTAATGTAGTTTTGTAATAAACCTTAATGTTCCACAGAGTATAATCTCAGACCTGTGTTTAAGATTGTTTTAGCTGTTATTATTCTTTCTTATTTCCATGTAATTTTTTCGTTAGTTTCTCTATATCCACACACGAAAATAACTTTTGACACTTTAATTGGGATTGCATTGAAACTATGGATTTTTTTTAAAAATTATATTTTTAGAATATTAAATTTTTCAATCCAAGAACAAGATTTATCATTTAATCTGGTCATGCCTTGTTTAATTTGTATAATGTTTCATAGTTCTCTGTTGATGCTGTGCACAATTTTTGTTAAATCTATTCCTAGCATTTGATTTTTGGACTATATTAATGATTTTTAAAAACTTTTAGTTTTAATGTTGGTGTGTGTGTGAGAGAGAGTTTTTTATATTGGTTTTTGATCCAGGGACCTTTGTGGATCATTTGTTAATTCTAATATTTTATCTGTTTGCTCTATCTAGTGTCATATTGCTCTACCTAAAGAATTTTCTTTAAAATTTTTTATAGTATAATTGTGCTGGCAATGGATTTTTTTAGTTTTTGTCTGTCTGAAAAAAAAATCTTTATTTTTCCTGTCTTTGTGAAAGTTATTTTATTTGGCATAGAATCCTTGATTGTCATTTTCTTTTTTATCACTTTACAAATGTCTTTACAATGGCTTCAGCCTTGGATTGTTTGTGACTAGAAATCTGATATGTTATTCTCTTCCTGTATGTATCATTTTTCTCTGGCTGCCATGATTTTCTCTTCATCTTTGGTTTTCAGGTTTGATTGTGGTGTGTTCTTTGTTGGTATTTATTTTGCTTCATGTTCTCTGAGTTTCTTGGATGTGCGGATTGGTGATTTTATGTTTGGAAAACATTTGGCCATTATCTCTTCAAATATTTTTCTGCCACATTCTCTCTCCAGTTTCTTTCCAAGATTCTGGTTGCACCCATAAATATATATAGCTACTATGTAACCACAAAAATTAAAAATTAAAAAAAGATATAATTTTATAAGCTGCCAAAAAAAAAAAAACTACAAAGCACAAAAAAAGATTCCAATTGCAAAAATGTTAGACCATTTGATATTGTCCCACTATCCCAAAGCTCTTAGATGCTCTGCAGGTTTTTTGTTTGGTTGGTTAGTTAACTGATCATTGTAAGTCTTTTTTTCTGTTTGGTGAATTTTTATTGACCGATCTTCAAGTTCACTGAATTTGTTCTTTAACTGTGACTAGTCTAGTGATGAGTTTATTGAAAATATTTTTATATCTTTGATTGTATTTTTCATTTCTAGCATTTTCACTTGATCCTTTTTTGTAGTTTTCATCTCTCTACTAAAACCCTCTATTTATTCATCCACCTTGTCTACTAGAATAGGAATTGGCAAACTGAAGACCACCACCTGTTTTTGCAAATAAAATTGTATTGGGACGTAGCCATGTCTTTTTATTTATGTATTGCCTGTGGCTGCTTCTGTGCTACAATGGCTGAATTGAGTAGTTGTGACAGAGACCATAGGGGCCAAAAGGCCTACATGGCCATTTACAGAAAAAGTATGCTCACCCCTGAAATAGAGCATTTAATATGTTATTCATAAGTATTTTAAATTCTTTGTCTGTTTGTTCCAACACCTAAGTCACATTTCCATCTAGTTCTATTGGTTGTTTTATGTTTGACATTATGTTTTCCTTAACCTGTTTGTATATTGTGTGTATTTCGGTTGAAAACCAGACATTTTATGTCAGGCGATAGAAATTAGAATAAATAGTTTATGACTTGAAGTGAGCATGCCTATTCTTTTTCCAGGCTTTTAGTTGAGCTAGATTTGGGTTTTGTCATCATGCACCCTCAGTGCTCCAATCTCCAAATCTTCTGGTGTTATCTTCTGCTTAGGTTGGGGTTGGTGTACTGATTTTTTTTCTTTCAATGTTTGTTCCATCCTCAGGTTTATATCTTCTGTTTGCACCTTTGCCTCAGAGAGTCTGTCTTGCTCTTGCCTCTGTACTAACATTAGATTGGTATTACTAGATTGGTAACACCTAGCAACACCAGATGATTGATTGGTGGCATTAGCTTGGTGTTTAACAATGGGAAACCTGTTGGTGTGGGGCAGGGAGATATTCTCTGATCTTCTGGTCCATCCTCAGTCTTAGTTTGGTACTGTGCTCCTGCGTTTGGGAGACGGGTTATTTCAGTGATCCTGTTCCTTCTGCTGGCAACAGGTTATCTGTCATAATTTGGGCCCAGGATACGTTCTTATTCCTACTTCAAAGATACTCTTGTTGTTGTTGCTTTATTTTGGTTTTTTGTTTTCGCTTTTTTCCATTCCATTCCCTGAGACCCAATCGGTCTTCAACTGTGGCCTGCGTATAACAGAATTTGGTCCTGTTGCTTTGGTAGCTTAAGGCTATTGTTCCATAAGGAAGAGAGAGGATAAAGATCCAGAAAGGCTTCATGTCTTCCCTCAATAGGTGCTAGTCCACTTCCTCAGGCCTGCACCCGGAAATTGAAGTGAATTTCAATTTATCCCAATATGAGATTCTCTTTATGAGGATAAATCAGATTCAAACCCTTAAGGGTAGCTTTGCTATAATTTTTTTTAATTAAAAAACTCCCAAACCCAAAAAACTAGTCACTTTCATGTGCAGGGAAGAGGGACATAATTAACATTTAGGGATATTTTGGTATTAATATTATAAAAATAACACACAAAGTAGTTACATTTTCAAACAGTTTGACAGCGTATACAATAAGAATGAGTTTACCTCCTACTCCTGTTTTCCAGTACCAGAAGTAACCCCCCTTAATACATACACACACACACACACACACACACACACACACCCTTTTTGTGCTCCTAATAGACTCTTATCATTTAATACTATATGATGGAAATATGCATTTAATTCAAGACCTGGTCATTCCTGTGTCTCTGGAAGTTTTGATTATATTATTTTTTATATTTTATAAATATATTTTTGTACTCTCAGGTACAAAAATTATGTGTATGGTGTAATTCAATTGTCGTAATTAGCTATCATGTCCACAGAAACTTTACATTTTTAAAAATCTTTTTCATTTGATTTGTTCATTCTCCTTGTTCTAGTCTTCCACATCCTTAACTATGTTTTCAGCTATAGTTTTTTTTTCTTTTTTGCTGCTCCTTATCTAGCTTTTATTTTAAGTTAGATAAGAGGCTTAAAATAAAAGCTAGATAAGAAGCAGCAAAAAAAAAAAAAAACAATCATTTTTATTTGTTTCTTTCTTTTTTTCCTGTTCTCTACCAGCTTGTAACTTAAGTCCTCCTGTTTTCTTATCTTGTCCTTTTGGAACCCTTAAATATTTTCTTTGAAATAGTATTTCAAATAAACTGCTTCTTTTAAAATTCATATAATAGAAGGTTTTTGTTTTATATGTTCTAGATGTGACACATTCTCTGCTATAAATATGTTTTTTGTCTTTCTTTTTTGTGTATGTAATTAATTTCAAGGAGGAGAATAAGGTAGAAATACCTGTACTCCACTATCTTTGATACCTTTGAAGGCCTAAAAACGAACCTACATGATTCCTTAGGGTGGATCTTCAAAGGGGAAAGCAGTTCTAGGTCCATGAAAGAACAGGGACTGGAAACAGTCCAGACATATTTTTCCCAGAACATGCTGATGCTCTGAATGGTGTCTGGGCTTATGAAATCTAAGAGCTGGGCATTAAGATCTGTAAACTTAAAACCCTATATGCCTGGCCTTTTTGGTTGAGCTTAGAATTCAAATAGTAATATGGTGTTTTTATACAGTGGCTGTTCAGATATTGGATTCATTTGATGTAAAGTGTGTATTACAGTTTTCATCAGTTATAGTAAGCACTCAATTAATGTTAAATATTTCAGTAATAATTACTTTTCTTAAGCCACTGTACAAACGTCTACTTATAATTAGAGGAACAACCCTATGCATTATAATTTTGTGGCAATAAAAGGCAATGGAAATAGTGGCCCAATCAGTAATCCTTTCATTTTCCTAATTTGATTTTTGGGGCTGAACTAAGTAAGGTCCTTGGAGCTTTTATACACTTAAGGAATGGAGGTACCATCAGTTAATAGTAGGTCTGCTGCTGATCAAATGTGTGGGATTCCAGTAACTAAATGAAAGATATTTAACTTCATCTACACACTACATTTGTGGAGTTCATATTGGTTCCAAACACAAATTTTAAAATTCTAAGAATAAAGAGATAAAAAATATGTACTGGTGTTTAAAAGAAAATAGAAAAGAGAAAAAATATATAATAGTGTTTAGTGGCTTTAACACATATATTTCACTGTTATTAATCAATCAAGCCAACAAAAAATGAAAAGAATCTTAGGCACAGTAGCACGTGCCTGTAATCCCAGTAATTTGGGGGACCAAGATGGGAGGATTGCTTGATGCCAGAAGCCTGAGACTAGCTTGGACAACAAAGTGAAACCCCATCTCTACAAAAACTTTTAAAAATCAGCCATGTGTTGTGGCATGCACCTGTAGTCTCAGCAACTCAGGAGGCTGAGGCAGGAGGATCACTTGAACCCAGGAGTTTGAGGTTGCAGTGAGCTAGAATAGCACCACTGCACTCCAGCCTGGGCAACAAGAGTCAGACCCTGTCTCTGAAAACAAACAGACAAACAAACAAACAAAAACTCAACACCTTAAATACTGAGATTTGAGATATACAATTTTCCATATATTTGATATGTATAAGTAAATATAAATGAGATCACTTCAAGTTAGCATCTGCACAGCAAAGGATACAATCAACAATGAGAAAAAACCCCACAGAACAGGAGAGAATATTTTCAAACTACCTATCTGTCAGGATCTAATAACCCAAATATATAAGGAGCTCACACAAGTCTATAGGAAAAAAAATCTAATAATACAATCAAAAGATGGGTAAAGTTCAGCTCACTCTTTTCCCCACTGCAATAGTACTACTGAAAAAAATCTGCCCTTACCATTTTAGTGATGTCTGGCTTTATCTTTGAAAGTGCTTAAGAGCATGGAGTGTTTCCAGATCATTTTGTTTCAAGTCCAGCAGAGTCGCTATAAAACCTTGGTCAAGTCACCTACCTTCCTTGCACTTCAATTTCCTCATCTGAAAATAAAAATAATCATAGTAGGTTTGTAGACAGGATTATGAGTGAAT
Source organism: Homo sapiens (assembly GCF_000001405.40). Classification (NCBI taxonomy): domain Eukaryota; kingdom Metazoa; phylum Chordata; class Mammalia; order Primates; family Hominidae; genus Homo; species Homo sapiens. The sequence continues at coordinate 114,116,048 of NC_000023.11, read as the reverse complement.
CCATGTAATTAACTTAGAACAGTGCCTATAATGGCTATATAAAGGCTATAATGTTGATTTTTACTTATTATGATAGTCACTATTCTTCAAGCAACATGCTTCCCATAAATTGATGGAAAATTGACAAAAGGAAATATATTTGCATAAATAGTTGTAATATATATATGTCAAACAGTGGATTTAATAAAAGGCATCCTTATAAATAAACAAGGAAAAGATGAATGTTCTAATAGAAATGTTTGCAGAGAGCAGGGACAGACAATTCATAATTAAAACCAAAAAAAATTTTGCTGAAATAATGGGAAAAGATATTTGACCAAATAATTGAAGAAATGCAAAAAACAAACCAAAACAAACAAAAAAATCCGAACAAAAAACCAGCAATGAGATATCATTTGTCTTTTATAAGCCTTGCAAAGATAAACTCCTAACAGGGAAAATTACAATATCCAGTATTGGTGAGAATATAGAAAAGTATACAGTCATTCTTGCCCTCTTGGAGTTACAAAATATATTTTCCAGGAAGCAATGTTTCAGCAAGTATAAAAATTTAACCTATGTATAAATACTCATGAAGCAATTCCTTTTCTAGAAATATAGCTCCAGAAAATAATTATCAGGAAAAAAAATTATATATAAAAATAGTAGCCCTTACATTGCTTAAAAATGCAAAGAAATGGGACTACCTAAATGCTTATTTATAGATGTTTGGTTAAATAAATCATGACATAAGAGAAGGTTAGAAACCTATTTACATATTATGCTGTTTTTATTTATTGAGTGAAATTCACTGACTAGAAAAATGTCTACAACACAATAATGTGTGATAGAAGCAGATTGTTTATACAGCAAGTAAAATGCAGTAGTTATATGTGGTTGGGTGGATTTGACTGGTGTTATTTGAATTCATGTGAGCATTTATTTTTGTAAGCTGCTAATTAAGACCAAGCCACTTGTGTTTTTCAAAAATCTGAAAACCACAAAAGTGGCTTGGTTTTAAGTAGTGGCTGAAGAACAAATATTGAATTTTTAGTTCTAAAGCAGTGAGATTAAAGCAGTGCCTGCAAAAAGCTCTTTTTCATAGCATTATGTAATAGGAACACTAGCAAGAAACCCTCTGCTGCAGCTCAGTTAGAAATTTACCTGTGGCCTTAGGAAGATTTGGAGAGACATGGTACTAGTCAAAACCATAACTTAGGTCTTGACCAGCACTGGGGAGTAAAGGAAAGCATTAAAAAGAAAAAGGCATAAAGACTGTTCCCATTTGCATCTAGTTACTGTTGGTTAGCCATGTAACTATTGCTTAGAGATTAACTAGAGGTAAATTCAGACTTTGAGTGATTGTAGAAGACGGACGAGAGGTGAATGAAGAGAGTAATGCACTAATATATTTAATCCTTACAACAATCGTATAAGGAAAGCACAATGATTTTTCCAATTTTCCAGATGAGGGAATTTAGGTACAGAGAGGATAGGTTATACAATTACTTATTAAATCCTTAGCCTGGGGTGTTTAGGATGTACGTATACCAGTGCTTTTCACATTTAATTTGTAGCATGTGGAAGTATTGGGACTGCTGGCAGAAGTTGCAAACAGGTGGTCCAGAGGCAGATCCAGCTTGTAGATTATTTCCTTTGGCCAGTACAATGTTTTCTGTTTGCTCATTTATTTCATTTTGTTTTTAAAACATGGTAGATATTTTAAAATCAGAAAATTTCACGTAAAAATTCAGATCATCGGTTTGTTTCTTTGCTTTTGAAGAAAATCAGAAGATCTGGCAACACTCAGTTCCGTACAGAAGCCATCTGCCTGGTCTGAGTTGAGGCAGTCCCCTTTGGATGAAGCATACACCCTCCACTCAGCCTGCCTCACTCCTTCATATCACTGGTTTAGCCATTGTGCATATTAGAATTTATGGAGGCTTTCTGCTAGAGAACATACAAAGGCATTTAAAATACTCTTAATTTTCTTGAAAGGTTAAAAGATGGCAATCTACTGATTTGCAAGTTAGATGTGACTGGTATGGAAAGAAGATAGAAATTATTCCAACTAACTCTGCAATATATCTTGGCATTTTCTTCAGCCTGACAAAGAAAATCTACTCTCCTACCATTATTAAGAAATTAATATTTTGCTAATGATTTGTTAGGAGAGTGAATTTAGGGTTATATCACACCCAAAAAACAAAATTATTTAAAAAATTCAAAATGATAAATGCATGAGGTGATGAATACACTAAATACCCTGAATTGATCATTATAAAACATAGATAGGTATGGAAACATCAAATTTTACCGCATATACATGTACAATTACAATGCATCAATTAAAAAAATAAAACCTAAATAAATAATTTGTTTTTTAAAAAAAGAAGAAAAACATATCAATGAGGCATCTCTCCTTTTCCTCCAAAGTTTTCCTTCAACTACCAGCACCCACATCTGGCCTGCCCTACTGGCTTTGGCCTCCTAAATCAAGCACATTCTACTTCTAAGAGTTTGCCCTTTTCTTATGCAGAGCAATTTAGTTTTTTCTTATTCTTTTAGCTTCACGAATAATACTGTAAATATTTCCAAAGGACCCTCCTTAGGATCAACGCTTCTTTGAAAAATACAAAATGATTATAAATAACTGATTTATCTTCCATTATAATTGTTTTTTTTTCCTTTCTCCCTTGTATTTTCATTCCTCTGAACTCATGAGTCTTCTGTACCATTGAGACAGCACTTGACTGGGAGCAAAAACACCCACATTTTAGTCCTGTCTCCCACTTGCTAACTGGATTACTTTGGGAAAGTTGCATACATTTTGGGCTCTCAGTTTTGTCACTTGTAAATGAGAATATAATAAGTACATTTCCTATATAACAGGGTTATTTTTCATATCAAATATAGTCGTATAACCTGAGCACCCTTAGAAAATAAAAATTGTATTTGTTTTAAATAAGCGCATATTAAAGTTTTCTAGAGCCTTGGTTTTCAGATAACAAGCACCTTTTCTTGAACACCCAGTATGTTCCAAGCACAGTGCTAGATATTTTGTAAACACTTCCTATATTAATCTTCTATGTGGCCCTTCGAAGCAGCAATGATATGTGTTTTCCATCTAAAGAAACTGCCTCACAGACACGTTAAATAACTTGCCACAGGCCAGCTGTCTGAGTCAAAAGTCCATGTTCTCTTATTAATGACACCACACAGCTTCTACAGCTCAGCTGTCTCCTTCAACTGACACATTGTGCCACCCACCTATTAACCGGTTACTCTCTGGATCTACCTAGGGAGGATTACAAAATTATTTGACATTGCAAGCATTTTTGGATACTCATGCACACAACCTCAGGGTTCAAAACACTATGCAGCCTGAGAACATTTTATATCAAGGATTCAGTGTTTGAGTGCAGTATTTAGTAGAAGTATGGTATATATACAGCAATTTTATTGACAAATAGTGTTTTTCTATTCAGTCTTACCCCTATCAGTCAGTTCTAGCTTCTTGCAAATTTGGAAGCAAGGAAATTAGGGTCCAGAAAAGAATGCAAACTATCCATCAAGTTTGATTGTTTAAATATACTGGAAAAACATATGTTGAAAAAAAAATGAATGAAGCTGGTGGATTTGATGAAGGTTGAAGTGGAGCATTTGAAGTGATTTGGGCTCAGAAAACAATACCCCAAAATGAAGGCCTCAGCAGCATCCTCAGAAGCAGAAGTTTTTCTCTGACTTTGTCCTGCTCTCCTGTCTCTCTGTCCCCTTCTCCCTCAAGGCTAGCCATAGAAACTAGAATCCCTCTTCCCCAAGGAGGGTCAGAAAAACCATAACCTCTTTTCCTGAAAGCCAGTCATAAAACCTAAAAATGCTACTCTAATTTTCCCTCCGCCTTTCTGTGTAAAAGCTGGCCATAAAGAAATCATCTGACTTACCTTGTTTGACCATAGGTCCTAAGATCCCCATTCCAGAGAGGGCCCTGCCCGACACCCAGAAGGAAGGAATGCTTGCTCAGAGAAGCCAAGAAGAAGCTAGACAGACAGGCCTTCCTTGGTTTCCCCACTCAGTCTATTAGCATTAGATCATGCCCTTTTTATCCAATCATACATCTACATGGCTATCCATAGTTTGTTGAACCTAAGCATAAAAATGGACAATTTGCCCTGTATCTTTGGGTCTTCATTCTGAAGGCTCTCATACATGTATATTAAATAAATTTGTATGCCTTTTCTCATATTCACCTGCCTCTTGTCAGTGATTTTCAGGAAACCCTCATAGGGCAAAGGAGAACTTCCCTCTTTGGCCCCTACAAAGCCTCAACATGACCACCAACACGCAAACCCTATCCTGCTTTGTTTGTTTGGTTTTCATTTTCAAATTATCTTGAGTTGATATGGCAACACAGTCTCAGAGTACACCCTCTCCTTTTTTCTGAGGAGGCCCCTTGCAATGCTCTTTGAGAGGTGGCTTTAGAATAGGATAGAGAGATGTAGCCAAAAGAACTGAAAAGAGTACCTCCTGGATTTTTCCGAACATTACAGAAGAGAGATTCACAACAAAAAAAATAATGTTCCTTTCTACACACTAGGTGAGAACTGAGTTTCCAATCTGATTGGCAGTGTTGTAATATCAGCATAATACTAAGTTTGTATGATAATAAGATATGTTGCCTAATTTATGCTTCTAGTAGTATTTCCAAGGCTGTCAGTTCTATTTTGGCTAAAAGTAATCACAAAGAACTAAATAATAATGAGATTTTTTCCCACTCTTCTACTCATAGCCATCTATTTTGGAAGGCACTCATCATTTGGATACAAACTGAATCTCTTTAATCTTAAAAGGACTAGAGAGGATAATGTCTTTGATCAGCCTGCTGGTACTGTGTATTTGTGGAAAGTGGCCCGTCATTCAAATTAAATCTGGGAAAACTCCCAAACATTGGCCAATTCGGTAGTTATGGGGCCTACCTCTGAGGGGCCTGAGAATTTGGCAAGCACCAAGGTGGTGGAAGCAGGCCCAGATAGGTTCTTCTGGCTTGTGAATTGCCACTCATCCATGCTCTACCTTCCTCAAGCTTGAGGCTCGTTCACAGTGAGAGAAAAGAATTGGCATGTCCAGCAGCAGTGATTTCAACTCACTGAAAATAAGAAACCTAGTATAGTACACATGGAGACCACAAGGGGATATGGAGAAGCTGAAACTCCTTAGAGGCAAAAATATCTAACATGCTGACTATAACAAAAAGAAAAGCTGAATTCTGACCTCCAAAATAAGAAACTTAAAAGGGCCGGGAGATGCATTTGTTATTTTTAAGAAATTGGCAGTTAAAAAAGAAGTATTATCCCAGGGATAATGGTCTCCCATAGCTATGTAAATATCAAGGGAAAATCAAGATATCTATTTCCTAAAAATAAATTAGATATATCATTTGATATATCTAAAGTTCAGTGACAAAGATCACTATTATGCCAAATGAGAGATGTACACTGAGCCATTTTGTCTGATTATATAGGTGTGGTTAAATAACAACTGTACCATTGTCTATTAGTAACTACCTTTTTCTAATACAGAGGAACATGGAATTATTACCTATTGTAGCAATCTGTTAACTCAGGGGAAGAAAGCAATAGATTCATTTGGTGATTATTCTCTTTTTAGGGCATCTTATATACTTTAATACAAGGTATGACTGTAAGAGAGTAAGACTAGTGTTTAAATAAATATGCAAGCCTAATTGCATTTAAAGGAATTTTGTCCTCTTCAAGATAATCATTTTGGCTGTACACATGGTAATTATCAGTTCCAAATTGTCCAGGACAGACAATCCAGATGTTCTATAATTTTATTATTCTCAATAAAGGTGATTAGTTAAAGGTAGAGTGAGATATTACTTAATCTTAATAATTTTGTAAGACTTTTCACAGATATTTATAAATCAGGAAAAATCCTTGGTCAAACTATGTGTTGTGATTTGGGGTCCAGTAAATATGGTTACAGAAGCTATGCAGTTATTCTAGCAATATGTAGAACTCTTTCTTGCAACTGCCTCCAGGATCAGTTTATGAGTCACACAAGGAAATTACTGTTATTACTTTATCTCGCTATGAGATATGTTTCTAAAGCAGAGCATAAAAGCATCTCAGTGTCCGACTTTCTTTGCACAGGTCTCCTAAGCTGACTCCTGAGTATAGTGCTTCCATATTAGACTGAAATGCTAAAATGTTGAAAAGAACATGACTCTCATTCTTAGAGGTTTCATTACTAAAATGCTAAAAATATAAGATTCTGAAGACAGTACTATGGTGAGGTATAGTACCTTACATTAAATGCAGTGGAAGCTTTTATCCTAGGGATTTAAAATGCCCTCATCATTTCCACATGTAACTTCCCCATGGATCACTCCATTAACCTACAGGTATTAATGAGTGATTTATTTGTGCTTAGTGCTGTAGCAAGTACAGTTAACTAGTTTGCAGAAAGGCATAGTCAGTTCCGATTTTAATAAGAGAAATAAATGAACTAAGAAATTAAATCATTAGCCTGAGTTCACATAATAACACACTGGTAGTCTCTGTAGGGAAAGCATGCTTTCTTAATCCTGGCTCAGTGATCTTTCATGAATAACTCTCTCCTATTCACTCACCCTACACACACACACACACACACACACACACACCTAACTTTTCTAAAATACTTAATATCATGACAGTTGATGGTTTTTGTTCTGACCATGATGTATCTACTTAAGGATGTTCAGAGCAGTGTATGGGGATGTGGGATGTGGGGAGTGAAAGGTACCAGAATATGCCACCCAAAATTATGCCGCTTTGGCATAAGGATAATTTTGAGCTAAAGGCAATTGAGAATCAATACAGGCAAGAAAAGCTCTTTACCTTCTCCTAACTACCTAAAAATAAAATATAGATTTACATTTTTATAAAAGAAATGTATATTTGTAATGGAAATTTCCATTTGTAAAGATGTATCTTACCAGGAAGGGAGCTACTCTTCAGGAGACAACTCTTGTCACCTGAAAGCCTCTTATCTGCATAACAAGACAACCCTTATTTATCATCCATTGCCTCCTCTCATCTTCCCATAACTTGTCTCTCTTGCCCAAAAGCCCCAAACCCTTTTTCTTTGTTTTTGTTTTGTTTTGTTTTGTTTTAGACAGAGTCTTGCTCTGTCACCCAGGCTGGAGTGCAGTGGTGCGATCTCAGCTCACTGCAACCTCTGCCTCCCAGGTTCAAGAGATTCTCGTGTCTCTGCCTCTCAAGTAGCTGGGATTACAGGCATGCACAACCATGCCCAGCTAATTTCTGTATTTTTAGTAGAGATGAGGTTTTTCCATGTTGATGAGGCTGGTCTCAAACTCCTGGCCTCAAGTGATCCACCCGCCTCTGCCTCCCAAAGTGCTAGGATTACAGGCATGAGCCACCATGCCTGTCCTCAAAACCCCTTTTCTTTCATTTAGCCTATGTATTAGTCCATTTTCATACTGCTATAAAGACATAACTGAGACTGGGTAATTTATAAAGGAAAGAGATTTAATTTACTCACAGTTCAGCATGGCTGGGGAGGCCTCAGGACACTTTACAATCATGGCGGAAGGCAAAGGGGAAGCAAGGCACCTTCTTCACAAGGAGGCAGGAAGGAGGATTGGGAGTGAAGGGGAAAGAGCCCCTTATAAAACCATCAGATCTTGTGAGAACTCATTCACTATCATGAGAACGGCATGGGGGAATCCACCCCCCATGATTCAGTTACCTCCACCTGGTCTCTCCCTTGACACATGGGGATTATGGGGATTATAATTCAAGTTGAGATTTGGGTGGGGGCACAAAGCTTAACCATATCAGCCTAAAATGGTACAAAAGCTTCAATCATCTGCTGCTTCCATGAGTCACAATTTTGTGTGTGAACCTCTGTAGTTTAACTCTCTTGTTCATCTGTCTTTTATCAGTTTGATCCAGGGGCCCCAGCCATTGCACCTAGGAGGGTAGAGGGGAAAAGACTTGTTTTCTCTTCTAAGAGGGATCGTAAAAATCATAGCATAATTTATTCTAGGTCTGGTGAAGGAAGTTTTAAAAGACTGTAAATCCACAAATAACCCTACTGGGCTTACCTACTTGAAAGCATAAAGAGAAGAGATATCTCCTACCTGAGTTAAGACAAAAGGATAGAAAGTTATTCTCAGAGAGTAGCTACCCACTAGTCAGGAGAGAAAATAAAAAAGGCCAGATTCTATAAATGTAAGTTTGCAGTTTGCTTACTTGTGGCTGACAGGTACCCTGACATGTCTCACACTTAAGGATTCCTGGCTGAGTGAGGTACTGCTTATAGATCACTGAAGAAAGGTAGGAAAAATGATTGGAATAAGAACTTCGGTCCCATGGTGTCAGCGTAATGGAAGAGTCCAGATAAACCTGGGAATAGGGTGGTAGAATCACAAAATTTCCTGCCGAGATGCCACAGGCAATTCTTCATACCTCTTCCAATCTACAGCTGTTCTTATCATTGTGGTCCTTGAGTTACAATGAATATGTTTATTTATTTGAGGCAAACAATTAAACTATTAGCAGCTGAATTTATTACTCCCTATGTGCCAGGCACCATATTGCTTATTTTAAATGCAATCTTTCAATTTATCCTCACAAGAATCTTGAGGTAGGTTCTATTATTACCCCTATTCAATAGATGAGGAAACTGAAGCTTAGAGGGTTTAAGCAACATATCCTTAATCCTATTACAAAATAGCAATAGAACTAAAGCTCCCCAGTAAATTGGTCTGACTCCATTTGGTCTTCATAATGGCCCTGTGAGAAAAGTGAGGGGGAAAATAGAGACTCCTGCCAGATTTTTTATTTATTCCCTCATTGAACAATTATTTGACTTATACACTGAACTGGTCACGGTGTATGCACAGAGAATATGGTGGTAAACAAAACAGACCTGGTTAGTATTCTCATGGAGCTTAGCATTATTGAGGGAATATCATTGAAGCAAAATCTCCTCCAGGCCCAGAAAGTGTCTCCACAAAGGTAATAGAGGTCGAAAACAAGTTTATTATTGGATAAGCAACATTAGAGGGATGATATGCTGAGAAAAAAAGAAAAAGAAAAAAAGAATAAGTAACAAATCACAATGTGATGCAGAGCACAGGCAATTCACTAAAGAAATTAAAAGGTGGAAAGAAATCGCACTCTTTTATACAAGTAAGTGGATACAACATATTACATTCATATTCTCAGATAAAATGGCTAATTTTCTTTTATCTTTATGATTAAAGGTAGGTTTTGCCTTTTGGAGTCAGGTGCCAGCTGAAGTTAGGCCTGTATCCTCCCAGGAAACTGGGAAATAGGATGTTATCTTTTTTGATTATTACATTTCAAAGACATGGCTGTCATGTCACTGGGGAAATATTCCTGTGTTGTGAGACTGGCAAGAAGGTTATTTAGTGATAAGAAACATTTATGTACACTTAAAAAGGGCAGAGAAAGAAATTCTGAAAGAAAAAGAAGGGGGGCCTCTTCCCTTATTTTCAATGCAGAGACTTTAAACCTCTTCTTTTGACTGGTCTATTTGCCCTTACATCACTAAGTGGAGAAAGCTAAACAATAAGCAAATACTTGCATAAATATGTAATTATACATCTTGATAAATTTTATGAAACCAGTGTGCTCTGAGAGAAAATAACAAAAGGAGTTTTCTGGTCTAGGAATTGGTCCACAAAGAAGTTTTCTACGTGCCTAAGCAATGGGCATTAATTAGTTTCTTGCTGGATACGAAGAGCTTTGCAGGAGAAGGCAACACCATGTGTGAAATCTCTGAGGTGAGAGCTTGTGATCTTCAAGGAACTAAAAGGAGAGGATTGCAAGAACAAATTGAACTAGAAAGCAAGTGACATGAGCATTTCATACACGGCTAGAGTTATAGTGAGGTGTCTCCCAATCAAGGAACATATGAGAATAAGGGAAACTTGAATGCCCTCTGAGCTTGAGGCTTTAAAATTAACACCTAGTCAGTGAGAGGAGAAAGCTGTTCAGGCAACGGAAAGAAAGAAAAGGACTCCCAGACTTGATAGAAGGTTCAATGAAATCATTAGCACATCCAGAGAAAGGAATTAGCAGATTTGGCCAGCTAGGAAAATAGAAACAAAATGTCACTGACACAAGCAAAGATTATCCCAAACAAGCAGTATTTGGAATGCCCTAAATGAAAGATAAAATATTTTGTTCCTCCAATTAAAATTTTGTTAATATTTAGTTATCTCATGTAGCATGCCTATGGGGAGAGAATACACTGGGGAGAGAAGCAGAATCCAATTCCACTTGGCAGTTTTATTTCTTAATGTCAAATTATTGTAAAATAGTAAGTTGAGCTTAATTAATGTGAATCTGTTCTGCTGAGAATTCTGATTTTCATGTCTGTAAAAGCTGAAAGCCCCTATGTAGGGGCCTATCTGGGCACTTCTCTGGCCTTCCTCTTCATTGTTATCTGTACCATCATTTAATTTCCAATAAAAACTTCTGTAGCCCACTTAGTCATCCTGGGTCTGTTCACCTATTTTTCTTCACTCATGAGGTTTTGATCTATCTTCTTTCTCTACCTTGGTTGCCATTTATTGTGCCGTCCAGATCCTTTTCCCCCAGGATGCTTATAAAACATTATGAATGTATTGCCATCTTTCCCCCTTATTCAACCATTTACTCAAAACTGATATGATGCAAAAGAATTGTTGTTACTAGATTTAGAGAGTGAGATAAGTTCTTACCAGGTTTGCCCCGTGTCTTCTTCCTATCACCTAGCCCACAATGTTTACTGAAGTGCAGAGGGATAAGATCTGTTCTTTTAGTCATCTTATAAACTCTCACTTGCTTATGATCCCAGAAGGTGATATCTTCCTTGACTCCCCAACTCCCTTTTTAAATGTAATTTTTGCCTCAATCATGTTATTATAGCTAAGTGTTTTCATATATATGTAGTTGAGTGTAGTGGGCAAGTGTGTATGTACTGTAGGGAGGCTTCCGAGGTTCAAACCCAGATTCTAATCTTGGGTGTTAGGCAAATTACTTGGCCTTTTGTGCCTCAGTTTCCTCATCTATGAAACAGGGCTAGTAGAACTATCTACTTTATAAAGGATTATTACGATAAAACACAAAAAGCGCTTGAAGAATCTGACACCTGTAAAGTGCTCAAATGATAGCAAATGCCATAATTTTCTATATATATTCTTTTGTGCCAACTTTTCTCATATTAGACTAAAAACCTTCATGTGTGTGATACACCCCCAAGAGGTAATCAGATTTTTATAATGTCTTTCCTTTTCCAAATGGCAATGAAGTCAAGCACTCCTAACATTTGTAATTCTTCAGTGATTTTTTTTTTTTTTTTTTTTTTTTTTTTATTGAGACAGAGTTTCACTCTTGTTGCCCAGGCTAGAGTGCAATGGCATGATCTTGGCTCACTGCAACCTCCGCCTCCTGGGTTCAAGTGATTCTCCTGCCTCAACCTCCCGAGTAGCTAAGATTACAGGCACATGCCACCAGACATGGCTAATTTTTGTGTTTTTAGTAGAGACGGGGTTTCACCATTGTGGCCAGGCTGGTCTTGAACTCCTGACCTCAGGTGACCCACACACCTCGGCCTCCCAAAGTGTTGGGATTACAGGCCTGAGCCACCGCGCCTGGCCTATTCTTAAGTGATTAACATTAGTAATGGTAGTTCATAGAGACTGTGGCAAAGAGAAAGATAGCCTTTGGGTTCGGGATAATTGTCTATTGAACTACAGGGGAGAAAAACTTTTCCTCTATTCTCAGGTTCTGTAGCTGCCACCTGTGATTTAAACTGACAAAAGACAAGAGTAACTGAAGAAAAGACATACACATTGTATTATATGTGCTTGGGGGGCTTCACAGAAAAGAAGTTAAAAAAACAAAAACCAAAGAAGTGGTTAGACACCAGGGTTTATATACCATTTTAACAAAGGGTGACAAACTGTGGAGAGATGACTAGACAAAGGAAAAGAGGTTTGGGCTTCTAGGGGCAGTAAATTATGGGAAGGTAAATATATAAGGAAACTAAATGGTAGATAAATGTTATTTAGTAAGATTTGTTTCTGTAGACTCATCGTAGTACCTTCTTTGTCTCTGGTGATAAGGATTGTTCTCTTTCTGGTACAAAGAAGGGGAGACACTTTCATAAGGGAAATGTATACCCTGCATTTAGGCAGATGGGGGAGGGCAGAGAACTCTTCTCATAACCTGCTTTTTCTAAATTGTCTTCAGTTCAAAATAATCCTTATGATGCCAAAGTGGCATATTTTAGGGTGACATTTTTTAATCCCTTTCCCAATGGACAGTCTTTTTTTAATGCTAGCTATATGCCAGATATTTCTGCAGGCACTAGAGTTCATAGAGCTTACATTTTTGATTAGAGAGAAGAATATAATAAACAGAAAATGTATGTAATGTTGGAAAGATAACATAGGGTAGAATATTGAAAGTGGATGGAATGGGAATACCCTTAGATATATGTAGTTTCCAGTGAGTTAACTAATTCCACACTATTTTCTAATTCACAAAACACATCAGAGTGCAAGTTTGAGTGACATTACCATTGGGATAATCCTCTGTCTGTTTTACCTTATGTCTAAATATAAATCCTTTGGAAACTAGAGTAAGCATAGCTAATAACATATGTGAACATAAAACATAACTGATTGCAACACTCTATGTCCCAGGTATCTGATATGACCTCACTGGAGACCATCAGTGCTTCATAGCCACACTGAAGATCTCCACCTCATCCACACCCAAAGTATCACCCATTAGACCTCCCATTGCATTTTAGTGGGGTTTTTATTTTGGCCCATTACTTGAATACTACATTTTAGTTTTTAAGAGGATCTCCTTGTTTTTGGTGCAATTATAAAGCAGAAATGATTAACACAAGCCCAAGGAATGATTGATTTATTTCTGGCTCAGGATACAAGCTATTTATACTTCCTCTGGTTCTCATAGAGGAGCTAATCCGTATGTGCTCAGGGTAATGATGTTCTGAAAATTATCATTTATATTTCACCCTCAAAAAAACAAAACATCATCATCAATTATCATTATCATCATCATTTTCAATAGCAATGGCAAAATATTAACCTGAAGTAACAACACAGTTTTAATCTGGTTGGTTAATTGACTTACTCAAAGTCACATAACTTAGTTACAAAGATAGAAATTGAACCTATAGTTCCTCTTTTTAAAAGATTGTGCTGCACTTTAAAACAGAACTCGTGGTACTCATTAAGGGATGAGAAAGGAAAACAAAAGAAAGTTTTCTCTGAAAAGTCCAAGCACTTAATAGATTCCTCTCAGTATGTGAAAATAGAACAATCAGTATGGGACAATGGAATTAGATAAGGCTGAAAAATTCTGCTAGTCCAGGTATCACTTCACAGGCAGAAAAGAGTGTTATTTTCAGCTTGACACAGGATGCATCAAATCCTCAAATCCTTAGTCACATCTGATCCAGCCAAAAACCCAGGCAAGGTCATTGTTTTACCAAGAAAAGGGTGTCACCATGGAAGCTTCCCATAAACTCTGTAAACTTTAAATGGCCCGTTTCTTTATGAAAGGGGAAAAGAGCATCACTGACACAGGAAAATGAAATTAACTGGCTCTACATTTCATTTCAGAACTCTAAGTCATTGCTGATAAAGAAATCTTTAATCTCTAATATAAAACAACTCTGAATTGCAAACACAATTGAAATCTATTCACCAAAACCAGCTCTTTTAAAAATGTAGCTTTCATAACCTTACCAGCATTCAGGGCAATAATTTCTTACCTCCTGCATTATCAGCTCTATCCCTTTTATGAGAGGATCTGTCAAAAATACAGTCCAGTGAGATGACTATGATTTTAATCTCTTTGGTGATTGGAAAAGGAGCACAAATGGTTTTGATTGCAGTTGCAAATGTCTGCTGAAAGTCATTCAGCTTTTGTCTCTCATCCTGTTAAACTAATTGATAAAATTTGATTGAAAAAAACCTAAGATCTCAATATTATTTATGTATACCAAAGTAGTCTTTCAAATAATAAACATGCACTGAAATAATTACTTTTATCTAATTACAAGGAATGTGAATAAATGAAAGATATTTCTTTCCTCTAAAAGACATACTAATTCCCAGGTAAACATCATATTTAGGTGTACACATGTAAAATGTATACTATACATACCACAGGATATGTGTATATGTGCACCAAATGGGAATAGTTGAGCACATTTCTGATTTACCACCAATAACAGCAAACAGGAGAAGAAAGCATCTGAGATGCTTAAGGGCATCACAACAGATATGAAAACTATAGCAGTACAAAGCACGTAATACTGCAATGCTTGCATGAGCTGAATAATACCCACAGAGAGACAGATTTTCTCTTATAAATTGTATTTTCTTATTGCTTTGAGAAAGGAAAAATGTATGATGATTAGAGAATGAGGGTACCCCACAAACGTTGTGGGCCTTACGTGTGTACAGGTAAACACACACACACATGAGGCTCGGTGATAGTGCGAAGACTGCAGAACGGGGCAAGTATTGTTTTCTGACTTCCCTCCTCCTCACTGTCTGTGCTTTTCTGTAGTAGGTTCTTTCAGTCCAGAGGAAAACCTCTCTCAGAAGCCCTCTGCTAGTCCCTTACTGGGACTAGTTTAATGTGTAAAAGAGAACAGGAAAAGATGTGGGTAATGGGGAAGTCAAAAAGAATGTGGAGGTTGAGTGGGGAAGGAAATGCTATTTGGAGGCAGTCAGATCCCGTGGTTCTTAGTCACACCAGTAACAGCAACACTTTCTCCAGGTATATTAGGCCTTCCTTGATGTTTGGATACTGGACGTATTTAACTACATTCATTAACATGCTCAAGATGCATTTCTGGAGCCAGAAGTATGTTCTTCATCAATACTGGAATTTTATGCTTGCATGGCCTTAAAAACCAACTTCTTCCATACAAATGTATTGTATTCCACTTGTTTGGTTAATTCACGTTTTTTCTCTCATTCAAGTTTGGTTTTGGTTGGTTTTCAATCCTAAATTCTACTTTTTCTGAACTCTTCTCCCTCATATTTATCTGTCTCCTGAAAGGTTGATGTACTTTATACTGGCTCTTTCTATCTTGGAGTTTTAAGGAAAGGAGTAAGTCTGACGTGCTCATTTGAATACCACCACCCTCTGTGTTATCCCCAGAAGTTTTCTTACTATCTCTCATGCTATTTTTGAGGGCTAAAATTGCAATCCTAGAGCTCCTTGTGGCCTCCCAGAGAACCATATAAATATGAAAAATAGGAAACGGATCAGCCTCTGGGGTTCTATTTATTCTAAATAAAGCTGTTTTATTGCCGAGTTTAAGAATCAGATGCAATAAATGCCCTTCATGCCATTCTTTCTAATGACTACATCCATCTTATCTAGCTTACTGAATTATGTTTATTAATTGCAGAAAATGAATCTGGCAAATCAGCTTTACTCATTCCAAATAACTTGAGAAGTGATGTTCAAGGAAGCAGTTGTGACTGAGCAAATGCATCAGAGTACTTTCAATACATGACCAATGACCATCAGTAGCGGTCTTCTGGTCCCTAACCAGAACATATTGTACCTTAATTAAGCCACTATGATATGGCCTTTACCTAATCTGCAATCTTTGAAACTGCCACTCCTAACCCCTACTCCAACTATATTTGCTGAATCAAACAATCTTTTTTACTCATATCTACAGCTACAAAGCATGGGAAGCATTCCTGAAATGTTCAATTGACTTCAAATTGCCTGTTTGTTTTTATTTTGAAAGGTGAGGTAAGGAGCCAGAGGGTTAGGAGGGTTATGCTAGGTGAAGGAGTAGAACCTTTTAAAACAAGCTTTGTATAGGAAAGAAAATGAAGAAGAGGAAAGAATATAGACTGAGGAGATAAGGCTAGAGCTGTGAGAGATATAAGATGAAAAAGGCATGCAAAGGAGGAAAAAATGAAAGAGAGCAAAGGAGTGGAGCATCAGGAAATCGAATAATTAGAGGAGGGCTCCAGCAAGAGGAAGTAGGCATAGTGATTACATTTTCAATCAATACTATTTTCTTTATTACTTGGATTATGTGCAATAATTACCTGTAATTTACTGTGCATATTTGCCATGATACTCAGAAATATAGCAATAGAGCTCTGATCTCCAGCATTTTGAACTCCAACAATATAAAACCCAACACAACATAATGTACTATGATGGAAGCAGTTTTGCTAGGCAATTCAATCACAATTTTGGCAAGAAAGAAGGTAGTTCGAAAGGGTCGACTAAAAGTTGAATTTGGGGACAGAGTTCATTTGAGGAGGTGGCAGCCTTTCTGAAGCTAGATCATAGCAAGCCAGACATTGGAGTGCTGGTGGGAATATGGCAAGTAAATTGGAGTCATCAGCAGAGACTAGACAGTCAAAATCCAGGGAATTCGTGTAGACAAAAGATATATTCTGAGGAAATGCTGAGAATTATGGGCCTGGAGTAGCAAGTGGAACCATCAAAGAGAGAGAGAGAGCATGCAAGCATGAGAGCAATGAGATGATATTTTGAATACAATTGGTGCCTGGTACTGTGCTAAATGCTGGGAATACAAAGATTACTAAAATATGGTTTCTGCTCTCAAGCTCATAGTACAGTCCAGGGAAACAGACATTCTGGCAACTACTTGCAATAAAGATTGTAACAGACATTTATCAGAAGTACAGAGTGGATACACAGAAGGAATCAGTGAACCGTGAGGAGAGGAGAATAAAATCACACACTTGTAGAGCACTTGATGCATGCTTAGTAATGTTTAAAGACCTTACATAATTATTTATTAAATATACACAAGTACATTATGAAGCAGATACTAATATCCTGCTTATTTTACAGATGAGGAGACTGAGGCATAGAGCAATTAGGTGACTTGCCCAATAACTCACAGCTTTGAAGTGGCAGAGCTGGTAGACAGTCTGGTCCCAGAATGCATTACACACACAGCACACTTTAAAGTGTCAAAATTTCGAGCATGAGGTGTTTGGCTTGATGCTCCGATATGGAGGAATGTGTTGGAAATTTTTCAGGTATTCAAGCTTGGACAAAGGCATTCTAGACAGACAGAAAGTATGTTGCAGAAGCACAGAACATACTCTAGATGAGATTCTAGACAGACAGAAAGCATGTTGCAGAAGCACAGCCTATTCTCCAAGGAAGTTGGTACAACCTGGCTATTAGTACGGCATCCTGACTTGGAACCTAGCTTTGATGGTTCCTAAGAAAATGCTGCTTTCAGCCAATATATTGTTTATAGACTTATTAAATTATCAAAATTATTTTCTATTCAGTTGGAGCCTCCATTGGCCTCACTCTTTTTTTTTCTTTTTTCTTTTTAATTATACTGTAAGTTTTAGGGTACATGTGCATAAGTTGCAGGTTAGTTACATATGTATACATGTGCCATGTTGGTGTGCTGCACCCATCAACTCGTCGTTTAACATTAGGCCTCGCTCTTAACTAGATGTTCTGTGAAACTATCTTCTCAATCCCAAATATTTTTGTAAAGTTTTGTCAAAGTAAAATAAAAGTAGAAAAGGAGAGCAAAGTCTAGAATAAAAATCTGAACAACCCAAAGTAACTCTATTTATTTTGATTTATAAATCTATTAATATTACATATCTAAGCCCAAAGCACCTTGTAGGCTCTGTCAAACACAGACAGGAAATTGTTGTTCTAATTCAGCATGTAGCTGGTGTTTCTGCCTTCCCTCATAACCTTTATATACCAATTATCACTTCCAACTTTCCTTCTTGAACCATCATTTTTCATCCTCCCCAGCTGCCATCTCACTTGTTTTCCTCTTCAGAATTGCCCAATGTCCTTCTGTAAAGTAGCTCTTCCAAATTCCTCAGCCCATTCTCAACAACAATCGACAGTGTCATCATGATAAGGCAGAGAACACAAAACTGAGACCTTGCTTTATACGCTGATGTGTGACAGAGCAATTGTTACATTCCACTTAGCTGATTAGTACAGAGATTAGTTTGGAGATTGCCTGTCATACCAAAGTTTAGGTTCTTAAGTATTTTCTATTGTAGGAGTATTTTCCCCAAATTTCTCTTTGATCTTTCTTTTTCTTTTCTTTTCTTTTTTTTTTTTCATAGAGAAGGTAGTAGAATGAAGCTGTCCTGCTCCATCTTTAAGATTTTTCCTCTTTTTCTGCTTCACCACTCTTGTTTCAACAAGTTGAATAAGAGATGAATTTGTTGTGTTTGCCTATGGAAAAACACTCTTTTAAAGTAGTGACAGTTATCAACAGAGGAGAGAGAAAGGACTTCCCAAATATTTATTATACTTCGAAATGACTCATATGCTAATATAGCCAATGCCTTAGGGCCAGTTGAGAACTTATGCATAGATTAGAAAAGGATTAGGAGCAGCAATTAATTTAGTAACAAGGGTAAGTGAAATGGGAGTTTTTCTTGAGGGAATTGCTTTTAGAAAGTGTATTCAATTAATTCCCAGTTTCTGGTTTCCTTTTGTTACTTTTACCTGTTGGCTTTTTAAAATTCAGAATAAAACAGATTGCCCTCTTACATTCAATTGACCTTATCCCTGTGCTATACGTGTTAAGGAGAGACATTATTCCTATTCTCAAGAAGGTTAAATTTCCCCAGGAGGAATATCTCATCATATTGTAACTGCCTGTTTACTTAGTGTTAAAGGGTAACAAGATAGGAAGGCCACCTAAAGTTCCCTGTGTAAGTCAAGCTTCTTCTAGGTATCCTGGAGGAAGAGATTTTTAAGAGAAAACTTGATGACTCTGAATTAGCCAAGAAATGTAAGTTTCAGGCAGTAGTTAAAAGTGAATGCTGTAGGGAAAGGCAGAGAAGACCTTAATACATATATTCCTTTATAAAAGCAACAAAAATACTAGAAATTGGTCAAAATCAACCTTTTCAAACCTGAGGAAGTTAACGAAATGCTTGCAACAATTCAAGGAGCATTTATTTAAGAAAAACTGCTGAATCTTGGTAAGAACAGTAGGGTTTGCGATATTGTAATTTAATCTACCCCCATCTCCCTTTTTCAGTTCTATGATAGCCTTCAAAACTAGTAGCCTCGCAAACATGAGAGCTGTGAGAACCAGCAGGCTTGCCTTCACCAGAGGAGCCAGACTGGATTTGGAGCTCCTCAAAACGTCTCATCTCGAGGCCATTTTCACTATTTGACCTGAAAGGCAGCTCTCTGGAGAAAGCCCAGTCACAGGGTATTATTTGACCTGACATCCTAGCTTCAGCTGACTCCACAAGACAAGCTTTATCGCAAAGCAATTGTTTAACTTTTCTGTTGCATAAATCTTCAACATAAATTGGGGCAAACAAGAGGCTAACCATGTAAGACTCTAGAGAGTGAGATGTCCATAGGAGGCTTTAAAATGCTCCAAGGCCAGGTATGGTGGCTTATGTCTGTAATCTCAGCACTTTGGGAGGCTTAGATGGGACGGTCGCTTGAGGCCAGAAGTTCAAGACCAGCCTGGGCAACAAAGTGAGACCCCACCTCTACAAAAAATAAAAAAATACACCTGTAGTCCCAGCTACTTGGGAGGCTGAGACAGGAGCTTCACTTGATCCCAGAAGGTTGAGTCTATAGTGAGTCATGTTCACGCTACTGCACTACAGCCTGGGTGACAGAACAGAACCCTGTCTCAAAAAAAATTAACATTAAAATTAAAAAAATAAAAATAAAATGCTCTGACACATTACTGGAGATTTAGAAGTCTGTGTGCATGTGCAGGGCTGTGGGCATGCCAATGAAAGACTTGAAGGGGTCTCAATTCTTTGACTTGGGCTGAACTTGAGGCCCTATTCAAGCAGGAAGTGAAGGTTAAGCCAAAACTGTGTGAACATCGAAGGTGTGCCCCAATATACAAACACAGAGACCCTCAGAAAAGAGGAAAATAATTATTGGGTCAAAGCATTTAAAGATATCTGTTAAATCATTAGCTGATCATTTAAGCTGATCAAGCACAATTTTGTAGCTAGAAAACACATGGAATACAGACATTACCAAATTAGTCCAGAAAATTCAATAAACAAACAAACAGCAGCAAGAACTACAACAAATAGCAACATCAATAAACCAGGCCAGGTGCCGTGGCTCATACCTTTAGTCCCAGCAACTCGGGAAGCTGAGGCAGGAGCATTGCTTGAACCTGGGAGGTCAAGGCTGCAGTGAGACATGATTGCACCATTGCACTCCAGCCTGGGCAACAGAGCGAGACCCTGTCTCCAAACACACACACAAACAGATGAACAAACAAAAAACAATAAACCCTGGGGGAGGGGATATCTGATTTTCAGAGTTATTGCATTATATTATTTAAAATGCCCAGTTTCAACAACAAAAGCAATTGCAAGTGATACAATGAAACATAAAAGTGTGGTCCTTACATGGGGAATGGGAGGGAGGAGGGAAACAGTCAATAGAAACTGTTCCAGAAGCAGTCGAGACATTTGATTTACCAGAAAAAAAGATTTTAAGTCAGCTCTTATCTTGAAAGAGCTAAAGAAAATCGTGTAAAGAACTAAAGTATGACCACAATGCCTCACTAACTATAAATAAAGATTGGATAAATTATAACAAAGAGCCAAATAGAAATTTTGGAGTTGGAATTGCAAAGACCAAAATGAAAAATCCAGTGGAGGGGCTTAACATCAGACTTGAGCAGGCAGGAGAAAGAATCAGCCCATCTGAGGACAGGGTCATTAAAATTATCCAATCCAAGGAACAAAAGGAAAAATGACTAAAGAATAATGAACCAGGCCGGGTGCGGTGGCTCATGCCTATAATCCCACACTTTGGGAGGCCGAGGCCGGCGAATCACCTGAGGTCAGGAGTTTAAGACCAGTCTGGCCAAAATGGTGAAACCCTATCTCTACTAAAAATACAAAAATTGGCCAGACCTGGTGGTGCATGCCTATAATCCCAGCTGCTCAGGAGACTGAGGCTGAAGAATCATTTGAACCTGGGAGGTGGAGGTTGCAGTGAGCTGAGATCACGCCACTGCACTCCAGCCTGGGCAATAAGAGCAAAACTCTGTCTCAAAAAAAGAAAAAGAAAATAATGAACCAGAGCCTCAGGGACCTGTGGGATGCCATTGAGCATATTCACCTATGCATTATAAAAGTCCCAGAGAGAGAAAAGAAGCAAAAGGGAGCAGAAATAATGTTTAAAGAAATAATGGCTGAAATTTCCCCAAATTTGATAGAAAACAATCTACATATCCAAGAAGCTCCACAAACTCCAAGTAGGATGAACTCAAAGAGAGCCACACATAGACACATCATAGTCAGACTGTAGAAAGCCAAAGAAAAAATGAAAACTTTAGTGAATAGCAATTCATCATCATTTATAAGGGATCTTCAATAGAATAAAGAGCTGACTTATCAGAATCTATGAAGCCAGAAAGCAGTGGGAGAATATATTTAAAGTGCTGAGAGAAAAAAGAGTCTATGTCCAAAGAAGCTATTCTTCAAAAACAAAAGAGAATTAAGATATTCCCAGATAAACAGAACTGAGGAGATGCATTGCTAGTAGACTTGTTCTACAAGAAATACTAAAGGGAATCATTCAGGCTATGATCAAAAGACACTATGCAATAAACTGAATCCACCTGAAGAAGTAAAGAGTACTGCTCAAGGTACTTACATAAGAAAATAAAAGCCAGTATAAATGCATTTTTGTTTGTAACTCTTCTGCTATCCAATTTAAAATGCAACCACAAAAAAACAATAATTATAAAAGACTTTTCAATAGACTTATAATGTATACAGATGTAATTTGTATGACAATAATAAGGGAGGAGATGGAACTATGTTGGAGCAAAATTTCTATATTTGATTGAAATTAAGCTGATGTTAATCAGAACTATAGTGTATTAAGACACTAATTGTAATTCAGCACAACCACTTAATCACCAAATCATTCAAAAATAGAGAAAAATAGAGAAAATTTGAATGGTACACTTAAAAATCGATTTTTAAAAAAATATTTTAAATTTTTGTGGGTACTTGGTAGTTATATATATTTATGGGATAAATGAGAAAATTTGATACAGGCATGCAATACATAATAATCACACCAAGGTAAATGGTGTATCCATCATCTTAAGTATTTATCCTTTGGGTTATAAAATATCCAATTATACTCTTTTAGTTGTTTGAAAGTGTACAATTAAATTGTTATTGACTATAGTCACCCTGTCCTGCTGTCAAATACTAAGTCTTTTTTCTTATTTCCAACTATTTTTTTTGTACCCATAAACCATTCCCTTCATGAGTTCAATTGTTTTGATTTTTAAATCCCACAAATAAGTGAGAACATGCAAAGTTAATCTTTCTGAGCTGAACTTATTTCACTTAACATAAGGATCTCCAGTTTCATCCATGTTGTTGCAAATGACAGGATTTCATTCTTTTTTATGGCTGAATCATACTTCATTATGTATATGTATCACATTTTCTTCATCCATTCGTCTGTTGATGGACACTTAGGTTGCTTCCAAATCTTGGCTACTGTGAATAGTGCTGCAATAAACAGGGAAATGTGGGTATCTCTTTGATATACTGATTTGCATTATTTTGGGTATATACCTAGCAATGGGATTGCTGGATCATGTGGTAGCTCTATTTTTAGTTTTTTGAGGAAGCTCCAAAAACTAAATAGTGATTGTACTAATTTACATTCACAAAAACAATGTATGAGGGTTCCCTTTACTCCACGTACTCATCAGCATTTGTTATTGCCTGTCTTTTGGATAAAAGCCATTGTAACTTGGGTGAGATGTTATCTCATCATAGTTTTCATTTGCATTTCTCCGACCATCAATGATATTGAGCATTTTTTCATATAGCTGTTTGCCATTTGTGTATCGCCTTTTGGGAAATGTCTATTCAAATCTTTTGTCCATTTTAAAATCATATTATTAGATTTTTTACTATAGAGTTGTTTGAGCTCCTTATATATTCTGGTTATTAGTCTCTTGTCAGATGGTAGTTTGCAAATATTTTCTCCCATTCTGTGGGTTGTCTCTTTACTTTGCTGATTCTATCCTTTGCTGTGCAGAAGCTTTTTAATTTGATGTGATCCCATTTGTCCATTTTTGCTTTGGTTGCCTGTGCTTATGGGATATTACTCAAGAAATCTTTGCCCAATTGAATGTCCTGAAGAGTCTCCCCAAAGTTTTCTTGTAGTAGTTTTATAGTTTGAGGTCTTAGATTTAAGTCTTCTATCCATTTTGATTTGATTTTCATATACAGCGACAGATAAGAGTTGTGGTTTCATTCTTCGGCATATGGATATCCAGTTTTTCCAGCACAATTTATAGAAGAGACTGTCTTTTTCCCAGTGTATGTTCTTGGCAACATTGTCAAAAATGAGTTTACTGTAGGTGTGTGGATTTGTTTCTGGGTTCTCTATTCTGTTCTATTGGTCCATGTGGCTTTTCTTTTTTTATGCCAGTACCATGCTGTTTTGGTTACTATAGCTCTGTAGTATAATTTAAAGTTAGGTAACAAGATTCCTCCAGCTTTGTTCTCTTTGCTCAGGATAGCTTTGGCTATTCAGGGTCTTTTGTGGTTGTATATAAATTTTAGGTTTTTTTTTCCTATTTCTATGAAGAATGTCATTGGTATTTTGATAAGGATTGCATTGCATCTGCAGATTGCTTTGGGTAGTAAGAACATTTTTAGCCATATTGATTCTTCATATCCACGAACATGAAATATCTTTCCATTTTTGGTATGCTCTTCAAATTCTTACGTTAATGTTTTATAGTTCTGATCATAGAGATATTTTAGTTTTTGATTAATTCCTAGGCATTTAATTTTATTTATAGTTATTATAAATGGGATTACTTTCTTAATTTCTTTTTCAGATTGTTCAGTGTTGGCATATAGAAGTGCTACTGGTTTTCAAATGTTGATTTTGTATCCTGCAACTTTACTGAATTTGTTTATGAGTTCTAATAGTTCTTTTGGTGAAATCTTTAGGTTTTTGCCAAATATAACATCATGTCATCTGTAAATGAGAATATTTATAATTTCTTTCTTTCCAATTTGGATGCCTTTTATTTCTTTTTCTTGTCTGACAACTCTAGCTAAGGCTTCCAGTACTATGTTGAATAATAGTGGTATAAGTGGGTGCCCTTGTATTGTTCCAGATCTTAGAGGAAAGGTTTTCAGTTTTTCCCCATTCAGTATGATACCAACTGTGGGTCTGTCATATAGGGCTTCTATTATGTTGAGATGTGTTCCTTCTATACTCACTTTTTTGAGGGATTTTATTATGCAGGGATGTTGAATCTTATCAAATGCTTTTTCAGCATCAATTGAAATGATCATATGTTTTTTTTCTCCATTCTGTTAATGTGCTGTATCACACTGATTGATTTGCATGTTGAACCATCATTGCATCTCTGGATAAGTCCCACTTTATCACGATGAATGACTTTTTAAATGTGTTTTTCAATTTTGTTTGCTAGTATTTTTGAGGATTTTTGCATCAATATTCATAAGGAATGCAGCCTATAGTTTTCTTTTTGTGATGTGCGTTTGTCTGGTTTTGGTATCAGCGTAACACTAGTCTTATAGAATGAGCTTGACAATATTCCTTCCACTATTTTTTGGAATAGTTTGTGTATAATTAGTATTAGCTCTTCTTTAAATGTTTGGTAGAATTCAGCAGTGAAGCCATCAGGTCCTGGGCTTTTCTTTACTGAGAGACTTTTTATTACAGCTTCGATCTCCTTATATGTTATTGGTCTGTTCACGTTTTGGATTTCTTCATGGTTCAATCTTGGTAGGTTGTATGTGTCTGGGAATTTGTCCATCTCCAACTTATTGGCATACAGTTGCTTATAGTAGCCAATAATGATCCTTTAAATTTCAATGGTATCAGTTGTAATGTCTTCTTTTTTATCTCTGAATTTATTCATTTTGTTCTTCTTTTTTTTCTTTTTTTTTAAGTTACTCTGGCTAAAGGTTTGTAAATTTTCTTTATATTTTCCAAAAACAATTTTTTATTTCATTGATCTTTTGTATTGTTGCTTCATATCAATTTCTCACTTTATTGCTCAGGCTGGAATGCAGTGGCATGATCTTGGCTCACTACAACCTCTGCCTCTTGGGCTCAAGCAATCCTCCCACCTCAGTCTCTTAAGTAGCTGGGACTACAGGCACTTGCCACCACGCTTGGCTAATTTTTTTTTTTTGCAGAGATGGTGTTTCACCATGTTGTCCAGGCTAGCTTCGAACTCCTGGACTCAAGTGATCCACCTGCCTCAGCCTCCCAAATTGCTCAGATTACAGGTGTGAGCCACCACACCTGGACTTCATTTCAACTTTATATATTCGTGCTCTGATCTTTATTATTTCTTTTATTCTACTAATGTTGGATTTGGTTTTCCCTTCCTTTTCTAGTTCTTTAAGATGTATTATTAGGTTATTTATTTGAAGTTTTTCTTCCTTTTTGATATAGGCACTTAGAGCTACAAACTCCCCTCTTAGTCTCGCTTTTGCTGTATCCCATAGGTTTTGGTATGTTGTGGTTCCATTATCATTTATTTCAAGAAATGTTTCAATTTTTTTCTTAATTTTTTAAATTGACCCACTGGTCATTCAGAAGCATATTTTAAAATTTCCATGTGTTTGTGTAGTTTCCAAAGTTCCTCTTGTTATCAATTTCTAGTTTTATTTCATTGTGGTTAGAAAAGATGCCTAAAATTATTTCAATTTATTTGAATGTTTTAAAACCTATTTTGTGAGCTAACGTATGGTCTATCCTTGAAAATGATCCATCTTCTGAGGAAAAGAATATGTATTCTCCAGCAATTGGATGAAATGTTCTGTAATTATTAGATCCATTTGTTCTGTAGTGCAGATTAAGTTCAATGCTTCTTTGATGATTTTTCATCTGGATGATCCAATGCTCAAAGTGGAGTGTTGCAGTCTCCAGCTATTATGATATTGGGGCCTATCTCCCTCTTTAACTCTAATAATATTTGCTTCATATATCTGGGTGCTCCAGTGTTGGGCACATATATTATATGTATTTAAAATTGTTATATTCTCTTGCTGAATTGACCCCTTTATCATTATATAGTGACCTTCTTTGTCTCTTCTTATAGTTTTTTGTCATGAAATCTATTTTGCCTGATAAAAGTATAACTACTCCTGCTCTTTTTTAGTTTCCATTGGCATATAATATCTTTTTTCATCCCTTTATTTTCAGTCTATGTGTATCTTCACAGGTGAAGCATGTTTCTTGTAGACAACATATCACTGGGTCTTTTTTTTTTTAATCCATTCAGCCACTTGATATCTTTTGATTGGAAAGTTTAGCCCGTTTATATTCAATGTTATTATTGATAAGTAAGGACTTACTCCTGCCATTTTGTTGTCTGTTTTCTGGTTGTGTTATGATCTTCTCTTCCTTCTTCCTTATTTCTGTCTTCCTTTTAGTGAAGGTGATTTTCTCTGGTGACATGATTTAGTTTCTTGCTTTTGATTTTTTGTGTGTCCATTGTATGCTTTTTTGGTTTGAGGTTACCATGAACTTTCCAAATACTATCTTATAACCCATTATTTTAACCTGATAACAAGTTAATGCTGATTGCATAAACAAGCAAATTGACTAACAAATGAGCAGAAAGAATGCTAAAAAAATTTCTACACTTTATCTCCCGCTGTTTTAACTTTTTGTTGTTTCTAAATGGGATTATATTTTATTGTACTGTCTATGTCTTGAAAAGTTGTTCTAGCTATTATTTTTGACCAGTTCTTTTTGTCTTTCTACTTAAGATATGAGTAGTTTACATACCACAATTACACTGTATTAACATTACGTGAGTCTTGGTGTACTTACTATTACCTGTGAGTTTTGTACCCTCAGATGATTTTTTATTGCTCATTTGCCTTTTCTTTCAGATTGAAAAACTCTCTTTAGCATTTCTTATAAGATATGCCTAGTGTTGATGAAATTCATCAGCTTTTGTTTGTCTGGAACAGTTGGTATTTCTCCTTCATGATTTAAGGATAATTTTAGCAGATATACTATTCTAGGGGAAATTTTTTTCTCTTCAGCACTTTAAATATGTCATGCCACTCTCTCCTGGCCTTTAAGATTTCGACTAAAAAGTCTGCTGCCAGACACGTTGGACCTCCATTTTAAGTTATTTGTTTCTTTTCTCTTTCTGCTTTTAGGAACTTTTCTTTATCCTTGACCTTTGATATTTTAATTATTATATGCCTTGAATTAGTCTTCTTTGGGTTAAATCTGCTTGATGTTCTATAACCTTCTTGTACTTGAATACTGATATATTTCTTTAGGTTTGGGAAGTTCTCTGTTATTATCCCTTTAAATAAACTTTTTATCTGTATTTCTTTCTCTTCCTCTTGTTTAGGGCTAATATATCTTAGATTTGCCCTTTTGAGGCTATTTTCTAGGTCTCTTAGGCATGCTTCTTTCTTTTTTATTTTTTCTTTTGTTTCCTCTGACTGTGTATTTTCAAATAGCCTGTCTTCAAGCTCACTAATTCCTTTTTCTGCTATTAAGAAACTCTGATTCATTCTTCAGTATGTCAGTTACATTTTCCAACTCCAGAACTTCTGCTTGATTCTTTTTTATTATTTCAATCTCTTTGTTAAATTTATGGGAGAATTCTGAATCCCTTCTCTGTGTTCTCTTGAATTTCTTTGAGTTTCCTCAACACAGCTATATTAAGTTGTCTGTCTGAAAGGTCACATATATTTGTTTCTCCAGGATTGGTCCCTGGTGGCCTATTTAGTTCATTTGGTGAGGTCATGTTTTCCTGGGTGGTGGTGATGCTTATGGATGCTCATCGGTGTCTGGGCATTGAAGAGTTAGGTATTTATTGTAGTCTTTGCAGTCTGGGCTTGTTTGTTCCTGTCTTTCTTGGGAAGGCTTTTCAGGTATTCAAAGTGACTTGTGTGTTGTGATTTAAGCTTCATCTGGTTTAGGGGGCACCCCAAGCCCAGTATCCCTGTGGTTCCTGCTTATAGACTTATAAAAGTACCACCTTGGTGGTCTCTGATAAGATTTGGAAGCTTTCTCTGCGTTACCAAGGAGACATTTTTGTTCCCTTCTCTTACTTTCTCCCAAACAAATGGAGTCTCTCTTTCTGTGCTTAATCACCTGGAGCTAGGGGTGAGGTGACACAAGCCCCACTGTGGTCACCACTAGAGGGACTGTGTTAGGTCAGACCTGAAGCCAGCACAACACTGGGTCTCACTCAAGTAATCACTACTTGGATACTGCCTATGTTTGCTCAAGGCCCTAGGGCTCTACAGTCAGCAGTTGGTGCCACCAGCCAGGCTTATGTCTTCCCTTTCAGGGCTGTGAGTTTCTTTAGGTCTCAGGCAGTCCAGAGATGCCATCTTGGATCCAGGAATTGAAGTCAAAAACCTTAGATATCCACCTGGTACTCTATATACTATTGTGGCTAAGCTGGCACTTAATCCACTCTTCCCTCCACCTTCCACATGCAGAGGAGCCTCTCCATGGTCACCACCCTCAGGGTGGTCCACAGGGACTACTTTCAGGCTACCATCGATGTTCACTTGAGGCCCAAGAGCTCTTCAGTCAGCTTCTGGTAAATGCTGCCAGGCCTGGGACTCACTTTTTAGGGCAGTGGGCTTCCCTCTGGCCCAGAAAAGGTCCTGAAATACAATCCAAGAGCCAAGGCCTAGAATCAGGGACCCCAAGGACCCACTTCATACTCTACCCAACTGTGGATGTGCTGGTACATAAGGTGCAAGAATAAGTCCTCTTTACTTTTCTCTGCTTTTCTCAAGCAAAGGAGCCTTTCACCGTATCCACCACAGCTGGAAACATGCTGGGTCTCACCTGAAGCCAGCAAGTCTCAGAGGCTTACCCCAGGCTTATGGCATATTATCTGGGTATTGCTGCTGGTTATTCAGGGCCCAGTGGCTCTTTAGTAAGTAGGTGATAGATCTTGCCAGGACTGGGTCCTTCCCTTCAAAGAAGCAAGTTCCCTTCTGGCCCAGGGTAAGTCTATAAATGTCGCCCTGAAGCTAGGGCCTATAATGGGGGCCTCATGACTCTGGCTGGTGCCCTATCTTACCATGGCTGAGCTGGTATCCAAGATGCAAGACAAAGTCCTCTTTACTCTTCCTTCCCCATCCCATCCACCAGCGGGATGGTGGCCAGGTGGCATTAGAGATTCAAGACTGTCTCATGGCTGTAATCCTAGCAATTTGGGAGGCTGATGGCTGGGAGTGGTGGCTCACACCTGTAATCCTAGCAATTTTGGAGGCTGAGGCAGGAAATTTGCTTGAGCCCAGAAGTTCGAGACCAGGCTGGGCAACATAGATAGACCCTGTCTCTACAAAAAAATAAAATAATTAAGCAGAGGCATGGTGTCACACGCCTGTGGCCCAGCTACTCGGGTGGCTGAAGTGGGAGGATCGCTTGACCCTAGGAGTTTAAGGCTACAGTGAGCCACGATTGTGCCACTGCACTCCAGCCTGGGTGACAGAGTGAGACATTGTCAAAAAAAAAAAAACAAAAAAACCTGTCTTTTCTACCCTTTTCAATGCTTCTTTTAGCAATGTTAAGTTAAAACCAGGGACTGTGATTGCTCACCTGATTTTTTGTTCTTATGAAGTTGCTTTTTGTGTAGATAGTTGTCAAATTCAGTGTCCCAGTGGGGAGGACAATCAGTGCAGGCTTCTACCTGACCATCTTGATCTGCTCCTAAAAAATAACTATGTAACTATCTAACACACACACGAAAAAACACCATAATGAAGTACTGGTGGAACAAAAAAGGTGAAAGGCATGTAGAAAGCAAAAATGTCAGAGCTACATTTTATCATTAACTATTAAACACCGATGGATTAAACACTCTGACCTAAGGGTAGAAATTAGCATAATAAACGTAAAAAACAAACACACATGATCTAACTATATGTAGTCCACAGGAGACATACTCAAGATTCAAAGACACAAATAGGCTGAAAATAAAAGGATGGAAAAATATACTTAGTGCAAATAGTAGTCAAAATAGGCAAAAATGAAATCGAGAACTGCTAGTTCCTTTTAATATCACACATAAAAGCTCACAGTAGAATCATCTCTTTTTAGCTTTCTTTTTGGTATTGATTTCTACATTAATTAAACTGGGATCAGAAAACATGGTTGTAACAAAAAATTCCTTGAAATTTGGCAAAGATTGATTTTATGGATTAATATGTGGTCAGTAATTTTTAAATTGTCTATGTATACTTGAAAAGAATACATATGACCTAAAGCAGGAAGAATGGGGTGTGGGAAAGGCTCCTGTCGTGTCTTCCTTTGTCAGAGAGAAAAATGTGAATTTGTGGTACCTGTGGAATGCTCAGATGGAAATATCCAGAAGACAGAAATTCATATAAATCTGGAGTTGTCTGAATAGAGATAGGGATTTGGAAGTTGTCAGCAAAAGAGCATGAGAAATAAGAGGCAGAGATGATGCCAACGTTTGCAAGTCAGAAACTTGAATTGATTAATTACCCAAGGGGCATTGACTTTGGAACTGCATTGTAATATCCAGACTTACCTGTCAAAGGGAACAGAGAACTGTGTTAACTAACCAATACTTTTTCTTTCTGATAGGAAAACCTACTTGGAGAACTAAAATAACATAAGAGACTGGAAATGGGATGATTTTACATATCCTACCATAAAATTAGGATATTTAGACCTCTGAGATCATTTTAAATGCCTTCAGCCTGTGTTCCAAGATCAGACCAGTTTCATGTGTTTCGATGTGTTGTAATTACAAATAAGGATTCATTGTATGCTCCTGGGCAAGGCAACGGCATTCAGTGTGAACCCCGCTAGCATTAGTTATTGACTGTTTTGTGCGGGCATCATGCTAAAATTGCAGGGGAGGCATATAGCCTCTTCAATGAGCTTTTGCTGTAAAAGGGAAATTCAACAATTACCAACAGTTTTACCTTTCCACTTACCTACTTAACTTGATACCTAGCTAATTAACAATCCTAGGCCAGGCACAGTGGCTCACGCCTGTAATCCCAGCACTTTGGGAGACCGAGGCGGGCAGATCACCTGAGGTCAGGAGTTCGAGACCAGACTGGCCAACATGGTGAAACCCCATCTCTATTAAAAATACAAAAATTAGCGGGCATGGTGGCAGGCACTTGTAATCCCAGCTACTTGGGAGGCTGAGGCGGGAGAATTGCTTGAACCCAGGAGATGGAGGTTGCAGTGAGCCGAGATTGCGCCATTGTTCTCCAGTCTGGGTGACAAGAGTGAGACAAAATTCTATCAAATGCTCTCTGTTCAAATATATGGATTTTATTATTTAATAAAAAGATTGATTTTTAATAAGAAGCAACTCAATATTTAATATGATATTAAATATATATACATATATATTTTAAATACTCACTGCACAGTACATTAGAAAACTGGACCTGGCTAGGCATTTTATATTATATAGCTCATATACTCTGCTATTTTTGTGTGGTTGTTTTGTTTTGTTTTGTTTTTGCTCTTCTGCAATGGCATTGCTGAGTTCTCAGTTAAACTCTATAAATTATTCCATTATGATATGAATCATTAACTAATAAGTCATATGCATTTATCTTTAATAATCCACAAAGTAAATATCACATGGTCATAAAATAGAGATTACTACTTAATGATCCATAATTATATTATAGCAAATGTGTATTTATTGTTATGGGAATTTTCTCAGCACAAAAGCTAGTGTTCAAATTTAGCAGAATTAAAGACAGAGAGAGACAGAAAGAAAGAGAGAGAGAAAGAGTCTCACTCTGTCACTGAGGCTTCAGCCTCAGTGCAGTCGTGTGATCATGGCTCACTGCAGCCTTGAACTCCCTGGGCTCAGGTGATCCTCTTGCCTCAGCCTACCTAGTAGCTGGGACCACAGGCATGTGCCACCACACTCTGCTAATTTTTTAACTTTTTGTAGAGACAGAGTCTCACTATGTTGCCCAGGATGGTCTCAAACTCCTGGGTTCAAACAATCTACACACTTCGGCCTCCCTAAGCACTGGGATTACATGAATGAGCCACCATGCCTGGCCTATTTTTTAAAATATTATAAAATATGACATATAATTATAAACTAATATATAATTTATCTCAGATGTTTAAAAACAATGATATTATCAACATCAGAAAATACAAAATATAAAACCATTAAAGAAGAAAATGAAAAAAATTTTTGAAAATAATAGATGAAGAAACTAAAAAAAAAAAGCTTTTAGAAACTTCTAGCCTCAGAATACAGCCCAGATAAATAACAAATGAAGATGGTTGGGGATGTACTTCATCTTCCATGTCAGTGATAACAGAATAATTTTTTTAAGTATAAATTTTTTAAAAATTCTGAAGAGTTATTAAACCAAATGTACTTTACACCAATTCAGGTAGCTAGGCATAAATTTTAATATTAAACAACAGTCTTATTGAAAATGGTCCCAAAAGTAATGGCAACAAAAGCCAAAATTGACAAATGGGATCTAATTAAACTAAAGAGCTTCTGCACAGCAAAAGAAACTACCATCAGAGTGAACAGGCAACCTACAGAATGGGAGAAAATTTGTGCAATCTACCCATCTGACAAAGGGCTAATAGCCAGAATCTACAAAGAACTCAAACAAATTCGCAAGAAAAAATCAAACAACCCCATCAAAAAGTGGGCAAAGGATATGAACAGACACTTTTCAAAAGAAGACATTTATGCAGCCAACAGACACATGAAAAAATGCTCATCATATCTGACCATCAGAGAAATGCAAATTAAAACCACAATGAGATATCATCTCATACCAGTTAGAATGGCAGTCATTAAAAAGCCAGGAAACAACAGGTGATAGAGAGGATGTGGAGAATTAGGAACACTTTTACACCGTTGGTGGGACTGTAAACTAGTTCAACCATTGTGGAAGACAGTGTGGCGATTCCTCAAGGACCTAGAACTAGAAATACCATTTGACCCAGCCATCCCATTACTGGGTATATACCCAAAGGATTATAAATCATGCTGCTATAAAGACACATGCACACATATTTTTATTGCAGCACTATTCACAATAGCAAAGACTTAGAACCAACCCAAATGCCCATCAATGATAGACTGGATTAAGAAAATGTGGCACTTATACACCATGGAATACTATGCAGCCATAAAAAATGATGAGTTCATGTCCTTTGTAGGGACATGGATGAAGCTGGAAACCATCATTCTGAGCAAATTATTGCAAGGACAGAAAATCAAACACCACATGTTCTCAGTCATAGGTGGGAACTGAACAATGAGAACACTTGGACACAGGGTGGGGAACATCACACACTGGGGCCTATCATGGGGTGGGGGAGGGGGGAGGCATAGCATTAGGAGATATACCTAATGTAAATGATGAGTTAACATCATTAAATGATATGTATACATGCAGCACACCAACATGGCACATGTATACATATGTAACAAACCTGCACGTGTACCCTAGAACTTAAAGTATAATAGATAAATAAATTAATAAATAATTAAAAATAGGATTAATATTAAAAAAAGAAAATGGTATGGTTTGAACTTTTATATAAGTTATTATACATGAATTTTTTCTAATGGCAAAAATCGCTAGATCCTGGTTGCTTTACTTTACCTCAAATAATTCTATATTTTTTTCAATGTTCCAAAGTTTTTGGAGATAGAAAACTATCAATTAAAAGTAGGAGCACAAAGATTAGCAACATGAGCCGAATGTTTATGAAACTTGAAGAAACTGAAAAGTATATTACCAATAGTCCTAGGTACTCAAAATTTAAATCCAGTTTGAAAAATAGCTGTAGTGTAATAGAACATTAAGAAAAATGAAAGTGAAAAAAAATTGTCGTGTTGTTGTTAAATTAATAATATATGTTTCTACTTTTGGTAAAACAATATCTAGCACTCAGATGAAGATATCTAGGAAACTTTATGAGCATGATAATGGCAATTTTACTCACTTGGCAGAAACAATCCCGACATTTGATAACATTACAAATGCTAAATATTTATGCAGAATACGATGACACCAAATGCTATTAAAAATTTTAAGAATTGAAAAAAAATTTTAAGGGACGAAATCCAAAACCAAATAATTAAAATTATAACACGTGATAAATGAAATAACTGTGAATAAGATAAGAAATTCTAAATAGTATTTGATTATTTTAGTACAACAAAAGGGCAATGGATAAGAAGATGAATCAAAGTGACATACAAATAGAAGTAAATGAGCCTAACTGTATTTCAAATAAATATTAGCATCACATTGTAGTGATGCTAACTCAAGGTAGTTTGGAACACAGTATTTGGTCATATGCCCTCAGAATAAAGATAATTAGAACTATAACCAGTGCACATTCTAGTTGGTAAATTCATTTTCTCTGTGCGTTGCTAGCAATTTTGAAACTATATATATTGTAGGACTGATCAAACAAGTAAATATATTGTGGAAAATTATAAGCAAGTTTTTTACTTCTGGAGAAGGAAATTAAAAATATGGAAAGGAGAAAGCAAGAATTGACCCTGTGTTGTTATTGCGTAGTAAACTGGACAGCATCAGTCTTAAATTCAGGTAATATCTATATCTGTCCATGCCTCTTTACACAAGCATACGTAGAAACAATAGTACATCAGCAGCAGTCAATGAGCATATCTAGCACACAGATCTTAGTTTCTAAATACAATTTTCCCCTACTAGGAACCAGGTTCCATGGGAAGTTTTGGAGTAAGGAAAGTACAAGATGAGCCTGAAAGAATTTATGCCAGAAAATAAGGAAATGTTCAAACAATGATGAAGACATGTAAAAAATGACACAGAGTCAGTTTGAAGGGGCTAACACTGGCCAAATCTGGGACAATTTGAGAATCAGAATAAATGATGCAGTAACAGATAATAACCCATAGAATAAAATAAGAAACCATGAGCTTTTATTAATATATATAAATGAATAAAAATAAATTAATAAGGAAGAAGGGAAAACTCACCCTTACAGTAGAATCCAAAATAAAGAAGGGATGGTCAAATTAGAACATTGCCATTTGGCAACTACTATAGCAATAATAGCTTCAGGGAAAGATCATCAATGGACACCAAAGTTAGCGAATGATGGGAAATAAGATATTTAATTAGTCTCAAAGTATCTCTCCGCAAGGTACTTATTAATTACAAAGGGAAAACTAGTAACTTTATAGTAGAGACACCAAGCAGACACCCCTTTAACCGATAATGAAAGTTAACATCACCAGGTAATGGGACAAATTGCTGTCATGGACCTCATTATACGATATGATGAGAAGAACCAATATTGATTTTGTGATATTCCTGTCAAAAATGTGTAAGTTGAATCTAATCAAAAGGAAACATCAGGCAGACCTAAACTGAGGGACTTTTGACAAAAGAACTGGCCCGTACTGTTCAAAAATGTCATGGTTATGAAAAAAAAAGAGAGACTGAAAAAATGTCTCAAAGGAGACCAAAGTGCTGTGGATATGAAAAGCAACGTGTGATCCCAGGAATGGATCCTGGACGAGATTTTTCGTTTCTGTTCATATGAACGATGTTAGTGTGATAACAGGGAGATTGAATAGAACTGAAAATTAGCTAATATTATTTTATCATTTTTAAGTTCCCGATTTTGGTTAATATACTGTGTTTAGGAAATGGAATACCCATGTTTTAAGGGAATACCAACTGGGGTATTTAGAGATGGAAATTTTATTTTCAACCTTCTATCAAATGATTCCAGAAAAGTCATGTGTGTGCGTGGAGAGAGAGGGAGAGAGTGAAAGGGAAAGAAACAAATACAGAGACAGAGATAGTGACAGCAAATGGGGTAAGGTAAACTTTGAACATTTGGGGGAATCTCAGTGAATGGGTATATATAAATCATTTGTGCAATTTTGGTAGTATTTCTGTAAGTCTGAAATTGTTTCAAAACAAAAAGTTAAAGAAAAATTTTTTAAAGATAATTTTAACCACCACTCAATTTTTAAGATAAATTCTGGGTGTGAAACAGTTAAAGCAGATAAAAATCATTAGATCTTCTTCTGCACAGCAAAAGAAACTACCATCAGAGTGAACAGGCAACCTACAGATTGGGAGAAAATTTGTGCAATCTACCCATCTGACAAAGGGCTAATAGCCAGAATCTACAAAGAACTTAAACAAATTTACAAGAAAAAAATCAAACAACCCCATCAAAAAGTGGGCGAAGGACATGCAAAGACACTTCTCAAAAGAAGACATTTATGCAGCCAACAGACACATGAAAAAATGCTCATTGTCACTGGCCATCAGAGAAATGCCAATCAAAACCACAATGAGATACCATCTCACACCAGTTAGAATGGCGATCATTAAAAAGTCAGGAAACAACAGGTGATGGAGAGGATGTGGAGAATTAGGAACGCTTTTACACTGTTGTTGGGACTGTAAACTAGTTCAGCCATTGTGGAAGACAGTGTGGCGATTCCTCAAGGATCTAGAACTAGAAATACCATTTGACCCAGCCATCCCATTACTGGGTATATACCAAAGGATTAAAAATCATGCTACTATAAAGACACATGCACACATATGTTTATTGTGGCACTATACACAATAGCAAAGGCTTGGAACCAACCCAAATGTCCGTCAGTGATAGACTGGATTAAGAAAATGTGGCATATATATGCCATGGAATACTATGCAGCCATAAAAAAGGATGAGTTCATGTCCTTTGTAGCGACATGGATGAAGCTGGAAACCATCATTCTGAGCAAACTATTGAAAGGACAGAAAACCAAACACTGCATGCTGTCACTCGTAGGTGTGAATTGAATGACGAGAACACTTGGACACAGGGCAGGGAACATCACACACCAGGGCCTGTCGTGGGGTGGGGGGATGGGGGAGGGATAGCATTAGCAGAAATATCTAATGTAAATGATGAGTTAATGGGTGCAGCAAACCAACATGGCACATGTATACATATGTAACCTGCACATTGTGCACATGTACCCTGGAACTTAAAGTATAATGAAAAAAATTATTAGCTCTTTGGATTTTTGAAATACAAATATTTTTATATGGATACATTTGTGTGTATATTCCCCAGTAGATGTCACAAATGGAGAATTATACATGTTTTTAGTAGTCTGCTTTCAAAAACTGAATCTTAACAAAAATAACTTGAGAAGTTTTATATCCATATAGAGATACCATATTGCTATATTAATTGAAAGCATACAAATTTCAATAGGTCTTTAAAAAATCTCGGGTATCCTATTACCTTTTTCTATGCATTCTTTAAACTTGATAGTGAATTATACAGCAAACATCTCTTTTGTCAGCCCTAGGAATTATTTTTTATGATTGGCCTGGTTTTAAATTGGAGGTTGACTTTTACAGCAACAGAGAAATACATTGAAAAGAATCCTTTTACAGGCTACTAATAAATTATCTACCCATTGAAAATACCATTTTTTTAGAGAAACATGGACTCACATTTTGTTGCCTATGCCATATTGTATACTCAGAAAACTTTGCAGGAAGGTTCTGACTAGAAATCATACCCTTGGCATGGAAGTTTATGCAAACTTTCACTATATTTTCTTATCAATCACTCTTAAGCAAATAGTTCTAGTGAAAAAAATAATGCAAACAAATAAGAATGCCCTAAATCAGATTGTTTTAGAAGAGACTGGACACTGTGAAGAGATGACTAGCTATCCACCAAAGATTCTTGCTCCTGATCCATATTGTAAACTTATAATTGAATAGTGGCTGCCTAGTTAAAGTCTGCATTTCTGGCTGTCTTGGAATTAGATGGGGGTGATGTGGTTGAGTTCTAGCTAATGGAAACAGAAGTAACACTATTTTTGTTATTTCCAGACATGGTCCATGACCCATAAAAACTTCTGATGTAATAATACACTCTCTCTTCCCCTATCTACCAGCTGGTTGTTGAATTCCTGTGTGACATTTGAAGATTCACGTTGAAGATGAGAGAGCTTCTGACAGACTGAGTCCCAGATTAGCTACATGGGCATTACCTTTCCACAACTACCGAGCGGACTTAATATCAGTGAGAAATAAACTTCCATTGTAATCCACTGAGAATTTTTTTACTTTAACCTTTGTCAACAAACTAGCATTTACCTTTGCTAATGCAGACACAAATGTGTCTTATTTTTTATTGTTCAAGTTACCATATCTTGTTTGGCAAAATAATAATCATAACAATAATAATAAAAAAGTACTGGATTTACTTTGAACAGTTTGCCTTAAAAACTACCTCCCGAATTTACTAAGGCCTTTTTCTTTTTTTGATTTGTTTTTCTTTGCTTTTAATAAACACTAATCTCTCTACAAATTATGGAGTGAGATCAATAGAACTATTGACGTTATAATCAAATTCTGAGGCCTGTGTTAGCTATTTCCAGGTTGTCATATGTTGAGAAGGGAAAGAGGAGTGTGAAGAGATAAGACATGAATACAAGAAGCTGGGTGCGGTAGCTCACACCTGTAATCCCAGCACTTTGGGAGGCAGGTGGATCGCTTGAGCCCAGGAGTTGGAGACCAGCCTGGGAAACATGGCGAAACCTGGTCTCCACTAAAAATACAAAAATTAGCCCGGCATGGTGGTGCACACCTGTAATCCCAGCTACTTGGGAGGCTGAGGCAGGAGAATCACTTGAACCTGGGAGGCGGCGGTTGTAGTGAGTCGAGATCACACCATAGCACTCCAGCCTGGGCGACAGAGCAAGAGACTCCATCTCAATAATAATAATAATAACAAAATAAAATAAAAGACATGAATACTTGTTTCTTCAAGGACAGGTTTTATGTCTTACTCAATACGGTAGGTTTAGCATCTAGTACATGATAGATATTCAATAGGGTTGTTGACTGAGCAATTCCTCAAGAGGATTTACAAAATCAAAGTGCCAAAACCAGGTAATTCCAGACATTTTCTTTGGACATAGAAAAATGACCCTAAAATAATTTTAGTGAAGAAAGCTAGGGGTTGCTATGATTCAATGTTCATGTTTTGGTTTTTTTGTTGTCTGCTGAACTGGGCTTAGTTTAGAACAATTTTATAGCAAAAATACTCTTTGGAAGTATGAATCGCTTTTGCTTGAATTTTACTGTTGTCGATATGTCATTACCCTAAATTGACCAAAATGGTATCCTGCAAAACATGCAATGTACCTTTCCATTTCCATGATTTTTTCACACTGTTTTTCCTGCCTGGATATGTTCCCTTCTATTATTCCTTTATCTAATGCCTGCCCTTGCTTTAGAGAATAGCTCAACTCCCATCCATTGCCTCATACTATTGCAGACTCAAATGATCTTTTTGTTCTCTAAGTTCCTCTGACTCTAAACTTGCAGTATCATCCATAAATTAGAAATCATACATTACTTTGCTTCTTTATCTTTATCAGCATCTTGTTTATCCAATTCCATTAAAAATGTCATGAGTGTAGAGCCGCTGTCTTAGACTATTTTGCATTCCCAACACCTAGCGGAGCACCTTTGCCTTCTACATAGTAAGTATTAAATGTTTAAAAAGAGGCAGACTCCTGTAACTGTGTCAAAAAAATAAAAAATAATAAAAATAAAAGAGTTATAAAGAGGTAGACAGAACGTAGTAAAAAAAATACTGTCATGTATAAGCAAAGAAATATGTACAAGGATGCTGTTTGTGTACTTTTTTGTACTGACCAAAGATTAGAAACAAGTTAAATGCCTATCAGTAGAGGACTAAATAAATCCTGGTACATCCATGCATTAGAGTAGCTTGCAACAATTCAAAAAGAAGACACCTGCTCTTTATAAACATGAAGGGAAGTATCTTCAAATATATATTAAGTGGATAAAAAGTAGCAAGATAGTATGTGTGATACACTTTGTATAATAAAAATGATGGTTGTATAGTCATAAACCTTTCAAAGAGGATATACAAGAGACTGTTAAAGTTGGTTGCTTCCGGGGATGAGAAAAGAAGGCAGAAATAACTGTAGTTCTTAAATGAACAGCAAGATTCTGGTTAGATAATTTGCCTGATTTATTATAGGAACTAGGCACAGGCATATTCCTCTATACATAGATATTTCACATCCACCACTCAACATGATAGTCAACAGGCACAGCAGAAGCACTAACAGATCAGAAGAGATACTAGCTGTGAAGCCTCAGCAGTTGAAGTGCATACCTGCTGAATATTACAGCCCTGTCCTCAATTGATTTACTATGTCACTCGGATTGGTAGTAATGCAATTTTAAACCTGCACTCAAAAATGATTCTTTAAAAAACTGTTAAAGCCAAGCACCTTTGCTGATCAAGTTGCTTAAATACTGAACTGATTAAGCAAATCTCTCTTGACATTTAAGGCTTTTGTCATTATTCATGTTTCCCCCACCTCCCAGCTTCCACCACCGGTTAACAAATTTTAAAGGATGACATCCAGACAGTTCAATGGAGAAAACACCTACTAAGGGATTCTTATCATCATGGAAATCATGTTTATCTCTCCTTGTTTTGACAGCAGAAGAGATAGAATACAATTCTGGAAAACTAATAATTAATTTCAAAGCCAAAAAAAAAAAAAAAAAGTATTGCATTGGCCACTAGATGGCCCCCATATATATTTTTCCACTATTACAAAGAAAATATGGAAGAAACAAGTGAGAGAAAAATATGTATTAAAATAATGTATGATTCTTTACCTTTACATGAATAATCACATATAGATATTATGAATCTTCATTTACCACGTATTTAGCGTATCTTCACATTGTGGAACTATCAAACACTCTTACCTTTACTAGTAACACTTCCAATAGTACCTATAAAAATATTTTAAGAATTAAAAGTTTTAATGTTTGACTTCTGGGCAACAGCAAAATTCTTCATCTAATTTTGTTACTTGACGTGTAGCAATAGCAAATTTTTTTCTTTCTTAGTTTTGAGTCACTGCTATGATTGCCACAGAGTCTACTCTTTTATATACTTTAAGTAAATTCTCCCTCTTTTTAAAACTTAAAGAAAAAAATTTTGTTTTAATTCAGTATCTGGTTTGTGTCCGAATATAAGAAAAAAAAAACCCTCCAAACTTTATGAGTTTAAATTTTGAACATAAACAAGTTATTTACTTACAGATATACATAGCTTTCTCTCATTTAACAGATTATATATATTAAAAGCCAAAGCATTTTTTATGTAATAATGACAGTAAATTTAAAATGTTAGCTGATTTGTATTTCATTTAGCTTATAACCCATTTAACGATCAGCTGCTTCTAAAGAGGCACTTTCATCATTGTGCATTTATAATGGAAATATCTGAGATTCCTAAAAATAGTAAAGAATATGTGATTGCCTTAATGATTAATCACCTGTAGTTCGGCTGGTTACAGAATATCAATGTGTATCACATTTCACTAATGATCATTACCCTGATTTTCTCATTTTCTGCTTTCCATAAAGAAAGGACTAATCAGTTCCAGGTCCTGTGAAATTTTAAATAGAAAACAAATTTAACTTCTGCTTGCAAATTATATTTTCCCCATATGCTATCCAATTCAGGGTCTCAAGTCTGATTCTGCACAGCCTTATAGCATGCCAGAGAAATCACCTGTTTGGAAAATCTGCAATTCTGACTTCATGTTTTAATTGGCAATTTCCAGTTATATTCTGTTTCCCGAGGGGCACTGGGCACTATTGAAAAGACCTGAAATGCTGCAGGCTGCTATTACCGCCTCTTTTCCCCTTGGTGGTCAGACTTGCTTCCTTTGTTCACTCACTTTTGTTTCTCAGCCCTTGAAATCTGCTTAACTTGGAGGAGGTTTTAGAGTTTAAGAATTAAAAAACGTTGTACAACATAAACACAACTTATCCTAACATTTGGCCTTTGGAAAAGGAGAGGCTGAAAAAGTGACAGAAGCTGTTCTTTGAATCTATAAAATATTTTCCCCTGCTATCCTACTTAAATTGGCAATGAGATTTCAAGACTGCATTGCAGCAACCGAATCAGCAGATTTTCAATACCCTTGCATCTTTTTCTTTTCACAGGAGAGAAATATCACGTGAAGACTAAAATCATCCCAATTTTGTTCATCTCCTTGTTTGTTTTACAGTTAAAAAGCCATTTCATGTGCCTGGCACAGTGGCTCATGCCTGTAATCCCATCACTTTGGGAGGCTGAGGCGGGTGGATTACTTGAGGCCAGGAGTTCAAGACTAGCCTGGGCAACCCTGTCTCTGCTAAAAATACAAAAATTAGCCGGGCATGGTGGTGTGCGCCTGTAGTCCCAGCTACTCGGGAGGCTGAGGCAGGAGAATCGCTTGAACCTGGGAACCGGAGGTTGCAGTGAGCTGAGATGGCTCTGCTGTACTCTAATCTGAACAACAGAGTGAGAGTCTGTCTCAAAACAAAAGAAAAAAGAAAAAACAGCCATTTCATGCAATAAAACATTACTATGAAAAGTATTGTCGATGTATAGATAAATGTTGCACTTCGTTCACATTCTCCATCTAGTTGATTTAAAAACCTCCTTGATTCTCCTGGGGCACTGGGACATATCAACTTCCTGTTGGTTCCCAGGGCAATTTTCAGATCCTTTGCATATAATAATCTCTTTTTCTGTTCTTTTTATTATTTTGTGCTTCTTATTTTTCTTCATTCCTGAGTCTTTCATTGAAAAGTTAAGAATAATATCTGAAAACAGGTGTTTCATCAGGGGAAAAGTTGGTATAGAGAGTCATTTGAAGGACTCTTTCTCTTTTCTTTGAATGGCTTATCAAAAACGATTCAGAAAACACATTCCCTCAGACAATTTCAATCTATTCAAATCCCTGAGACCTTTAAAGGTGTTAGTTCCTAAACTGTGTTTTACTGTGTAAGGCTTCCTGGATGGCCTTGGAGGAAAGGGATATTGAAGAGAAGGAGAAGAGATCTCGACCCTCCCCCTCCAACTTACAAAGACACTATCTGAGAAATGAACTTTCATCTGCATGGGTTGTACTTAGCTGTGAATTTCTCCTTTTAGTTTTCTTTTCCCCATTTTTCATTATTATAAACAGTCCCATTCTTTCCATGCCTCTTTTTTGCAAGTTGAAGTGTTTCTTGAAATCTCTATAAAGATTGGATTTTTGTCAGGAAATAGGAAAGATAATGTTGGGGCTCAGAAACTAATATCCCCAAATAGGTGTTGACATGCTGAACTGAAGAACTCTCAAGGTCTCTCTGACCTTCCCCACTGCCCCCATAGCCTCTCCCAAAGAAGCTGAAGTTCCTTTATCTGCCTAATATCCAGACCCACCAAGGAGAAAAATTGTTTTTTCTTCCCCTCCCTATAAGACCAAGAATGTAACCACACCTGAACAGACCCTTGCACGGTCAAACAGAACTATTTACAAGTTAATCTCTATTCCTGGATCCATTCATTCTCCCTCGTAATTCCCTCAACAGAATTCCTCTTCTCCACCCTTCCATAACCTATTTTATCAGGATGGTATTGTAAAAGTGAACTAAATATGGCCTGAGAAGGACTCCGTATTTCTATATTTGAGTCCTTGTGGATGAACTGTAACCTAACTTAATAGGTAGACAAGATTGAAAACCTAACTTAGGAATATGCATCTGTAGCAATAGCTGAGTCTTGGCTGATCCCAGCAGTCATACTTCAACCATTCATACACTGCTGAGTGTTCAAACTCAAATCATTCATTGCTCAATTAAACTCCTTTAAATTTAATTCAACTGAAGTTTTTCTTTTAAGAGTATATAAGCTCCCGAACATCCTTGGGGGATTAGGTGTTCATTCTGAAGGCTCCCGTGTATATATGTTAAACAAATTTGCCTTTTCTCCAATTAATCTGTCTTTTGTGAGTTGATTTTGTTACAGTCTCGCCAATGCACCACAATGTAGCAGTCTCTTGTTGTTAGGTATTACCTGGAGATCTTTGTCTAATGGCGAGAAAATCCAGGACGTGGACACACCAAGAGTGAGGTTAGAGCAGAAGTTAAAAAAGTGAAAGAAAGAGAGAAAGCATTCTGCCACAGAGAGGAGTCCTGGAGGAGGGTTGCCATTTTTGCAATTGAACGCAAAGGCTTTTATAAGAAACTGATGAGGGCTGGGCGTCTTATTTGCATAAGGCACAAATTTGTGGTAGCTCCACCCAATCCTCCTAATGTGCATGCAGGCCCTCAGCTTGAGTTACTCCATATTGCTTTGTTCTCCTTACTGTGCGCACGTGCCAGGGGACAGAATTTTCCATTGCGGGCATGTCTGG
The DNA here is from genome assembly GCF_000001405.40 of Homo sapiens. Classification (NCBI taxonomy): domain Eukaryota; kingdom Metazoa; phylum Chordata; class Mammalia; order Primates; family Hominidae; genus Homo; species Homo sapiens. Next base: position 114,071,609 of record NC_000023.11, on the reverse strand, counting down.
GCAAGTCAGCTGTGTAGCCTTTCTTGTCTGTGTAGCTGTGGCCATGGCTTAGGCAAGCCCCCTTGTGCAAGTTCCCTTATCTGTGCCAGCAGGCTGTTCTTTTGTTTGAAAGAATTCATCCAAGGACCCACACTAACTGCCTGCCTGACTGGGTTTTTTCCTTTCTCCTCTCTCAATTTTTTGGTGAACCTTCAGAGGGCCAAGGTGGAAGCTCTCCCTGATCCTACGGTAACTAACACTGAAGCATTTTCTTTTAGCAAACCCATTCAAGAAATATTTATTGAGTGCCTACTAAGTTCCAGACACTGTTCTAGAATAAGACAATGATCCTCTTAAAATATTCTTATTTAATAGTTAGAATTACTTTCAACGTTTGCCCAGTTTATAGGTGAGAAAAATCAAAGCTCAAAAAGGAAAGAATTGAGATTTAAACATATCTATCTGAATCAAGAGTACAGATTATATACCCTCACCAGCACAAGTGGAAAACTCTTACTATTGAAAAGTTCTTTTGTCTGTTGAGATGCAACTCCTTATACATTTCTGCTATTTTCCTAGAACACTGTTTTTGGAGGTCAAGTCTAATCCCACTTTCACATTACAGTCCTTAAAAAACATGCAGCCATAAAAAAGAATGAGATCTGGCTGGGCGCAGTGGCTCATGCCTGTAATTCCAGCATTTTGGGAGGCCAATGCAGACAGATCACTTGAGGTCAAGAGTTCAAGACCATCCTGACCAACATGGTGAAAACCCATCTCTACTAAAAATATGAAAATTAGCTGGGCATGGTAGCACACACAGCTCCTTGAGAGGCTGAGGCAGGAGAATCACTTGAACCTTGGAGGTGGAGGTTGCAGTGAGCCGAGATCACACCACTGCACTCCAGCCTGGGTGACAGAGTGAGACTCCATCTCAAAAAAAAAAAAAAAAAAAAAAAAAAGAACAAGATCATGCCTTTTGCAGGAACATGGATGAAGCTGGAGGCCATTATCCTCAGCAAACTAACACAGGAACAGAAAACCAAATACTGCATGTTCTCACTTATGAGTGGGAGCTAAATGATGAGAACACATGGACATAAAGGAGGAAACAACAGACACTGGGTTCTACTTGATGGGGGAGGGTGGGAGGAGGGAGAGAAGCAGAAATGATAACTATTGGCTACTGGGCTTAGTACCTAAGTGATGACATACTGTGTACAACAAACCCCTGTGACACATGTTGATCTAAGTAACAAACCTTCACATGTACTCCCTAAACTAAAATAAAAGTTACAGAAATATAGCAGCTATACTTCTTGTATTCATTATCCAGCAGGCCCTGTTCTAAGTACTTTATATGCATTAAGTTCTTTAATCCTGACAACACCTCTTTGTGCTTTGTTTTACAAATACTTATGTCACAGCTGATACCTATCAGGCATTGTTTTGAGTACTTTACAAATAATAATTCAGTACATCATCATAATAGTTATAAAGAGAAGTAACCTCTATTTTTATTTTATATTATTCTTCTAGGTCTTTTTCTATGCTTATCATAATATATGTAGTCAAAACATACATTACATTCTTTTTTTGCTGTATTTATTAAATATTAAATAATATGGCTTAAAAAACGTTTGATGTCATATAGACATGCTTCATGCTGTTCATGTACAAATTTTACGGAAGAGGAAAATGAGACTTTAAGAGAGGTTAAGTAATTTGCTGAAGGTCACTGCCAGAATTCAGAACACGATACCCAAAAGTACAAAGTTTTCGCATGCTGAATATTTTTAACTCAAGAAGATTGTGAGGGCTACAGAAGCAGGAAGGTCTCTCCAGTGTTCTCTCACCCTCCTTTCTCCCCTGAAGTGGGTTAGGGAAGCTAGAATTCCTCTCCCTTTAAGCAAATGAGAAAACCTAGGAAGGGGCTGGGCGCGGTGGCTGACGCCTGTAATCCCAGCACTTTGGGAGTCCAAGCCTTGGCAGATGGCTTGAGCCCAGGAGTTTGAGACCAGCCTGGGCAACATGGTGAGATCCTGACACTACGAAAACTACAAAAAATTAGCTGGGCGTAGTGATGAGCACCTGTAGTCTCAGCTACTCAAGAGGCTGAAGTGGGAGAATTGATTGAGCCCAGGAACTGGAGGTTGCAGTGAGCCAAGATAGTGCCATTGTATTCCAGCCTAAGCAACAGAGTGAGACCCTGTTTTAAAAAAGAAAAGAAGAAAAGAAAAGAGAAAGAGAAAGAAGGGGAGGGGAAGGGAGGGGAGGGAAGGGAAGGGAAGGGAAGGGAAACCTAGGGATGTCACTTGCTGACCTCCTCCCTTCTGACTTGGAGACTCTCATATAACAAGTGTCCTACCGTATGGAATAAAGAAGGGGGAGATGGTCGGGGGGATGGAAAGATTGTTACACAGAAACACAGGAAAGAATCTGAGGACACAGGCCTTACTGAGTTCCCCCCAATTTATTACCATTAGATAATACCCCTTTTTTGTCCAATCACATTTCTCTACAACTATCCACCTCTTATATCACACTTAGTATAAAAATACGTAGTTTTCCCTGGGTCTTGGGTCTTCATTTTTTAAAGCTCCGTGTCACATAAAACTTTGGCTAAATAAGTTTGGTATGCTTTTCTCTTGTTAATCTGTTTTATAGGGATATCAGCCATGAACCTTGCGATGGATGAGGAAAAGATACTATTTTTTTCTTCCTTACATCACAAATTTGGGAAGTGGCAGACTTGGAATTTAAACTTAGGCTGCGTTTCTCTAGAATCCACCTTCCCACTATATTATTACTACCTTTCTTTAAAATATTTGCATATGAGTGTCATGCAACCTTCTGCTTCTGCCTTTCTTATAACATCAACAATATCTTCAGTCTGTTCTCACCATCTGATATTAGAAATCAGCTCCATCATTCTATTTGCCTTCCTTTAAATGCAATGCAATTTGTTTATTTTCTTTTAGAATGTGATTCCCAGAACAGATATTCTAGGTGGTTATGAAACTATGCGGAGTTTAGATACTATATCACTATTATGGCCTAAGAGCCATTACATTTTAGGTAGCCATATCTACATTTTGCTTCACATTGAATTTATTGTTGCTAACCCTCCCCCAACTTGTCCTTATTATATATCACCATCATAGATTCAGTGCATTATTCAAGCTGGCAAGACATTTGAGGATCTGGACTCTGCTATTCATCATAGAGGCTCTTACTCTCAGTTATGTATTATCTGCATATTCTGTGAGCATGTTCTCATATCTGCATCCAAATAAGTCACAGATAAAAGTACTTAAATGCAAGTATTTGGTTGGCCTGGTGGCTCATACCTGGAATCCCAAGCCTTTGGGAGGCCAAGGCAGGAGGATCACTTGAGGCCAAGAGTTTGAGACATGCTTGGGCAACACAGTGAGACCCTATCTCTACATTTTTTTTTTTTTTAATTAGCCGGGCATGGCAGCACATGCCTGTAGTCCTACCTACTCTGGAGGATGAGGTAGGAAGATTGGTTGAACCTAACAGTTTGAAGTTACAGTGAGGTATGATGATGCCTCTGTACTCCAGTCTGGGTTACAGAGTGAGACCCTGTCTCTAAAAATACAAAATTTTAAAAATGTATAAATAATTGCAAGCAACAAGGATAGAGCCTTGCAGGTCACAAGGGACTTCACTCCAGATTGATGCTCATTAAATAATGAGGCAGCTTTCAATATGGTTATTTAATCAGAAATTAATCTACATGAATATTCTTGCATTTAGCTCACATTTGATTTGTTTTGTTTTTTAACCTCCACATATTCAGCTACGGTCCATATTTGTTTACAGGAAAATAGTAATCACACATGTCAAAGACCTTGCTTTGTTTCAGTATACTATGTCTTCTGAAATTCCCTTATCTACAAATTAGTAAATACATTAAAGAAAAGATTGGCTGATGGTGGCTTGTTTTTATAGAGGAGCTGGTCAGAAGATACTTGAATTACCTTCTGTAAAATCTATGTCGTCTCTAGTGTTCAGTAGCCAACATTCACTTATTTATTCCAGAAATAGTTATTGAGTAGCTACTGTATGCCAGAAACTCCTCCAGGTTCTGGAGATACAACAGTGAATGAAACATAAAAGTGTTTAACAACATACATGTCACATTCTATTATAAACAACCTGTGCCCTATGAAAGGTAACACAGACCTGTAGAGTTTATTTATATTGGAAAGCCAGGTGCTAACTACAATTCACTCCTTGTTCCCCGAAGTTATAATCATCCTTTCTGCAACTTCTAAAGCTGCAGACTGAGGGATACTATGGGGCCAGATGGCTACTGCTGATCAGAAATAAAATAAGCCTTAGGTGTCACCACTTTCAACCTCCTAGGAAAATGTGAATTCCTTTTACAGCATCCTCCAGCATACCTGCTCAAAGACTTTATGATTATAGATCTTCAGGTTTGATGTTGTAAAAATGCTAGCTAGTGTGTAAGATAGAATTCAGACATTCTTGGTTTTGCCTGGCCAAACTAGGTGGTGCACTGTCAGATCTTTTGCGTGGTGGACTAGGGTACCTATGCTATGTAATCTTCACAATGAACCAGTTTCTTTCCTTTTTGAGCTCTAGAGCCCAACCCACATGACATGGCTCACGGGCCCTTCCTCCCTCTTCAACGCCAGCAACAATAGGTCAAGGCCTTTACTCATCATTATCACTCTGACCACTTCTGTCCCCCTTGTCCACTATTAAGGCCCTTGGTAATTACATTGAGCCTACCTTGATCATCCAGAATAATTTCCCTATTTCAAAGTCCTTAACTTTATCACATCTGCAAACGTAGCTGACATATTCATAGGTTCCAGGGATTAGGACATGGACATTTTTGAGGGGTCATTATTTTGCCTACCATACCCTCCTTCTGGTCTGAGTTGTATTTTCTTCCTTTTTGAGTTATTTAACATCTAAATAACATTGCTATTGATGTGGTGAAAATAGTTGCTTGCTCTTCTTTTCTGTTATTCTGGCTACATTGTGAACTCAGCACTACTCACTGAGGTCAGATCAGCTGGCTTCCCACTCTCCCTGTTTTCACCTTTACACTAGTTCCTCTGAAGCTTTGCAGGATTTTTCTTGAGTCAAAAGGACAGTATCACTAACAGACAGGTAACAAACATGATGAACTGCTTTACTTCACCCTCTTGATAATTTTTTTTTCTCCAAATTGCTCTTCACCATCATCATTCTTGCCCAGCTTGGCAAGTATGAGCAGGTCAGAAGATACTTGAATTACCTTCTGTAAGGAACACGAGAATGCAGGTCAACAATGGGATTTTTGACCTCACTTATCTAATCAGAAGATAATCTGACTCTGTCAGTATTCATGGCACTCAGAAGATACTCAGGATTTTTTTCAAAGGTGATGGTGGTGGTGATGTGTGTGTGTGTGCACATGTTCATGGCTGGGTGCATGTGTGTAAAGACAGAGAGAGACCCGGATAGCAAAATTTGCTTCTCACTTTACCACCATGGCATATCCAGTGTTTATCTGTGGCAACAGTCATGTATTTTCCTCCCCTTTATGCGCTTTTTTGTTGCCCTGTCACACTACCCACTTCCTTCTCACCATCTGCTAGGTCCTGAGACATGGACTGCCTGTCTTCTTAAACTTGCCCAGACCTGTCCAGATGTGTCTATGATGGATTTTATTGTGGCAATTTCTGTTATAATTTTTTATATACTATTCCAATATAAGCTACATAGTGGCTCTATTGTGGACATGTCATTTGTTCCTTGAATCGTTCTGTTTTGTTCCTTCCTTTTATTGCTTTTCTTATAACTTGACTCAGCAGAGCACTAGACTGACTGGCACTGGGGAAGATAGCCACATTCCTTCCCTGCCCCTTGCTGATCCTGCTGCCATGCTTGATATCATTGTGCTCAAAGCTGAATTTGTTTAGCCCCCATATATTCCTCTGGTACACATCCCGGCTTTTGAAAAACTGACTTCTGCTATCAAGATTGTATGATTTTAAAACAAAACAAGTATCAAAGCTCAACTTCCATTTTATATTTGTATATAATTTTGATAAATTCTGTAAGTAGAGGGTTTTTTATGTGCAAATTTCTGTGTACACGGGGAGGGAATTTATTTTCGATTTCTTAAGCTTCTCTCTCTCTTTTTTTTTTTTTTTTTTTTTTGAGACAGAGTCTTGCTCTGTTGCCCAGGTTAAAGTGCAGTGGGCAAGATCTCACCTCACTGCAAACTCCACCTCCTGGGTTCAAGCAATTCTCCTGCCTCAGCCTCCCGAGTAGCTCTGACTACAGTCGCACGCCATCATGCCCAGCTTATTTTTGTATTTTTAGTAGAGACAGGGTTTCACCATGTTGGCCAGGCTGGTCTCAAAATCCTGGCTTCATGATCTGCCCACCTTGGCCTCCCAAAGTGCTGGGATTACAAGCGTGAGCCACCACGCCCAGCCACAATTTCTTATATATTAGACACTGAGACAGATACTTTAAATCTATTATTACTAGGTTTTTGGAGTTTTTTTGTTTTGTTTTGTTTTGAGAGGGAGTTTTGCTCTTGTCGCCCAGGCTGGAGTGCAATGGCGCGATCTCGACTCACTGCAACCTCCGCCTCCTGGGTTCAAGCGATTCTCCTGCCTCCACCTCCCAAGTAGCTGGGGTCACAGGCACCCACCACCACACCCAGCTAATTTTTTGTATTTTTAGTAGAGATGGGGTTTCACCATGTTGGTCAGGCTGGTCTCAAACTCCTGACCTCAGGTGATCCACCCGCGCCGGCCTCCCAAAGAGCTGGGATTACAGGCGTGAGCCACTGTGCCAAGCCTTATCATTACTAGGGTCTTAATCTACTACTTTGCTCCAGACAAATTTGCATAGCCTTGGTGTATTAGTTTGTTTTCACACTGCTGATAAAGACATAGTTAAAACTGGGAACAAAAAGAGGTTTAATTGGACTTACAGTTCCACATGGCTGGAGAGGCCTCAGAATCAAGGCAGGAGGCAAAAGGCACTTCTTACATGGTGGTGGCAAGAAAAAATAAGGATGAAGCAAAGGTGTTAACCCCTGATAAACACATCAGATTTCGTGCGACTTATTCACTATCATGAGAATAGCACAGAAAAGACCAGCCCCCATGATTCAATTACCTTCCCCTGGGTCCCTCCCACAACACGTGAGAATTCTGGGAGATATAATTCAAGTTGAGATTTGGGTGGGGACACAGCTAAACCATATCACTTGGTGAGGAACAGCTATGAGTTTTACAAAAGTGTGAGAATGCATTTTTTTTTTTTTTTTGAGATGGAGTCTCCCTGCTGCCCAGGCTGGAGTGCAGTGGCACGATTTCCACTCACTGCAACCTCTGCTTCCTGGGTTGAAGCTATTCTCCTGCCTCAGCCTCCCAAGTAGCTGGGACTACAGACACCTGCCACCATGCCCGGCTAATTTTTGTATTTTTAGTAGAGACGGGGTTTCACCGTGTTAGCCAGGATGGTCTCCATCTCTTGACCTTGTGATCCGCCTGCCCCAGCCTCCCAAAGTGTTGGGATTACAGGCGTGAGACACTATGACCGGCTGAGAATGCATTTTTAAAGTTTCTCCAAAACTGAAGAAGTGCTTTTCCAAAAATATTCTTCTATACATGGGAATAAGTTAACAATGACATTGGATGCTTAGTATGTACTAAGAACTTCTTTGAATATTTCAAATACAGTATCCCATTTCTCTAAATTTTAAGCCCTGGGTTAGTACACAGAACTGTGAAAAGTAGTGAATTTTAAATTCCACCAATTATTTCAAATTATCTAGTGGGTCTAGCTGTCCCAAGGGGAGAGAATAACATCCAGAATCTGCTCCCTTCATACAGTCTTAAAAGGAAAGAATTGAGAGTCTAATATATGTTAAGCACTCTGCTAGTAAATTTACATGTATAATTTTATTTTATTTATTATATATTTATTATTATTATTATTATTGACACCGAGTCTCTCTCTGTCGCCCAGGCTGGAGTGCAATGGCATGATCTTGGCTCATTGCAGCCTCCACCTCCCGGGTTCAAGCAATTCTCCCACCTCAACTTCCCAAGTTGCTGGGACTATAGGCGTGCACCACCATGCCCGGCTAATTTTCTGTATTTTTAGTAGAGATGGGGTTTCACCACGTTGGCCAAGCTGGTCTCGAATTCCTGACCTCAAGTGATTGGCCCGCCTCGGCTTCCCAAAGTGTTGGGATTTCAGGTGTGAGTCACCACGCCCAGCCTTATTTATTATTTTTGAGACAGCCTGGCTCTGTCGCCCAGACCGGAGTGCAGTGTCACGATCTCGGCTCACTGCAACCTCTGCGTCCCAGGCTCAAGCATTGTCATGCCTCAGGCTTCCGAGTAGTTGGGACTACAGGCATGTGCCACCAAGCCCAGCTAATTTTTGTATTTTTAGTAGAAGTGGGGTTTCTGTATGTTGACCAGACTGGTCTCAAACTCCTGGCCTCAAGCAATCCACCTGCCTTGGCCTTCCAAAGTGCTGGGATTACAGGTGTGAGTCACTGCACCAGGCCCTTACATATATAATTTTATTATTATGTGTGCCCAAATAAGCTAGGATGGGGGTGGGAAAGCAGTGTCATTCCAGGCAAGAGCAAACAGCAAGTATGCAGACAAAGCATGAATGAGGTTGACTTTCTGATAAAGGTGTGTAATGTTTGTAGGGGTGATGGTGTGGTTGCTATTCTTCTTTCCCCATAATTGTCCTCTAAGTTCTTCATTACTTCTCAGTAGCACATAATATCACACAGTCCTGTACTGCTTCCCTACCTTCTGGGAACATTTATAGCAATGTAAAAGGCAAATGCCTATTTACCATGATAAAAAATGCAAATGTCGGCAGGGCACGGTGGCTCATGCCTGTAATCCCAGCACTTTGGGAAGCCGAGGCAGGTCAGGAGATCAAGACCAACCTGGCCAAGATGGTGAAACCCCCTCTCTACTAAAAATACAAAAAAATTAGCCAGGCATGGTGGTGGGCGCCTATAATCTCAGCTACTCGGGAGGCTGAGGCAGAGAATTGCTTGAATCTGGGAGGCGGAGGTTGCAATGAGCCGAGATCACACCACTGCACTCCAGCCTGGGCCACAAAGTGAGACTCCGTCTGAAAGAGCAAAAAACAAACAAACAAACAAACAAAATGCAAATGTCACTTTAAAGCAGTAATCTCTAATCCCACGACTACTCCCAGACCACACGTGAGCTTTCCTGATCACTGCAAGATCTTTTCCAAGTGGGTCCCAAATCAGGCCTCTTTGTATTCTCTCAAAACTACTTTCTTCATGAAAAAAAAAAAAAAAACACACACACATCTTGTCTTTGTGGCTCCCTGGACCTAAACATAAACATATAAACTTCCCATTGGAATGTAAGCTTGATGAGGGCAGATATTTAAATTGTTTTATTCATAGTGCCAGTTTTATACACACACATAAACACCCATCTTCCTTTACTCTAGTGTAGTCTAGTTCCTTTACCTCCCTCCTATCCTGGAAACAACTCTACCTCCCTTATATAACCTTAGCTACATATGTTTCTCACTACTTTCCTCATAAGTTCCAAGGTAGTAAATGAAAGAGACACTGAAGTCAATCTAGCAACTTTTGTATTGTATAAGCCTGCAAGGACAGAGGTTTTCATTCACAGCTTTTAGCTGATGTCTAATCACATCATTAGGACTGTCTTGTACATTGTATTATGTGACAGACAATTGCTAGTGTTTTAAAGATTTTTTGTTCTCTTCTACTTTCAAACACATTTGTTCTCAAATTTAAGTATACAGATGTGATTTGTTTTGGCCAATAAACTGTAATCAGAGGTGTCACTTTTGTTAAGCAGCATTTAAGAGCCTGTGCACAATTCTCCATGCTCTCTCTTCCCAGATCCCATATATAATGAGAACATGTGTTGATAAGGTGTCACAGGATTAAAGCAATAGGGCATACTGTGCCACTATATAAAGCACAGCTTCCCTAGGGACTCACCTGGACCTAAAGCACTTCCAATGAGTGAAGAATATACTGTTGTTGTGTTCAACTGATAACATTTTGGTGGTGCTACTTCAGCATAACCTACTTTATCTGACTGAAACAAGAATTAGATACATAGAAGTAGATGTTGCAAAACCATATTTCTAAATTATCTAGCATTAGCTTAATGATTGGGAGGGGTGCAACTAGCAAGCTGCTATCAGAGGCTGTAAAGACTGTGATATAGTATACTGCTGATGGGAATGTAAATTAGCACAGCCATTATGGAAAAAAGTATGGAGGGTCCTTAAAAAATTAAAAATAGAACTAGCATATGACCCAACAGTCCTACTACACAGTATGCATCCAAAGGAAATAAAGTCTATCCGTGAGACACCTGTGCTCCCATGTTCATTGCAGCACCACTATTCACAATAGCAAAGATACGGAATCAATCTAAATGTCTGTCTGTCAGTGAATGAATGGATAAAGAAAATGTGGTATATAGACACAATGGAATGGTATTCAGCCATAATAATGAAATGCTGTCATTTGTGGCAACATGGATGAAACTGCAGGATGTTACGGTAAGTGAAATAAGCCAGGCACAGAAAGACAAATATCACGTGTTCTCACTTATATGTGGAATCTGAAAAAGTTGTACTCATGGAAACAGAGAGTAGAATGATGGTTGCCAGAGGCTGTGTGTATGTTTGTGGGGAGGATTGAGAAAATGTTGGTCAAAGGATACCAAATTTCTGTTTGACAGGAATAAATTCAAGAGGTCTGTATATAATACATTGTTATTAACTGTAGTAACCAAGTATACAACTTGGTTACTTGGAAGTATATAATACATTGTTATTAACTGTAGTTACTACAGTTATGTATTATATACTTCAAAATTGCTCAGAGTACACTTTAAGTGTTCTCACCACAAAAAAATAAGTATATAATGTAATATGAGTATTATCTTCATTTAGCCATTCTACAATGGATTCATATTTCCAAACATCAGATTGAACATTATAAATATATACAATTATTATTTATCAATTTAAAATAATAATAATTGATTCATCCAGTTAAATAGAAACCCAGAAGTCCCTCTTGTGACCTCCCTTTCCTTAATCTCCCATACACAATCCATAACTGAACCTCATCTATTGTGTGCTTCACAAATAATTCTCAAATCCAGACGCTTCGCCCAACCACCAGGACCAACCCTAAATCAGGCAACCATTACCTCTTACCTAAATGATTTCCATAGCCTCCTAACAATCTTATTCATGTCCATTTTTGTTCCCACTCTTCCACTTTCCTCACTAAATCCAGAGTAAACTTTTCATAAGATAAATCTGATTTTGTTACCTATTTTATTTAGTCAAAGACTATTCAGTCTTCAGATTTCAGCTCAAACATCACTTTTTCAAAAAATGATTCTGGGGCTGGGTGTGGTGGCTCACGCCTGTAATCCCAACACTTTGGGGGGTGCCGAGGCAGGAGGATCACTTGAGGCCAGGAATTCAAGACCAGCTTGGCCAACATGGCAAAACCCCATCTCTACTAAAAATACAAAAATTAGCCAGGCATGGTGGCGCACACCTGTAATCCCAGCTACTTGGGAGGCTGAGGCATGAGAATCACTTCAGCCTGGGAGACAGCGGTTTCAGTAAGCTGATACCATGCCACTGCACTTCAGCCTGGGCCACAGAGCAAGACTCTGTCTCAAAAAAAAAAAAAAAAAGGATGGAGAGTTAAGAAATTTCTATCTTTTTGGCAATTGAAAAATAAAAGATAACTGCTTCTCAGCTTTAAAAATATAATATTTAGAAAGCCTTTGAAAAACAACAATTCAGTAGACACTCCCTCCCAGTTAAATTGTCTTAAGGTGGCCAGGTGCAGCGGTTCAAGCCTGTAACCCCAACATTTTGAGAGGCTGAGCGGGGAGAATTTCTTGAGACAAGGAGCTTGAGATCTGAGACAAGTCTCAATCAAGTTAAAAAGTTTATTTTGTCAAGGTTAAGGACGTGCATGTGACACAGCTTCAGGAAATTCTGATGACATGGGCCCAAGGTGGTTGGGGTACAGCTTGCTTTTATACATTTTAGGGAGACATAATGCTAAGGGAGGAGACCACCCCTCATATTGTCTTATGCCCAATTTCTGCCTCCAAAGAAAAAAGAAGTAAAAACTAAAAGGCGGAAGTGAAATCCACAGGCAGACAGCCCGGAGCCGCACCCTGGGGCTGGTAGTTAAAAATCAACCCCTGACTTAACTGCTTGTGTTATCTATAGATTCCAGACATTGTATGGAAAAGCATCGTGAAAATCCGTCCTGTTCTGTTCCGTTCTGATTACCAGTGCATGCAGCCCCCAGTCATGTACCCACTGCTTGCTCAATCATTCACGACCCTCTCACGCGGACACTCTTAGAGTTGTAAGCCCTTAAAAGGGACAGGGATTGCTTACTTGGGAGCTCAGTTTTTTGAGACGTAACTCTGCCGACGCGCCTGGCCAAATAAAGCCCTCTCCTTCCTCAACTCGGTGTCTGTGGCTCGTCCTGCTACAATGCATCTACCCATACAGGTAAGATTTACATTGATTTTATCTGGCAGGGCAGGATAATTCGAAGCAGGGTTGTGGGTGCTTCCAGGTCATAGGTAGATTTAAACATACCCTGGGCCTGGTGCGGTGGCTCACACCTGTAATCCCAGCAATTTGGGAGGCTGAGGTGAGTGGATCACCTGAGGTCAAGAGTTTGAGACCAGCCTGATCAACATGGTGAAACCCCATCTCTACTAAAAATACAAAATTAGCCAGGTATGGTGGCACATGCCAGTAATCCCAGCTACTTGAGAGATTGAGGCAGGAGAATTGCTTGAACCCGGGAGGTGGAGGTTGCAGTGAGCCGAGACTGCTCCATTGCACTCCAGCCTGGGCAACAAGAGTGAAACTCCGTCTCAAAAAATACATAAATAAATAAATGATTGGCAATTGGTTGAAAGAGTTATTATCTACAGAAAGGAATGTCAGGGTTACGATAGGGGTTGTGGAGTCCTGAGTTTTATCATACGGATGAAGCCTCCAAGTAGCAGGCATTAGAGAGAACAGACTGTAAATGTTTATTAACAGACTTAAGGTTTGTGTCGATGTTAATACTGGAGGGGTATAATGAGGCATGTCCAACCCCCACTTCCCATCACAGCCTCAACCAGTCTTTCAGGTTACATTTTAGGGTGCCCTGGCCAAGGAGGGAGTCCATTCAGTTGGGTTGCTGGAGGACTTTTAAATTTTATTTTTCGTTTACATTCTCCCCTTTCTGGCCAAGATTTTTCAGAGGCAACATCAATGGCCACAAAATTGTACTTTTGTCAATGAAAAGAGTCAAACTCTGTAAAACATTTGAAGAGATTTATTTTGAGCCAGATATGAGTGATCGTGGCCCATGACATAGCCCTCAGGAGGTCCTGAGAACAAGTGCCCAAGGTGGTCGGGGTGCAACTTGGTTTTAGCATGAGAGGTCAATCAAATACATTTAAGAAATACATTGGTTTGGTCCAAAAGGCGGGACAACTCAAAGTGCTGTAGGTAAATTTAAACATTTTCTGGTTGACAACTGGTTGAGTTTGTCTAAAGACCTGGGATAGATAGAAAGAAATGTACAGGTTAAGATAAAAGATTGTGGAGACCAGCTGGGCTCAGTGGTTTACGCCTGTAATCTCAGCACTTTGGGAGGCCGAGGCAGGTGGATCACCTGAGGTCAGGAGTTCGAGATCAGCTTGGACAACATGGTGAAACCCCCGTCTCTACTAAAAATATAAAAAATTAGCTGAGCGTGGTGGCAGACGCTTGTAATCCCAGCTACTGGGGAGGCTGAGGCAGGAAAATTGCTTGAACCGGGAGGCAGAGGTTGCGGTGAGCTGAGATCGTGCCACTGCACTCCAGGCTGCGTAACAGGGCGACACGCTATCTCAAAAAAAAAAAAAAAAAAAAAAAAAAAAAAGATTGTGGAGATCAAGGTTCTTTTGAAGTCTTATAGTGGCTTCCCTTAGAGACAATAGATGACAAATGTTTCCTATTCAGATGTTTAAAAGGCGCTAGAACTTTAGTTAATTTTTTTAGGATTGGGAGGGCCTGGAATAAAAAGATCTAGCTATGTTAATAGAGATTCTTTACAGATGCAAATTTCCCCCCACCAAAAAAAAAAAAAAAAAAACAGCTTTACAGGGCCATTTCAAGATATGGCAAAGAAATATGTTTTGGGGTAAAATATTTTTATTTTCTTCCTTGTCTCGTAGTGTTATGGCAGAGTCAGGTTGGAAAGTATGTCACAATATATAGGGTTAAATAAAAACCATCTGATGAGAATTTATAGTTTGTACGGCATGACTCCCCAGACCCCTTAGATAGGAATTTGGGCAAGATAAAAACATCATAGCTTAGTCCTCGCTTTTGTCCCGTAAGCATTGCCGGGATGCCATGGTTGCCTGCCCTGGGTCCATTCTGTCCCTCCCTTTGGCTAAGTGGCCAAGGGACTTAGGGTCAACAAGACTTACATCCAACTAATTGTTCTAGGTGAGATAGAAATGGACGTGGACAGGCATTTATTACCCCTTAAAATTATTATTATTTTTTAAAGTAGAAAGCCAACAAACAAAAAGCCAAAGGAGAGGTTACAAAATTTACTTTTTTTTTTTTTTTTTTGAGACAGAGTCTCACTCTGTTGCCCAGGCTGGAGTGCAGTGGTGCAATCTCAGTTCATTGCAACCTCTGCCTCCTGGGTTCAAGTGATTCTCCTGCCTCAGTCTCCCAGGTAGCTTGAACCCAGGAGAAAGAGGTTGCAATGAGCCAAGATCGCACCACTGCACTCCAGCCTGGACAACAGAGTGAGGCTCTGTCTCAGAAAAAAAAAAAGTAAATTATATTAGCTGGCTAATTTTTGTATTTTTAGTAGAAACGGGATTTCACCATGTTGTCCAGCCTGGTCTTGGACTCCTGGCCTCAAGTGATTCACCCACCTCGGCCTCCCAAAGTGTTGGGATTACAGGCATGAGCCACTGTGCCTGGCCCAAAGCTGGCTTATTTTAAACTTCTATTTGTTGAGTTACTGTAATCTTGGTTTCAGTTACAGACTTATAGCAATTAGCTCTATAAAACACAAGCATTGTTTGGAAAACATTTTTTTAAAGAAATATATATCTATCTGTACAGTTCATAGCTGGGAGTCTTATACCCAGGAGGCTTTGTCACGGCGTATGTTTATCCTATCAAAAATTATTTTCTTTTCATTCTACAGGAGAAGGAAATTCTTTTCTTTTTTTTTTTTTTAATATGGAGTCTCAGTCTGTTGCCCAGGCTGGAGTGCAGTGGTGCCATCTCGGCTCACTGCAACCTCCACCTCCCAGGTTCAAGCAATTCTGCCTCAGCCTCCAGTGTAGCTGGGACTACAGGTGTGCACCACCATGCCCGGCTAATTTTTTGTATGTTTAGTAGAGACGGGGTTTCACCGTGTTAGCCAGGATGGTCTCGATCTCCTGACCTCGTGATCCACCTGCCTCAGCCTTCCAAAGTGCTAGGATTACAGGCATGAGCCACCGTGCCTGGCCCAGGAGAAGGAAATTCTTAATAGCTGGGGTGGATGCAAAGGTGCCCCATAATAGCTCAAGAAGCAAAGGCCATTGTTTTACCAGCTGTTTAGGCATCTTTGTACCCAAACTTCATTTGGAGGTTGTGACCTTGACTTAATTATATCCCTCAAAAACCAGCCCTTAAAATCTCATACACCCATTTCTTCTGCAATAGTTCCTGGGCCTACAGGGAGTGTGCTTGTGTAGTCTTAGCAGCTGGGCATTTGTAGTGAATAACAGATCGGACCCAGTGGGAAGCCAAATGAGGGAGATTATCATCTCTGGTCTTCAGAATACCATGATTTGGTTTCCCTGGAAATAAAACAAGGAGAAATAAAAAACATTAATAATTTGACAAAGAGTACTTGTGTGTCAGAACAGAAAAATGAATCTATTCCATGAGGGCATCAGCTAAAACCATGAATAAGAATTATAATCTAGCATCCTTTAGAGGATTATTGTAGCCAAGAAATAATTCATGGTTCACTCTGCACTGGAAAACAAAAATCAGGGCTAAAATCTAGTAACAAATGTTATACACTTTTCTTTTGAAACAATTTCTCTGTCTCTCTCTAGCCCTCTTTTTCTATTAAAGAGAAATTTTAATACTAGCAGCTTGTATGCAACGTAAGTATTAGGCTTATTATAGTTTGCTTTGTCAAAGCAAACTAAATATGGCCTGAGAAGGACTCCATACTTCTATATTTGAGTCCTTGAGAATGAACTGTAACCTAGCTGAATAGTCAGACAAAGTTGAAAACCTAACTTAATAGTATATACCTGTAACAATTGCTGAGTGTTGGCCAAACTCAGTGGACATACTTCAACCACTCAGACTGCTGAATGTTCAAACTGCGTTCAAATAAGGCAAACGCTGAGCTGCAACCAATCTCACTATTTCTGTACCTCACATCCGATTCCTGTACGTCACTTTACCGTTTTTGTCTATAAATTTGTTCTGACCACGAGGCACCCCTGGAGTTTCTGTGAATCTGCTGTGATTCTGGGGTCTGCCTGATTCACGAATTGTTCATTGCTCAATTAAACTCCTTTAAGTTTAATTTGGCTGAAGTTTTTCTTTTATCAGCCTGATTATTCACATAAAGTGCAGCAAGAATTGATTGATTATATAGGCTCCTTTTAAGTTGGCTTTGCTGGAACTTTACCTAAAAATATACTATTTTAGTCAAAGTCTTGGTAAAACGATCAGTGTCTCCAATTGTTCTGTTCTAAAAGACTCTTACTAAACGTATGCAAATAACTATATTGTCATAAAGTAACAATGCAAATTTTGGGGAACTCAAATAGAAAAGTAAATTTGCTTACATAAACATACTTCACCCAAATGCTCTAACTACAAATAACTTTAAAAAATTATGTTGAGAAGGCCGGGCGTGGTGGCTTACGCCTGTAATCCAGCATTTTGGGAGGCCGAGGCGGGGGGATCACGAGGTCAGGAGATGGAGACCATCCTGGCTAACACGGTGAAACCCCGTCTCTACTAAAAATACAAAAAATTAGCCAGGCGTGGTGGCAGGCACCTGTAGTCCCAGCTACTTGGGAGGCTGAGGCAGGAGAATGGCGTGAACCGGGGAGGCGGAGCTTGCAGTGAGCCGAGATCGCACCACTGCACTCCAGCCTGGGTGACAGAGCGAGACTCCGTCTCAAAAAAAAAAAAAAAAAATTATGTTGAGAAAAAAAAAATAGAATTGTATCAAGAAAGAAAAAAATGTTTTTTGATTTTTCTTTAATCAGAGCAGCAGCCTTTCAAACAAGATGTTTTTTCACCTTGGAACTGCCATTCAGAAGCCAAACAGCTCATGAGGGCTGTCTGTATCAGGCACTGTAGAATCTAGTAGCTCCTCACATAGTTAGAATCAGTCCTAGGGAAAAAAGAGGCTCCCTGTCCATGAGTATCTCCTCCTTGTATCCCGAGTGATATGGTTTGCCTGTGTCCCCATCCAAATCTCATCTTGAATTCCCACGTGTTGTGGGAGAGAACTGGTAGGAGGTAATTGAATTACGGGGGTGAGTCTTTCCTGTGTTATTCTCATGATAGTGAATAAGTCTCATGAGACCTGATGGTTTTAAAATTGGGAGTTTCTCTGCACAAGCCCTCTTCTTTGTCTGCTGCCATTTTGTTTATTTGTTTGTTTTTGTTTTGCCATGTGAGGTGTGCCTTTCACCTTCCTGCATGATTGTGAGGCCTCCCTAGCCACATGGAACTGTGAGTGCATTTAACCTCTTTCTTTTGTCCAGTTTTGGGCATGTCTTTATCAGCAGTGTGAAAATGGACTAATACACTCAGGTACCAAGATCCTATGTAAGCTATTTTCATTTTATCATGAAACTCTTTGCACAGCATTACTTCCATCAGCATAGGAGTAGCTTCAGTTAACATTCCATAGCAAGGCAGTAAATGCCCCTCAAGTGGAAATTCTCTAGTCCAGTCATTGTTGTTGGGAAGTACTCACAGTCTTTTGCCATAAGCCCCAATTAATGCTCCACAAAAGGCTATGAAGGAGAGGATTTGTCCTGACTGGCACTCCAGCTTTTACCCTACAGATTGTGGGCTCAGGTAATCTTACTAGTTCCCATTTAGCATGTCCGATTCATATTTCTCAAAGAGCAGATTTACATGCTTTCAATTTTATAGTACTAGATAGGGGAAACATCCCCCAGTTAGATACAATACCTATTTTCATAAGACATTTAGGTAGAGTCACAACTACCTTACGTAAAGTCTGCTTAAACATGTCAAATTTCATAATTCTATTAACTTGTACATTTTTTGTTTGTTTTTGTTTTGTTTTGTTTTGAGATGGAGTCTCACTCTGTCACCCAGGCTGGAGTTCTGTGGTGGGATCTCAGCTCACTGCAACCTCCACCTTCTGGGTTCACGCCATTCTCCTGCCTCAGCCTCCCAAGTAGCTGGGATTACAGGCGCCTGCCACAGCGCCCGGATAATTTTTGTATTTTTAGTAGAGATGGGGCTTCACCATGTTGGCCAGGCTGGTCTCAAACTCCTGAGGTGGGTGATACCTGCCTCAGCCTCCCAAAGTGCTGGGATTACAGGAGTGAGCCACCGCGCCCGGCCAACTTGTATGTTTTTTGTGTTCAGAACTTAAAAGGTCCCAGGAGCTTTTCTTTTCTACCCCCAGACCGTATTACCTCTTCTGGTGAAAAAGGGTTTCATTTCCCAGCAAAGAGTTGAGCCAAGGTATTCAGATTCTTTTGTCAATTTTTATTTTAATTTGCGTCAGCATTGCTCCAGGCAATGTTAAATTTCTCTTGATAACCTTTGCCTTCTGATTTTTTTTTTCTTAGTTTTCCAATCTGGGGCAAATAGTGAATAACCATCCAAAAATTTCTATCACTCTTCTGGGGCAAGCATTTTGACTCCCTTTTTCCTTTCCCTTTTTTTTTTTATAATTACTCCCAATGTTTTATTAAGCATCTGTAAGGCCCATGAGGGACACAAATTTGATAAGGCTTCTCAAACAGTCTATGATTCTGTGAAAGAGGTGTCCATGTAAAAGGGGCCCCCTGAACCCCAAGATATACCATGACCTGGGGTATAGGCATATTCAGTGGGAGAATATCTGATGTAGGCAATAATTCAGAGATCGTTAAGTGTATTAGTCTTCTCCAGAGGGGCAGAACCAATGGCATTTATTTATATATAAAAGGAGTTTATTAGAATTTGCTCAAAAGATTACAAGGTGAAGTCCCACAATAGGCTGTCTGCAAGCTAGGGAAAGAGAGAAGCTGGTAGTGTGGCTCAGTCCAAGTCCAAAAGCCTCAAAGCCAGTGAAGCCAGTAGTGAAGCCCTCAGTCAGAGGCCGAAGGCCCAAGAACCACTGGGAGGCTGCTGGTGCAAGTCCCAGAGTCCAAAGGCAGAAGAACCTGGAGTCTGATGACCAAGGACATGAGTGGAAGATAGCATTCTGCACGGGAAGAGAGAGAGCTCGGAGAGTCAGCAAACTGCTTATTTTTTCTTCCCCCTGCTTTTTCCTAGCCATATGGCAGTTAATTGGATGGTAACCATAGACATTGAGAGTGGGTCTTTTCTCTCAGTCCACTGAATCAAATGTCAGTCTCCTCTGGCAACACCCTCAGAGGCATATCCAGAAACAACACTTTACCAGCCACCTAGACATCTTTCAATCTAGTCAAGTCGACACCTACTATTAACCATCATACTAGGCTTTATTTCCTGAAGGACACACATTTTATGGTTTGTTTTTCCTCAAAGAAAGAGGGAGTATATTTGCATGCAAGAAGGATAATGAGCCAAATATTTTGAACTGGAAGGATGAACTGTGGTAGGTTTCACTCGCGTCCGTGTGAAGAGACCACCAAACAGGCTTTGTGTGAGCAACAAGGCTGTTTATTTCACCTGGGTGCAGGCGGGCTGAGTCCAAAAAGAGAGTCAGCGAAGGGAGATAGGGGTGGGGCCGTTTTATAGGATTTGGGTAGGTAAAGGAAAAAGGGGGGTTGTTCTCTGGTGGGCAGGAGTGGGGGTCACAAGGTGCTCAGTAGGGGAGCTTTTGAGCCAGGATGAGCCAGGAGAAGGAATTTCACAAGATAATGTCATCAGTTAAGTCAGGAACAGGCCATTTTCACTTCTTTTGTGGTGGAATGTCATCAGTTAAGGCAGGAACTGGCCATCTGGATGTGTACGTGCAGGTCACAGGGGATATGATGGCTTAGCTTGGGCTCAGAGGCCTGACAGTAGACATTTATGCTGCTTGACAAATATGTCAGTTCTTTTTTCCTTTCAGGTATATATCCACTTCAAATAAGATGTGGCCTTGCTCTGGATAATTCTGGCCTACCATGGCTAAAACATAGTTCCAGTGCGTAATACCATGCCTGATGCACACACACACCCCTACACACACTCACACATGTACTTCATAAATGTTTGTTGACTGAATTAGTAAAATCATGAATTTGAGAGTTGACTCTCTATATTTGTGCCCGTTTAGAATGTTAGGGGGTGGCAAATCCATACAGGTCTGCAGCAACCTCCGTTCTTACCTCCTCAGAAGAAGAATTCCACTGAGTGGCATAAGGCAGAAAAAGAGACCGAGGCAAGTTTGAGAGTAAGGGTGGAAGTTTATTAAAAAGCTTTAGAGCAGGAAAGAAAGGAAAGTGCACTTGGAAGGGACCCAACCGGGTGACTTGAAGGACAAGTGCCCCATTTCACCTTGACCCTAAGTTGATCCTAAGACTTTATATGCTGGCCCACTTCCGGCATCTTGAGCCCCTTTCCCTTCATTCTTCTTTAAGGATGAGCTGCCTGCACACACAGTGGCCTCCTTACCCTTGGGAGGTGAGCATGTGCAGTGTTGTATGCATGCCCACCTGAAGCTTTCTTCCCTTTGCCAGTGGAATGCCCCCGGAAGGTCATGCTCTGCCATTTTGTCTCTTAATGCACATGCCCAGGCTCACTCGCCCAATTCCTGAAATGTTATTGGAAGCTGGTTACAAATTTCAAGTGTTTTTACCTTTTCGGGAAACTGCCTCTCCCTGGTGCCTGTGATCAATTATCACTTTAGTTTGACAACTGTGGACCATCAGGAGATTACCTCTCCCTGGCACTAGTTGCCAATTATGACTTTTAGAGAGGCAGTGTGATAACTGCCGAACCATCACCTGATGGTCACGTGACATTCCTGGTGGGTAGGTTGGGGGAGCCCTATCCTGCCCCACTCATGCCTGGCTGGTTACCTACTGTAACAAGAACACAGAAGATAATATTCACTTTGTGACTCAAACTCATAACAAAATCAGAGTCCCTTCTAGTGCAATCTATATCTTTATCTCTCTCAGTCCCTTCTAGTTTAACCTATATCTATGTCATGGTTTGATCCTTGGAAGGGCTCTAGTCAAATAATATTGGTTGCCAACTGCAATGTTTTTAAATGGTTGTAAACTTTTTTTCCTTTTTTTCATCAATTCCATTTGTGAATTAAAATTATTTGTGGGCCGGGCACTGTGGCTCATGCCTGTAATCACTTTGGGAGGCTGAGGCGGGCAGATCACTTGAGGCCAGGAGTCCGAGACCAGCCTGGCCAGCACGGCAAAACTCCATCTCTACTGAAAAAACACAAAAATTAGCCAGGCATGGTGGTGCATGCCTGTAGTCCCAGCTACTCTGGAGGCCGAGGCACTAGATTCACTTGAACCTGAGAGGTGGAGGTTGCAGTGAGCCGAGATCGTGCCACTGCACTCCAGCCTGGTGACAGAGTGAGACTGTGTCTCAAAAAGTAAAAAAAAAATAAAAATAATTAAGTATTTGTGAAACCATCGTGCATTCATTTCTTCAAAAAACATTTATTGGGAGCCCATTATATGCTAGGTAGGCATTGTTCAAAGAACTGCAGTATATAGCAATGAACAAGACAAAATCTTTGCTTTCAGTGAGTTTCTATTCTAGAGGTAGGGGAAAACAACAATATAAAAGGAAAATATACATGATTAAAAATTGTCTTATGAAGGCAAGATAGCTAGGGCAATGACAAAGAATAATAGAATGGACTTATTTTTTTCTGGCTAATACAAAAGAGAATTTATTGTTCTTAGAACTGAAAAATCAAGGGGAGGGTCTTATCTTAGGCATGTTTTGACATAGGGCTTAAATGATGACTAACACTTGTATTGTACATGCCAAATGGTGGGTGCTCTCTGCAGCATTTAACATGACTCACCTGATCCTCATTATCAACTCCATGAGTAGGTATTATGACAATTCCGACTTCACGGATGAGGAAACTGAGGCACAGAGACTAACGTCTAAAGTGACTACATTAGTAAATAACAAAACAATTCAAACCCAAGCCATCTGGCAGAAAGGACCTCATTTAAATGGAATGTCAGCAGGGAGTATTAAGCTAGGCCTTTTTGGAGAAGTGACTCCTTGCTAAGAGCTGAAGGAAGACTTAGAACTTAGCAAGACAAAGGATGTCAGGAAAAAATATTCCGGGCAGAAAAATCAGTAGTCTTTTACTAGTGAAAATGAAAGTACTAAAGATCTTTTTGTATTTATTTCCTTTCAACAAAAGGAAATTTACATTATTCCTATATTAACATTGACTTTCATTTTGATAGACCTTCTTGAGCAAGAAAGAAATGGGTGAAATAATATTCATGGTGCCATAAAATATGCATAAATAATTCTGGGTATTCTGCAGACAGTGTGCCTTAAGCATAAATGTTATGGTTGAGAACCACTGATATAAACAGACTGATTTTAGAGTTTTACAGTCTTTTCCATATTTGTTTTGTTGCACTGTAGAGTTAAAACACTTTTTAAAAAAAATTTAGAGCATTCTTAGTGTTGGGCTTCTAAACATTGCTGCCTTTTCTTGGTATTTTAGAATTTATTTATTTATTTATTTTTTGAGACAGAGTCTCGCTCTGTCACCCAGGCTAGAGTACAGTGGCGCGATCTCGGCTCATTGCAAGCTCTGCCTCCCGAGTTCGTGCCATTCTCCTGCCTCAGCCTCCGGAGTAGCTGGGACTACAGGCACCCGCCACCACGCCCAGCTAATTTTTTGTAGTTTTAGTAGAGATGGGGTTTCACCGTGTTAGCCAGGATGGTCTCGATCTCCTGACCTCGTGATCCACCCGCCTCGGCCTCCCAAAGTGCTGGGATTACAGGCTTGAGCCACCGCGCCCGGCTATAATTTATTATAATTTATTATTACTATTTTGAGACAGAGTCTCGCTCTGTTGCCCAGGAGTGCAGTGGTGGGATCTTGGCTCACTGCAACCTCTGCCTCCCAGGCTCAAGTGATCCTCCCACCTCAGCATCCTAAGTAGCTGGGACAACAGATGGGCGCCACCATGCACAGGAAATATTTGTATTTTTTGTAGAGATGGGGTTTTGCCATGTGGCCCCAGGCTGGTCTCCCACCCCTAGGCTCAAGCAATTCACCTCCCAAAGTGCCAGGATTATAGGCATGAGCCACTGTGCCAGGACCCCTCACTGTAAGGTCCTCTGAGCAGGCTGCACCATGGTCAAGCCATCGTGACCCCTGTGACCCACACGTACACATCCAGAAGGTTTCCTGGAGCCAGAAAGTCTGAGACAACAGGAAAAGCACAAGAGAAGAAAAACAGCTAGTTCCTGTCTTAGTCCATTAGCCAAGCTTGCAACATTCTATCATTGTAACATGCTCTACCTTAACTGATCAATCAACCTCGTGACCCCTCCCACCTTGTGATAATGTACCATGTGACATCCTTCCCCTGCCGGCAAAAAACGGCCCCCATTGTAACTTTCCACAGCTTACCCCTAACCTAGAAAACCAGCTCCAATCCCACCACCCTCCGCTGACTCCCTTTTCAGACTCAGCCCTCTCCCACCTGGGTGAATAAACAGCCTCGTTGCTCACACTTAGCCGGTTCAGGTTGTGTCTTCAATTAGACGCGCGCATAAGGCTCGTCTTTTTTTTTTTTTTTTTTTTAAATGCTGGAGAGGTAGGCTTTTCAGCCTGAGGATGGGGTCCTTGCCCGGGCCCTGCCCTCTTCTGCCCAAAATTTCCCTGCCTCCTGTCCCTATCATTATCATTATTATTATTATTATTATTTTTGAGATGGAGTCTTGCTCTGTCACCCAGGCTGGAGTACAGTGGCACAATCTTGGCTCACTGCCACCTCTGCCTCCCAGGTTCAAGCAATTCTCCTGCCTCAGCCTCCCTAGTAGCTGGAATTACAGGCGTGCACCACCACGTCCAGCTAATTTTTGTATTTTTAGTAGAGACAGTTTCACCATGTTGGCCAGGCTGGTCTTGAACTCCTGACCTCAGATGATCCACCCACCTCAGCCCCCTAAAATTCTGGGATTACAGGTGTGAGCTACCTCGCCTGGTCTCATTATTATTTTTTGAGACAGAGTCTCACTGTGTTGGCCAGGCTGGAGTTCAGTGGCATGATCTCGACTCACTGTAACCTCTGCCTCCCAGGCTCAAATGATCTCCTACCTCAGCCTCCCAAGTAGCTGGGTCTAGAGGTGGGTGTCACCACTCCCAGCTAATATAGTTCCTCAAGACTGCCCGTTATTTCACATGCTGATCACAAGTGTAGGCCTCCAGTACCTCTGACTGACTGGCTGTAAATTGCAGGTTCCCACCACCCCCTCCTCAGGTTCAATCATTTGCTAGTGCAGCTCACAAAACTCAGGAAAGTGCTTTACTTGCTATTACTCTTTTATTTTATTTTATTTTATTTGAGACGCAGTTTCACTCTTGTCATCCAGGCTGGAGTGCAATGGCACGATCTCGGCTCACTGCAACCTCTGCCTTCCGGATTCAAGTGATTCTCCTGCCTCAGCCACCCAACTAGCTGGAATTACAGGCGCCCACCACCACGCCTGGCTAATTTTTGTATTTTTACTAGAGACGGGGTTTCGCCATGTTGGCCAGTCTGGTCTCAAACCCCTGACCTCAGGTGATCCACCCCCTCGGCCTCCCAAAGTGGTGGGATTACAGGCATGAGCCACCACGCTTGGCCTACTCATTTATTTTAAAAGAATACAACTCGGGCCAGGTGTGGTGGCTCCCGCCTGTAATCCCAGCACTTTGGGAGGCCAAGGCAGGTGGATCACCTGAGGTCAGGAGTTCAAGACCAGCCTGGCCAACATAGTGAAACCCCATCTCTACTAAAAATACAAAAAATTAGCCCGGCATGGTGGTGCACACCTGTAATCCCAGCTACTCAGGAGGTGGAGACAGGAGAATCGCTTGAACCCGGGAGGCGGAGGTTGCAGTGAGCCGAGATTGCGCCATTGCACTCCAGCCTGGGTGACAGAGTGAGATTTTTGTCTCAAAAAAAAAAAAAAAAAAAAAAAGAATACAACTCAAGAGTATTCAGACAAAAGAGATACACAGGACAAGGTAAGGGGGAAGGGGCGTGGAGCTTCCATGCCCTATTTAGGTGTACCACCTTCCTAGTACCTCCAATGTTCAGCAACTCAGAAGCTCTCTGAACCCTGCCATTTGGGATATTTTTGGTATGCTTCATTACATAGGCATGATTAACTAAATTATTGGCCATTAGTGATTAACTCAACCTTCAGATCTTCTCCCCTTTCTGGAGTTCAGGGGATGGGGCTGAAAGTTTCAGTCCTCTCATCACATGGTTGTTTACCTGGCAATTGGCCTTCATCCTGAGGCAGCTCAGGAGGCCCCAGCCATCAGTCATCTTATTAGCATACAAAAAGACACTTATAACTTCAGAGAATGCAAGGGCTTTCGGAGCTGTAAGCCAGGAAATGGGGATAAACACCAGATTTATATTTCTTATAATAAGTCACAATATCACAAGTATTTTAAAATTTCTTTGAGTTCTTTTAAGTTTTTATTAGTTGCTATTGTCTTCTTATATTAATAAGAGAAATAAAACGAAATAGTGGTAAAGTGTTGGGACGGTGAAAATTTTTTGGGGTGGTATGGAGAGATAATTGGCGATGTTTCTCAGGGCTGCTTTGAGCGGGATTAGGGGCAGTTTGGGAACTTAGAGTGGGAGAGATTAAGCTGAAGGAAGATTTTGTGGTAAGGGGTGATATTGTGGGGTTGTTAGAAGAAACATTTGTCATGTAGAATTATTGGTGATGGCCTGGATACGGTTTTGTATGGATTGAAAAACTAAACGGAATAAGAGAAGGAGAAATACAGGTATTAAAGGACTAAGAATTGGGAGAATTTAGGACATCTAATTAGAGAGTGCTTAAAGAGGTTCAGCATAGCCTTGCCAGGAAAGATTATTTATTTACTTTAAGAGTTAAGAGTGGCGGTTTGGGGATAGCACCAGGAGATATCAGCTGTAATGGCTTGGAGAAACAGTGTAAACCGGCAGTGTAAACAAGAGCAGGGCATGTATGAGTAGTTGAGAACGGTGAATAGGAGTATGACTAGATAGAAGATAGAAGGGATGACAAGTTTTTTGGGGCACAGTCTAAGTTTGTCTGGTATTTGGGATGAGACTGGGGCCTAATAAAAAGGAGCATCTATACAGGAGCTTAAATGGGCTGTACTTCGTAGCATTCTGAGGACAGGCCTGAATTCTGAGAAGGGAAAGTGGTATAAGTATTGTCTAGTCTTTTTTAAGTTGGTGGCTGAGCTTGGTGAGGTGTGTTTTTAAAAGACTTTTAGTCCATTCTACTTTTCCTGAAGACTGAGGACTGTAAAGGGATATAAAGGTTTCACTGAATACTAAGAGCCTGAAAAAGTGCTTGGCTGATTTGACTAATAAAGGCTGGTCTGTTATCAGACTGTAGAGAGGTGGGAAGGCTAAACTGAGGAATTGTGTCTGACAGAAGGGAAGAAATGACTGTGGTGGCCTTCTCAGACCTTGTAGGAAAGGCCTCTACTTATCTAATGAAAGTGTCTACTTAGACTAAGAGGTATTTTAGTTATCTGACTCAGGGTATGTTGAGTAAAGCTAATTTGCCAGTCCTGGGCGGGGGCAAATCTTTGAGCTTGATGTGTAGGGAAGGGAGGGGGCCTGAATAATCCTTGAGAAGTAGTAGAATAGCAAATTTGCCAGCCTTGGGCAGGGGCAAATCTTTGAGCTTGATGTTTAGGGAAGGGAGGGGGCCTGAATAATCCTTCAGAAGTAGTAGAATAGCAGATGGAACACTGAGAAGTTATTTCTTTGAGGATAGATTTCTACGATGGAAAGGAAATGAGAGGTTTTAAGAGGTGGGCTAGTGGCTTGTACTGTAGCATAGCCTGCCTTTGCTGGTGTGTGGCGATTAGTCCTGGTGGAACCGCCATCAATAAACTAAGTGTGATCAGGGTGAGGAACAGGAAAGGAGGAAATATGGGGAAATGGGGTGAACGTCAGGTGGATCAGAGAGATGCAGTCATGAGGGTCAGGTGTGGTATCTGGAATAATGTGGGAGGCTGGACTGAAGTCTGGGCCAGGAACAATGGTAATTGTGGGAGACTTAACAAAGAGTGAGTATAGCTGAAGGAGCTGGGGAGCAGAAAGTATATGTGTCAGGTGTGAGGAAGAAAATAGATTTTGGAAGTTATGAGAAATGTAGAGAGTGAGTTGAGTATAGTTTGTGATTTTTAGAGCCTCTAAAAGTATTAAGGCGGCAGCAGCTGCTGCATGGAGACATGATGGCCAGCCTAAAACAGTAAAGTCAAGTTGTTTGGACAAAGGCTACAGGACATGATCTTGGTCCTAGTGTAAGAATTCTGACTGCACAGCCTTGCACTTCAGCTGTGTGTAATGAAAAGGGTTGGGATGAGTCAGGGAGAGCTAGGGTGGGGGCAGTCTCTAAAGCTGTCTTCAAGGAATGGAAAGAGGAGTGGGGAAAGGATTTAGGATCTATGGGGTTAGCTAGGTTTCTTTTTGTGAGTTTATATAATGGTTTTGTTAGGATGGTAAAACTAGGTATCTAAAGGCGAAAGTATCTAACTATGCCTAGGAAGGAAAGGAGTTGTTGTTTTGTAGAAGGGATTGAGGTTTGGGAGATTAGTCGGACACGATCAGCAGGGAGAGCACATGTGTTTTTACGAGAATTATGCTGAGATGGGTAACAGATGAGGAAGAAATTTGGGCTTGACTGAAGTAATGGGGGCTGTCTGTGAAGCTTTGCGGCAGTACAGCCCAGGTAATTTGCTGAGCCTGATTGGTGTCAGAGTCAGTCTAAGTGAAAGCGAAGAGAGGCTGGGATGAAGGGTGCAAAGGAATAGTAAAGAAAGCATGTTTGAGATCTAGAACAGAATAATGGATTGTGGAGGGAGGTATTGAGGATAGGAGAGTATATGGGTTTGGCACCACGGGCTGGATAGGCAAAACAATTTGGTTGATAAGGCACAGATCTTGAACTAACTTGTAAGTCTTGTCTGGTTTTAGGACAGGTAAAATGGGGGAATTGTAAGAGTTTATAGGCTTTAAAAGGCCATGCTGTAACAGGCGAGTGATAACGGACTTTAATCCTTTTAAAGCGTGCTGTGGGATGGGATATTGGCATTGAGCGAGGTAAGGGTGATTAGGTTTCAATGAGATGGTAAGGGGTGCATGATCGGTCACTAAGGAGGGAGTAGAGGTATCTTATACTTGTGGGTTAAGGTGGGGGGATACAACAGGAGGATGCAAAGGAGGCTTTGGATTGGGAAGAAGGGCGGCAATGAGATGCAGCTGTAGTCCGGGAATAGTCAGGGAAGCAGATAATTTAGTTAAAGTGTCTCAGCCTAATAAGGGAACTGGGCAGGTGGGGATAACTAAAAGGAGTGTTTAAAAGAGTATTGTCTAAGTTGGCAGCAGAGTTGGGGAGTTTTAAGAGGTTTAGAAGCCTGGCCGTCAATACCCGCAACAGTTATGGAGGCAAGGGAAACAGGCCCTTGAAAAGAAGGTAATGTGGAGTGGGTAGCCTCCGTATTGATTAAGAAGGGGAAGGACTTACCTTCCACTGTGAGAGTTACTTAAAGCTTGGCGTCTGTGATGGTCTACAGGGCTTCTGAGGTGATCGGGCAGCGTCAGTCTTCAGCTGCTAAGCCGAGAAGATCTGGGAAGGAGTCAGTCAGAGAGCCTTGGGCCAGAGTTCCAGGGGCTCTGGGAGTGGCTGCCAGGTGAGTTGAACAGTCCGATTTCTAGTGGGGTCCTGCACAGATGGGACGCGGCTTAGGAGGAATCCTGGGCTGCGGGCATTCCTTGGCCTGGTGGCCAGATTTCTGGCACTTGTAGCAAGCTCCTGGGGGAGGCGGTTCTGGAGGAACGCCTGGCCACTGTGGTTTAGGCATTTGGAAGTTCTTGTGTGCTGGAGATGTGGCTGGGGTTTGTCTCACAGTGGAGGCAAGGAATTGCAACTTTTTTCTATTATTGTACACCTTGAAGGCGAGGTTAATTAAATCCTGTTGTGGGGTTTGAGGACTGGAATTTAATTTTTGGAGTTTTATTTAATGTCGGGAGCAGATTGGGTAATAAAATGTATATTGAGAATAAGATGGCCTTTTGACCTTTTAGGGTCTAGGGCTGTAAAGCGTCTCAGGGTTGCTGCCGAACAAGTCATGAACTGGGCTGGGTTTTTATATTTGATGAAAAAGAGCCTAAACGCTTCTGATTTGGGATAAAGAAAAAGAAGCATTAACCTTGACTATGCCTTTAGCTCCAGCCACCTTTTTAAGAGTAAATTGCTGGGCAGGAGGGGGAGGGCTAGTCACAGAACGAAACTGTAAGCCGGACCAGGTGTGAGGAGGGGAGGTGATAAAAGGATTATAGGGTGGAGGAGCGGAGGCTGAGTAAGAATTGGGACTTAGCTCGGCCTGGTGAGGAGGGGAGAGTTCAGATAGGTCTGTAGAAAAGGAAGATTAGAAAGACTTAACGACGCTTGGGGTTGGTACTGAGGGGACAGGCGGGAGGGAAAGAAGGAAGATTTGGGATAAGTTGTATTGGGAACAGAGACTAGGGAGGGCCTGATGTGTAAAAGAATGCCTGGACGTCAGGCACCTCAAACCATTTGCCTATTTTACGACAAGAATTATTTAGATATTGTAGGATGGAAAAATTGAAAGTGCCGTTTTCTGGCTATTTGGAACTACTGTTGAGTTTGTATTGGGGTCAAGCGGCATTTCAGAAGAAAATAAGACGCATAGATTTTAGGTCAGGTGAGAGTTGAAGAGGTTTTAAGTTCTTAAGAACATAGGCTAAGGGAGAAGAAGGAGGAATGGAGGTGGAAGCTTGCCTATAGTGAAGGAGGCAAGCCCAGAGAAAAGAGAGTAGAGACACGGAGAAGGGGTCGGGGGGCGGCGGGGGGGGTTCTTGCCTTCCAGAAAAGCAGAGAAGGGGTTGGGGTGCAGAGATAAGAGGTCGGGGCGTGGAAATAAGGGATCAGGGCGCAGAGATAAGAGGTCCGGGCGCAGAAATAAGGGATCGGGGCATAGGGATAAGAGGTCAGGGTTCTTGCCTCTCCTCCAGAAAAGCGGGACTTGCCGCTAAGGGTGAAGGAGAAGGGGTTGAGGGGTTCTTGCCTTTCCTTTATAAAAGCGGGACTTGCCGCTAAGGGTGAAGTACCAAGGCAGGCATCCTTGCGTGGTCTGACACCTCTGAAACCTGAGTAAATAATCAGAGAGGCGTTCCTGTAATGATTAAACACCAAGGGAAGGCTGCCTTCCCTAGTCCGTGACCAGTGCCAGAGTTTTGAGTCCATGGATAAAACGTGTCTCCTTTGTCTCTACTAGAAAATGAAAGGAATTGAAATTAAGAGAAGGGAGAGATTGAAGGGTGGCACCAAGATTGAAAGGAGAAAGAGGTTGAGGGATAGTGAGGGAGGTTGGAGAAGGGAGTAAAAAGAGGCCGCTTACTGGATTTGAAATTGGTGAGATGTTTCTTGGGCTGGTCGGTCTGAGGACCTGAGGTCGTAGGTGGATCTTTCTCACGGAGCAAAGAGCAGGAGGACAGGGGATTGATCTCCTAAGGGAGGTCCCCCGATTCGAGTCACGGCACCAAATTTCACTCGTGTCCGTGTGAAGAGACCACCAAACAGGCTTTGTGTGAGCAACAAGGCTGTTTATTTCACCTGGGTGCAGGCAGGCTGAGTCTGAAAAGAGAGCGAAGGGAGATGGGGTGGGGCCGTTTTATAGGATTTAGGAAGGTAAAGGAAAAAGGGGGGTTGTTCTCTGATGGGCAGGAGTGGGGGTCACAGGGTGCTCAGTAGGGGAGCTTTTGAGCCAGGATGAGCCAGGAGAAGGAATTTCACAAGGTGACGTCATCAGTTAAGGCAGGAACAGGCCATTTTCACTGCTTTTGTGGTGGAATGTCATCAATTAAGGCAGGAACCGGCCATCTGGATGTGTATGTGCAGGTCACAGGGGATATGATGGCTTAGCTTGGGCTCAGAGGCCTGACAGCTATGTCCTAGATCTTGGAATGTTTTCACGTTGATTTTATTGCACAAACTGATAGTCTTTCCCGATTACATCTCTGATAATGCATTTTAAATCATTTAATAACATTTTACACCTTTAGACATTTTAAAACAAAGGGTTTAGACATTTTTAAACTGTTACCATTAACTCTGATTGATACAATTGAGAGTCAGAAGAAAGTAAGCCATATATCAAGCAATACAATCATTATCATTGAATCAAAAACAACCCAATTGCAACAGGTGTATTAGCTCTACAATTGTTCTCGAAATAATAAATAATTTACTGTGTTATTTTCAAATATATCGATGGCCTAAATGTGGAAAAATGTAATTCCCAGAAAACAGAAAAACAACTCAGCAAAGATCCCATTTCAACTACCAAGGCTTATCCCCCATGCTTACATGATTATTTTGCATATTAAGGAGATTTTCACTAAGCTTACTTGATAGTTAAAGTTCTCCAAACAAAATGAAATGCTAGATTGAATTAACAATAGATTATTTCTTCTTAATTAACAGTACAAATAGAATATGTCTTCTGACTAGAGTTAATAAAGACTTCTGACTAGAGTTAATAAAGACAAGATGACTCATATTAAAACAATGGTACTAAATATTAAACACTTATTTTATTTCTCTCAACCTCCAATCACGAGCCCCCAGTTAAATGCATTAAGGAATTTTATTTATTTATTTATTTATTTATTTATTTATTTATTTATTTATTTATTTTGAGACGGAGTCTCGCTCTGTCCCCAGGCTGGAGTGCAGTGGCGTGATCTCGGCTCATGGCAAGCTCCACCTCCCGGGTTGATGCCATTCTCCTGCCTCAGTAGCTGGGACTACAGGCGCCTGCCACCACGCCTGGCTAATTTTTTGTATTTTTAGTAGAGACAGGGTTTCACTGTGTTAGCCAGGATGGTCTTGATCTCCTGACCTCATGCTCCGCCTGCCTCAGCCTCCCAAAGTGCTGGGATTACAGGCGTGAGCCCCCGCGCCCATCCCGCATTAAGGAATTTTAAGGGCATCAAACTTATTTCACCAGGGTAGATAAATAAGATATATTTATAATCTCAGGTATGAAAGACTATAGCCAAATATTTTTATAATAATAAGCTCAGATAGACTTGGAAATTGAAGCGATAGTCTCAGAAAAAAAAAATTATGGGGCCAAGGAAAAGCTTCCCCTCTGCCTTTTGAAGGGTAGCTGAAAATAAACAGATTAATAGGAAAAAAAAAGTCATACTAAATTAACTTAACATCCATAGCATGGAGAAATTGCGAGAGAATGATTACCGAATAACCCAATGTGGTACAGTTGCTTGTATACCTTTCATAGAAGAGAGGGGAAATGGGGAATGTAGGCAATTCTTTTGAGGAGTAGTAAATAGTCATTAAAGAGAATGAATAGAGCCAGGATACATAAATTTACTTGTAAATGGTTCCGTTTAGAATTTGAATGAGCCAGAGAGGCAGACATTATCTTGCAGAAAAAGTCAGTTCTTGTGGTTGCATTCCTCAGTCTTCCTTCTTAAGATAGATAATGAGATGTGAGCAAGAGGAAGGCAATTGTGGTTTTTTTTTTTTGAAGGGTCCAGTTTTAAGGCAGGTGAGGGAATATCAGAGTAAAGCCTCATTCTGTGCTTTGGGAGAGACAGAAGGCTGAGAAACAGGAGGTTGGGGAGGGAGTGGTCAGAGATACCTTAAGGCTTCCTCAGTTCAGCATATTAAGTGCCATATTTTAGGATATCATTTTCTGAGCCTCAACACAGTTTAGAAATAATTGGAAACTTACAACACTCCTACCATTAAGATTTTGGGCCTAATTTCCTTTTCATTGACTGACATAACTAATAGAAGCTGGCAGAAGTGAAATTCTGGGATTTTTCAGCTTTTATTTTTTAAGATGTGTTTTCTGGTCCCTTTTCTCTTTCTTTTCCTTCCACAACTCCTATGATGCAATGGATTGTTCTCTTGGTGGTATCCTGTTCAGGCTTTCTCCATAACTTTTTTAGTTCATTCCTTTTATTTATTATCTCTAGGATTTTTGTCTGGTGGTTTTTTATTTCTACTTCTTTGTCAAACTTCATGTACTATTTTCCAAATTTCAATAAATTTTTTTCCGCATATTTTTGTAGTTCACTGTACTTCTTTATGTGTATCAATCTGAATTTTTATTTATTTATTTTTTTTTTTTTTACCATTTTATAGATCTCCATTTTTCTGGAGTCCATGATTAGAGATTTATTCATATTTTTTGGAGGTGTCATGATTCCTTGATTCTCCATAATCTCAGTGTCCTTTCATCGTTGTTTGTGTATTTGAGGAGTCAGCCCCCTCTTCTGGCCCTTATAGATAGTCTTTGGCAGAGATAGGCCTTCACTGTTTAGTCTAGCCTGTGATTCTAGAAGAACAAACTGGTTTTTTCCATGCAGTTGGCTGGGCCACTGCCTTTACTCTGATGTCAAATGGGGCTGCTGGATGGGCTGCACTGTCCGGTAGGACCACTGGCTGGGCTCTGTTATCAGGTGGAGATACTAGCTGGGTATAGCAATGTCTTCTACTCAGGCTGGTCATAACGTGTATTTCCTGTCTGGGCAATTCCACTATTTGGGACCTACAGTTGGGCAGGTCTGCAGGCTGGGCTCCAAGATTAAGTAGAGATGCTGTTTGAGATGTGTGAGACCAAGGGCTATGCCCCTTAGAACTGCCACATGATTGAGGATTGCCTCCCTGTCAGTGTGGAGTCATGGGGTGGGCTTTTGGCTGAGGCGAGTGGCTGTTTGACCTCCCAAGTCAAGCTGGTCCAGCCCCCTTGCCTCTTCAGAATGCATGGAGGTGGAAGTCTACCTTCCGGGACAGGGTTGTTGAGTGAACTTTTTGGCTAAATGAATCTGCTGCTTGACTTCCCAGGTCAAGTTGATCTAACCTTTTTCTTTCCCCAAAATGTGCAGAAGTAGGAGTCTTCCTTCCTGGGCAAGGTCATTGGTTGGGCTCATTGGCTGAGTGGAGCTGCTGCTTGACTTGGCAGGTTAAGCCAGCCTAGTCCTTTAAATTCTCCAAAATGAACAGAGGTGGGAGTCTCTTTGCCTGGGTGGGGTCATTAGGGTAGGCTCTGAGGCTGGGTATGGAGACTAGTAATCTAGGTACTCAAACTAGGTTAAACTTCCCACTGTGCTTCTGAAGGCAACCAAACCGGCTCAGCCTTGCAGGTGGGCTATGAGGTTGGCTAGTGTCTATGATCTGGTGCCACAGTTGGCAGGAACATGAAGGTACTACCAAGATTTGTGTGCTGGTCACGATCTCTGGCTCTTTTCTCTGTTTCTACCTGATCTTGGGTGGTTTAAGTGTGCTGTTTACCCTAGTGTTTTCAGTGAGGTGAGACAAATCAGCTTCCTGGGAAGCATATCAAAGTGCTAGGGATGCCAGATGACTGCCTCCCATTCTGTTTTCCCCTGTATAAACTGTGGGCCCAGGGAAATCCTCTCTGTCCAACACTGTACTGACTTGAGGTTGTGGAGGGGTGGGGCATCAAGGTCAGAGTAAGATCATTCTTTCTATCTTTTGCATTTGGCTTTTATTCTGTTCTGTGGACCACACGGGTTTCTCAGGCTTGCTTTCATGTACTGAGTTTTCAAAAGGATGCTCTAGTCTTTGGATAGTTGATAATTGAATTTTCTGTGAGGAGGAGTGGATCTTGAGACTTCCTTACAGGGGTGAGGAATATGGTGTGAGAATTTCTCCAGTTTTCCTACTGGTTTCAATGTGGGTGGTTTTGCACTCACTCACAGTGCAGGAGCCTCTCAACTATCTTCTGCATTTCCCACAAAGAGAATTGATCTGTGTATTACTGTTGAATCATTGTATCCTTGGGGCAAGAAGAGTCTAGGGCTTTTTTTTTCATCATCTTGTCGAGGGCACTCCTAGGAACACCTACTGTTGAAGGCCTGCTTTTCTACTTATGTAAGGAATCTGCTTATTTATGATTACACTGCTGTAAATATCATGTGAAGATGCATTTGAACCACAGAAGAGAGATTCCTACCAGAGTGCAGTCTTCTAGATGTCACTGCCAAGGCATCAGGCAAGTGAACGAAGCTGTCTTGGATCCTCCAGACTTGCTCAGCCATCAGCTGAATGCCACTGAATGGCCCCAATTGACACCATGTGTAGTAGATAATTCACTCAGTTAAGCACTTGAGAATTCCTAACTAAAAAAAAAAAAAACCTTAGCTATAAGAAAGGGTTATTCTTTAGCCACCATGTTTTGGGGTAGTTTGTGTCAACAACAGCAGACAGAGGCTGAGACTTTACACTACTTGTAAACTGACAGAATGAGAGAAGACCTGGGTCAGAGACAAAGGACTTTGTTACTCACAGAAAAAGGAGTCCTCAGAGCTTCATATTGATTCATACAGGATCTCCATGCCACCCATGTCCCACTACGGCAACCCAAAGGGCCCATGGTAGATGCCTATATATGCAGTGGATTTTTTTTTTTTTCCAGGAGAGTAATACTGAGCTTTGAAATGTTAACACTTTTATAGAAAGCAGAAGTGAGCGTGCTCTTTGTTTGGAAGGAGATGATTCCTCATCCTTAGAGTTTCTTTGTGCAAATGCAGCCCCAAGAAATGGTCCAGGTAGAGAGTGATGAAAGCTTTGCAATTTTATATACCCAGTGAGAAATGTGCATAGATGGACATGGTGGATTTTTTTCCCCAACAGATTATTAAAACAGCACGCTTCATTTTCAGTTAAACATTTATCATTGTAAAACAAGAGCATCACCTGCTCCCTGGGTAATGAGAAGTAAATTAAGTACAGTTATTTGTGTGGAATCTCATAGGAAAAATAAATATTGCATGATAGAGATTTCCTATTTGTTTGCAAAATTTTCGGTCTCATGTTTAAATAAACCAAAACACCCTTCTCATTCATGGCGGGCTTCATTTTTGCTTCCCTTTTCCTCCTGTTAACATTTATACTAAACTAGTGCTCTTTAATATGCTCTTAGTTTCATAATGGGGTTAATGGAGTGTGTGAATGCCCTGAAATTGTGCATAAAATATTATGTATATCCATCTATACATTTCTTTCCTGGGAGAGATAATACATAGTTCTTATCAGATTTTCAAAGAAATATTTGATCTAGCAAGGCTAAAAATAGTAAAGATATAGAAGAATTCACTATTTTGTGATTATCCAACCAAGAGATTTATCTTTAAAGCCATAAAAATGCCTCATTCACTATCTGTAATAAAAACAAACTGAATTTCAAATCTTGAACTTTGGTAAAATAGTAATAGTATTTCTAAGAGAATACAATCGATGTGTTTTCTCTAGACTATATTAGGTTGGTGCAAATGTAATTGAGGTTTTTGCCATTGAAAGTAATGGCAAAACAATGTGATTACTTTTGCACCAACTTAATAGCAAACCATTCCAAATTTACTGGATATCATATTTTGTCTTTTCAATATAATTCTTCATAGAATTAAAATATTTTCCTAATCTTATTCTGCTACTCATGTGTCAGTCACCATTATTTTTCTGAAAATGAGCAATTGCATAACTTTCACTTTATTAAATATTCGATGTGGCTCTATGTATGTACCTTATATACTTATTTAGATATGTAAAATCTATTTGGCTAACTCAAATAATTACAGTGATTATTCCAGTAATTAAATGCTGCAAAAGTTAATATGCTTTATTGTCTCAGACTTTGAAAATTTCCTATCTATTTTAGAATGTCTACAGAACAGTACTGCATGAAATTTAAAAGATGCTTTCCTTTTTTCCTACAATTAGAATGGAGATAATTTTAGGTATATAAGAAAGTTCTATGTCCATCAATTTCCTTAACTAAATCTGCTGCAATGCCTTTTATATATTGCACATATATATTATCTCCTATATTTTGATAAAAGAGACGTTTTTGTGACTTACGGAAAGTAGCTTAAACTCTTCATGCCTCAGTTGCTCCATCTGTCAAATGGAGATAATAATATCAAGCATATAATGTCATTTTAAGACTTTAATGAGTTGTTGGTTAACTATCACTTCTTAACTATTCACTTTTATCCAAGTACATGTAAGAGCTGGAATTCAAGCAGAGCATGGTAGTCCAGCTGAACAAAAGGACAGAGATCCAAATTCAAAATAACTGAAGTCCCTAGAATCTGTGAAGTAGGTCATCAAAGAAAGTGCTGTGAAAAGTGGACTCTGAGTCTATGTGAACATCCCCTGTGCTTCCCTGAGTGAGAGGTAGGCTGAAAATACAAAGGATTAGACTACCTACGGCTTATAGTGTGCCTGCAGTGGGACTGAACAAAACACAGTGGTAGTAGAGGTCCTTTGGGGCTGGAGGACTTTGGAGTTCTGGCAGAGTCAGAAAGGAAAGATCTGCTTAACACTATGCTGATACCCCTAATCGAGCTGAGGCATCTAGAAAGGTTGTGCTTTAGGAAAGAGGACCATGCTCTTGAGCAGGGATTGGCAAAGTTCTTTAGTAAAGGGCCAGGTAATAAATACTTTAGGCTTTGTGGGACACATAGCTCTCTCACTTTTCTTTCTCATCCTCTTTCTTGTTCTCTTCCTGCTACTAGTCCTTCTTTTTAAGAACCATTCAAAAACATAAATTCATTCTTAGCTTAGTAGTATAGAAAAACAGGCTCACGCAGTTTGCTGACCCCTTCTCTGGAGTAAGACTTAACACAGAGTCACATTAAGTAAGCCTACAACCACGGCCTTAGAAAATCCTAGGTGAGAAGAGTTTGGAGGTTGAATTTTTTCATGTTTTAGGGGCTTTGAGAACACTTCAGATTTTTCACAAATCTGTCTTAACACAATGAAAATACCAAGCCTATCCAAATTCCTGGTAATTAGACAGTAATTGAACTGCTTACTGGATTAAAAAAAAAAAATCAACACTCTTCAGAGGAAGATAGAAGAATCCAAAATCATTACAACATGTGAGTCAAAAGGTCAATATACTATTAAAAATACTAGACAATGGAACAGAAAAATATGACCCATCGTGAAGCAAAAAGCAATCAGTAATAAACAATTGTAAAGTGGTCCATATGTTGGATTAAGTAGAGAAAGATTTTAAATAGTCATTAAAAATGTGTCCCAAGTATTAAAGAAAAGGTGATTCAAATAATTAAAAGAAAAATTTGAAGGCTGGGTGTGGTGGCTCACAACTGTAATCCCAGCACTTTGGAGGCCAAAGCAGGCAGATCACCTGAGGTCAGGAGTTTGACATCAGCCTGACCAACATGGAGAAACCCCATCTCTACTAAAAATACAAAATTAGCTGGGCTTGGTGGCACATGCCTGTAATCCCAGCTACTCGGGAGGCTGAGGCAGGAGAATCACTTGAACCTGGGAGGCAGAGGTTGCGGTGAGCCAAGAACGCACCATTGCAAGCCAGCCTGGGCAACAAGAGCGAAACTCCGTCTCAAAAAAAAAAAAAAAAAAAAAATCATTACTAATGAGTGAAATAGATAAAAAAGAAATTATTATTATTACTGCCACTAGTAATGAGTGGAAAGTGGTACATATTTTGGTTTTGATTTGCATTTCCCTAATTAATAATGTTCATTGTCTTATGTGCTTGTTGGTCATTTATATATCTTCTTTGGAGAAATGGCTATTCAAATTCTTTGCACATTTATTAATTAGGTTGTTTGCCTTTTGGGTGAGTTTATATGTTTATGTTTAGATCCAGGAATCCACCAAGACAAGATTTTTTTTTTTTTTTTCCCATGGAGAAAGTAGTTTTGAGAGAAAACAAAGAGGTAGATTTGGGACCCACTTGGAAAAGATCTTGCTTATCAGAGATCAGGAAAGCGCCTGTGTGGTCTGGGAGTGGTAGTGAGATTAGAAATGACTGTAATGTGAATTTTTATCATGGTAAAGAGGCATTTGCTTTTTACATTGCTATAAACATACTCCAGAAGGTAGGGCAGCAGTACAAGACTGAGTGATACTGTATGCTACTGAGCTTAGAGGGAAAAGGGAAAAAAACAAATTGCAACAGCACCATCAACCCCTCTCACAATTACTCACTTCTGTCAAAAAGGTCAATCTCATTCATGCCTTGTCTGTAAACTTGCTGCTTGCTATGCCTGAAATTATACTCCTTTCCCACCCTGATCCTGGCTTATTTGGGCATACATACTAAGAAAAGTATACATATAAATTGACTAGCAGAGTGCTTAACATAATTAGGCCCTGACATGGTTTAGATGTTTTGTCCCCTCCAAATCTCATGTTGAAATGTGACCTCCAATGTTAGAGGTGGACCCAGTGGGAAGTGTTTGGGTCATGGGGGCGAATCCCTCATGAATGGCTTGGTGCCATCCTAATGGTATTTAGTGAGTTCTCATTCTATTAGTTCACAAGAGATCTGGTTGTTTAAAAGAGCCTGGCACCTTCTCCCTCTCTCTGTTGCTCTCTCTCTTGCCATGTGACATGCCTGCTTCCCTTCTGCCTTCTGTCATGACTGGAAGCTTCCTGAGGCCCTCACCAGGAGCACAGACCAGCACCACACTTCCTCTACAGCCTGCAGAACCGTGAGCAAAAGTAAACCTCTTTTCTTTATAAATTACCCACTCTCAGGTACTTCTTTATGGCAATGCAAGAACAGACTAACAGGCCCTCAATAAGGATAAATAGGAAATATCATAATGATAAATGGATAATTAATCAGGAAGAGGTACAATTCTAAATATGTATGAACCTGTATCACAGAACTTCAAAATTCATGAAGTAAAAATCAACAGAAATAAAAGGAGAAATAGAGAAATATAAAAAATACAGCTGGAGATTTGCACACATCTCTCTTTAACTGAAAGAACAAGTGGAAACAAATTTCACTAATGATGTAAGATCTGTGCAATGCTATTAACCAATTTGATGTAATTGATACTCATGGGGCAGTATAACCAAAATTCAGAATACACATTTTTATTTTCAAGTGCACATAGATTTTCCACCAAGACCAAATTCTGAGCCAAAAGACAACATATTTCATATACTGCCAAGACCAGCTCGGTCGGGGAGAACCTAACCCAACTGCACTAGAGGAATTAAAGACACATACACAGAAATACAGGAGTGTGAAGTGGGAAATCAGGGGTCTCACAGCCTTCAGAGCTGAGAGCCCCAAACAGAGATTTACCCACATATTTATTAACAGCAAACCAGTCATTAGCATTGTTTCTATAGATGTTAAATTAACTAAAAGTATCCCTTATGGGAAACGAAGGGATGGGCCGAATTAGCTGCAGCAGGAACACACCCTTAAGACACAGATCGCTCATGCTGATTGTTTGTGGCTTAAGAATGCCTTTAAGTGGTTTTCTGCCCTGGGTGGGCCAGGTGTTCCTTGCCCTCATTCCCGTAAACCCACAACCTTCCAGCTTGGGCGTTAGGACCATTATGGACATGTTACGGTGCTGCAGAGATTTTATTTATGGCCAGTTTTGGGGCCAGTTTATGGCCAGACTTTGGGGGGCTTGCTCCCAACAATATACTGAATTTTTTCGATTTAAAATTATCTTTATCTCATCACTTCTTTTCAACATAGTTTTGGAAGTCCTAGCCAGAGCAATTAGACAAGAGAAAGAATTAAATGGCATGCTACAGAAAAGGAAGAATTGAAACTGTTTCTTTTTGCTGATGACGATGTCATCTTCCATCATGTATGGATACATTTTACAAACATTTGTGTGTGCAATATAATTCACAGTTAGAAAAATGTCTTAGACCAGTTTCAAACTTCAGTCTCATATCTAATTTCATAGAGCTCCAAGGCCTAGAGTGGAGACAGGGAATACTCTGCTAGGAGCCTATATCCTTTTTCTTCTCAGTTTTTGCTTCTTCTCTCCTACTGACTACAAGAAGGTTTTGGGGAGGGGGCATGAGAGGAGACTGTCTCTTTAATTAACTGACAGCATTTTGCAGACTACTTGGTGTTGTCTTAGTTCATTTAGACTGCAATAACATCATACCACAGACCAGATGAGATGAAGGTGCCAGCATGATCAGGTTCTGATGAGTGCCTTCTTTTAGGCTGCAGACTGCCTTCTTACTGTGTCCTCACATGGGGGAAGGAGAAAAGGAATTCTCTGAAGTTTCTTTTTTTTTTTTTTTTTTTTTTGAGACGGAGTCTCTCTCTGTCACCCAGGCTGCAGTGCAGTGGTGGGATCTTGGCTCAATGCAACCTCCGCCTCTCCCAAGTAGCTGAGATTACAGGTGCCCACCACCAGGCCTGGCTAATTTTTGTATCTTTCTTAGTAGAGACGGGGCTTCACCACATTGGCCAGGCTGGTCTTAAACTCCTGACGTCAAGTGATCCACCCACCTCAGCTTCCCAAAGTATTGGGATTACAGGCGTGAGCCACTACACCCAGCCTGAGGTTTCTTTTAGAAGGGCACAAGGTTAAAATGTCAACATATGCATTTTAGCAATTGTTGTTGTTGCTGATTTTCTGACTATCAAACACTGGCTCTCTATGCCTTCTGTGTAATAGACACCCAAATGCTGACTCTTTTATGGAGTGCACATATGAGTATTTTTGAGGACTCTTGGGACTTCCCCGCTGCACAGTTCTCAACCACTTGTATCGCCTATTAAATTCTTCACACAGTGGTTCACTGAAGAACCCACGCCAGCTTCTGTCCTTGATAACCACTTAAACTATACATACTCAGGTGTTATTTCTGTGTTGAGCTGTAGGAAGTACAGGCTGCTCCACTGCCATCTCTTCTTTAATTTCTTCCTTCTTCCTTTAAGTCTCTCTTTATTTTCCTGATCAGATAGGTATAGGGTGGGAAACAAAGTTTATGGGAAGCCATTGTTTTGGATTAGCCTCCTGTGCTAGGTCCCAGTCAGACCAGACCAAACCAGAATGGAGTCACTTGTGCTAAGTGCTAATCAAACTGAACTTTGAAACGGGCCAGTTTTTCTGAAAAATGAGAGTCTAGTCAACCAGAGTCAACATAATAAGAAAGTCGCCTCTATTTTAACCTGTAAAGACAGTAACTTCAAAAGGACCAACTCACTTTTTGTTCTGTTTCTGCTTCTTCAGCCCTTTTCTGCCTATAAAGCCAACCTCCTCTGCTCAGCTCATTGGAACACTCATTCTATTTTATAGAGTGAGATGTTACCAGATTCTCAAATTGCAGGTAAAAGTCAGTTTGATCTTTAAACCAAATTTGTTGTAGTTTTTTTCTTTTGACAAGGGGCATAATAGCAAGCCTGTTGCCTAAGCAATTATCTAGCCAGGGAACAAAATGTCTCTCTAGTCTTACATGCATGCATCCTACATTTTATAAATATTTTCTCTTGGAACACCACATTATATGGTTTCAAGAGGAAAAAAACGCCTCTTCCCTCCTATTACAAGGAGGCAGAGGAATCACTTTGATGAGCACTCTACCTTCCCTGGTGCTCTCCTTATATACCAGAGTGAAGTAGTAGGGCACTGGTTGATTATGGTATGGGTGAGTTGGGACACCAATTAGAAAACCTTGCAATGTGATACCTGGATGCATGTCTGGGTAGCTCGTTGGAAGCTCATTTTAGAATAAGATATGTAGTGCCTTAGTATTTTTTAAATCTTTTTTTAGCTGTGAGTTCTAGTGGACAATCCCAAGACAACAAGGGAAGTCCTTTTCAATGTCCTATTATGTTAGACTCCCATACTTATTAATTGTGTGTTCCCCAGCAAGTGTCCTAAATTCTTCCAAATTCAATTTTCTTATGATTTAATTGGAAAGAATAGTCTACCTGCCCT
Source organism: Homo sapiens (assembly GCF_000001405.40). NCBI lineage: Eukaryota > Metazoa > Chordata > Mammalia > Primates > Hominidae > Homo > Homo sapiens. The sequence goes on along the minus strand of NC_000023.11, from coordinate 114,028,263 downwards.
TTCAGTTTTTTTTAAGATTAAATAAGTATGTATATAAAGGGCTTGTTCAGATTAAATGTTCAAGAAAATTTGAGAAAGTAGTTTTACATGTTTAGGGGAAAGGCCTGATTTCAGTAGAAATTAACCCAATACAATGAATGGAATGTTCTATAACTTTTGGGAACTAGATCTTGTAAGATTGTAAATTTTACCACATATTCTTAAAATAAATTACATAATAAGTAGGAATAATATGTGAATCAATATGAATTAATGAATTGGTAATAGAACTATAATTATCCTTTGGTGAAATACATTTCCTTAATTTTATCTTTGGTCTTAAATTTGGTTATTCCATGCATTCGATTAAAGAAGATAGATACTACTCTTTGGAATGTGCTTACTTTTTTAAGCCTAAGAACGTTCATTACTTTGCATTGTTTTCTTCCCCAAACAGCAGGATATTTATATTATACTGGATTACTTACTCAGGAAATAGGTACTGAGATGACTCATTATTATATATATTGATACAAAAGTAGGCCTTATAGGCTATTCAATGACAGTTTTTTTCGTTTCAATAACTTTCAATTGAAAGTTAGTTTGAGAGTTGCGAAAATTAAAGGCGCTTATTCCTATAAAGTACTTAGCAAGGTGCCTGGCGTATAGTAAAGGCTCTATAAATGCTAGCTATCATGATGATGATTATAAAGCTTTCTACACAAGCTGTTTACTATTATCATCATGCCAAATTAAATTATAATAATAAAATGCTGATAGGAGAAAAGTGGAGTTGGACAATGATAATTGAAAATTATATTTATTCACATGACTTCTCCATTTTGAAAAGCACATATTTTATGTTATTAAAATAGTATTGAATGGGGGATATGGATAATACAATAGTTCTTCTCCAGAATTCTGTCTGGTAACAGTAGCTTTATGGCTAATAACACATCAAAGGGCATTGATAAATCTTTCTTTTTGTCTCCTATGTCATGGTAGTAGTTTCTTGGTTTCTGTTTTTCTTTTAAGTAAGCAAAATTGAGGAAACATAAAAATGATGGACTGTGCCATAAATGTTTAAAATATTAAATATATATTTGGCTTTTCTTTTTAACATAGGGCTTTTCCTTTGAGTATATAAATCAATCATTTGTGTTTCACATTATTCTTACATGAATATAATTCAAAAAAATTAATTCAAATAATTCAAAAAACTATTCAAAAAAATATAATATATAAATCAAATAATTTATTTTTTACAATTTGAGTGTATTTAAAGTGAATAGGGGACTTAAAGAAAATTGGCAAGCAGTCTGAGTTTAGAAATTTTTAAGATGTTAATAAATTTTCCTTATATTTGCAATTCTCATCTACACCAAATTCAAAGGCAATGTTTAAAGATGTACTTTTAGTAATATTTTTCAAAGCATTCAAATTAGTTTTTATGGAAAGAACAACTCTGATTTTGCATTCATATCTTATCATTTTACGCAATATTGCCTTAAATTACTTAACACATTAACATGTATAATTAACTGGCATAAATACTGGCATAACACATTAACTGGCATAAATAAGTTTTGGAATAAACTCAACAGACTCTTGGTAAGCATCAAATTCATATGGTGGAAGGAGAAGCCTGTGAAGGTAATGAGTACAGCCAACTAGCAGTGAGTATCTAGCCTGTGCTGGGCATCAGTTAGAATGCTTTATAGAGGAAATAGAGAACACTTATTATTTTCCCAAGTCAGCTAATTGATAATCTGGTAAGGGAACTTTTTTGTATTGTATTCTAATAAGATGACATTTTAAACTGCTATAACTGAGAAAATTGATCTCCTTAGTGACCATCTGGAGGTAGTGTAGATCTACATCAATGAGTTTAGAATTTTAAAATTTCTTTTCTTTTATTTCTTCTTTTTTTTTTTCTTGAGAGGGAGTCTTGCTCTGTCACCCAGGCTGGAATGCAGTGGCGCGATCTCATCTCACTGCAACCTCCACCTCCTGGGTTCAAGAAATTCTCCTGCCTCAGCCTGCAGAGTAGCTTGGACTACAGGTATGCACCACCATGACCAGCTAATATTTGTATTATTATTATTTTTTAAATAGAGGTGGGGTTTTGCCATGTTAGCCAGGCTGGTCTTGAACTCCTGGCCTCAAGTGATCCACCCGCCTCGGCCTCCCAAAGTTCTGGGATTACAGGCATGCACCACAGTGCCCGGCCTATTTTCATTTTTATTGGAATGAAAAAAATGAACTAAATCCCTTCAAATTAGAAGTGAGCTCCAAAGAATCACTAATATATTATTTTCTTCAACGTTTTCTCAAAAGGCACCCTCAAGGTAAGTAATTTAAAATGTACCTAGAACATAATTTCAAACTATGTATTCAAATCACAGGATAGTTTTTGTATAAAAAATAAGTGTTAGTTTTGTCCTTGAGAATGTGCTACATATTTCGGAGAACTATGATCTGTGGGCTTCATCAGAGTTCCATGGGCATGGGGCTGTGTGCGGTGGCTCATGCCTGTAATCCCAGCACTTTGGGAGGCCAAGGCGGGCAGATCACTTGAGGTCAGGAGTTTGAGACCAGCCTGGCAAAAATGGTGAAACCCTGTGTCTACCAAAAATCCAAAAAAGGAAAAAATTATCTGGGTGTAGTGGCCAGCGCCTATAGTCCTAGCTACTCGTGAGACTGAGGCGAGAGAATCACTTGAACCTGGGAGGAGGAGATTGCAGTGAGCCAATATCGTGCCACTGCACACCAGCCTGGGTGATAGAGCAAAACTCCGTCTAAAAAAAGAAAGTTCCATGGTTATGTGCATCCGCTCTTGCTGTCTTCCTGTGCCACTGTTTATCCTTAAATGTATATGAAGCCGTTCTTTGTCAATTGTGATTAAGGATTCCAGATGTTCAGTGATTTCATCAAAAAATGAATTTGCTTTTTTATTTCCTCATTCTCCTTTTATTTGTGGGTGATTTTCAGAAGGTTAAAATAAAAAATTCTATCTTTACATCACCATTTAAAAACCAGATTTCCCAAATATTTGCAAGAACAGCTAAATTTAAGGAGATTTAAATAAGCATCTAAAATCAAAGTTACTCCTTTGCATAAACAAAGCTTTTAAAATATCTTTTTTTCTTCCATTTTCTCTTGTCTTTTTATGGAATTCAAATTATACGTGTATTAAGTCTCTGCTCATTTTTTTTCAATCATCTTTTTTCCCGTTTTTCAAACAGGATAATTTCTATTTATCTATCTTCAAATTCCTTGCCTTTTTTTCCCTTTGATGTTTCCATTTTGCTGTTAACCCTATTAAACAATTTATTTTATTTAAGCTACTTTTTAAAGTAGAAGTTCCTCTTTGTTCATTTTATAGTTTCTATATTTCTGCTAAGATTTCCTTTCATTCATAACAAGCGTATTTTCTTTATATCCCTGATCATAGTTATAAAAGCTGTGTTATAAAATCTTAGGGTTTTATAGTTATTACATAGTTACAAAATCTTGAGGTTGGTTTCCATTAATTTTCCTTTTTTTGAAATTGATAATTTTTTCTCTGATTCTTCATATTCTAAGTATTTTGAATTGTACCTGGAAGTTGTAAATCTTGTGAAGATTCTGGTTTTTATTTTTATGTTTTCCTAAAGAATGTTCATTAAAAAAAACCTCTTAACTTCGCCGAACTCGTAATGTGAACAATGTCTCTCCCTTGGTGTGTAGGCAGCTCAGATCTCAATTTAGTTATTTTGGCTTAGCTCCTTGTAGTCTACCTCACCCTTGTGTAGTTCAAGGGTCAGCCAGAGATTTAGGCAGAGACTATTCATAATACATGTTCATCTCCCTTCCTGGCTCCCTTTTTCCTGTGAATTTTTTCCTTCACTGTCAGTAGCTGTGATTGCCCAGAACTCCTTTCTCTCATTTTTCAAGCCTATTAGACTACAGCATTTCTATCAGGGCATTATCCACAAGGCTGGGCACAGATTGGGGCCTGCCATAAGGCTAAAAGCTATTAAAAGAAAAAGAAATCTCACCTCATACCTTTACTTCCTCATGACTGTCAAATCCTCTCCAGTTCCTGCTTGCTTTCAATCATAATCCAATGCCTTAATTAAAAATATTATTCAGAATTGGTGGTGTTATTTGTACAAGGATTGCTCTGAAAGGAGACACTTGGCCATTACAGGAAGCTGAACCCATTCTCCCTTTTGTGTATTCATGTTTCACATGAGAAGACAAGTAATCACATGAAAACCCAATAATACCAACTTCAGTTGCCCAGTGGGTTTGACCTCAGAAGAAAATGTAGGATGTAGTTTTGCTTCTTCTAGTTGTTAGCTATTTCTCTCCAAGTAGAAAATTATGGGAAGAGAGAGATTTTTCTTCAAAATAAAGTGGACAAAGTAAACTATATTTGTGGAAAAAACGAGATGTGAAAACAGATATGGTAGTTTTCTAGAATAGTAACAACATGTTGCCAAATGTGTTTTGATACACACAGATAATTCCAAAGGCATTAATGTGGTGAACACACTCTCTCTCGCTCTCTCTCTTTCTCTCTCTCTATATATATGGAACTCAAATTATATGTGTATTAAATCTCTGCTCATTTTTTTCAGATACATATATGCATATATCTCTATGCGTATGTGTATAAGTGTAGAAAGCCCCCCCTACCAACACACACACAGAGAATGTTAAAGAACATATTCTTCACATTCCTAGTTGATTTCATTTAAAATGCATGGAATACTCTAATCACTAGTTACCTGTTTCTTATCTTTGAGTATCCTACTATATCTTGGTTTAGAAAAATGTGTACTTCAACCTTTAAAAAGTTTTATTTTGGCCGGGCGCGGTGGCTCAGCCTGTAATCCCAGCACTTTGGGAGGCCGAGGCGGGTGGATCACAAGGTCAGGAGATCGAGACCATCCTGTGAATGGTGAAACCCTGTCTCTACTAAAAATACAAAAAAAAAAAAAAAAAATTAGCCTGGCGTGGTGGCGGGTGCCTGTGGTCCCAGCTACTCGGGAGGCTGAGGCGGGAGAATGCCGTGAACCCGGGAGGTGGAGCTTGCAGTGAGCCGAGATTGTGCCAGTGCACTCCAGCCTGGGTGACAGAGCGAGACTCTGTCTCAAAAAGAAAAAAAAAAAAGTTTTATTTTAATGAGGTTTACTTTACATGGATTACTAGGTGACTGAAATACATAATTTTTAAATTAAAAATAATTGAAAGACATAATTACTATCATTTGCTAAACAATAGTAATTATTTCTTAGTGTGTGATTGTGTTTAAGTGTATGTGCTATAACTGAAGAAACAAACATGAAGTACTACAGGTTTTCTCCAAAATGCTACTGATACTGACAATCATAAAGCTATAATTACATTCTACTTACTCCTCAGCTAATAAATTAGTAACAGTTGCTATAAAGGACTAGTTCCAGTTTTCTTCAATATTAAGGTGTTTTTTTCTTGCACACTGATTCCCAAATGCTGGAAGTTATTTCACGTGTTAACTTGGGTAGAAGTACAAGAGAGGGCTCTAATCATATTTCTTTGATTACTGGCAAATTTAGAAAAATTGCAGGAAGAAGGTAATAGCTTTTTTCTCCTATACTATTATATAATCATTTATGAGTATTGTCCCATCAAGCTAGGTAATGGTGTTCCATAATAATCAGCAAACCCATTTAGCCAGTTATCTGTGTTCAAAATCTGAGTCATTTCTGACTCTTCCTCATTCTCCCAATCAAAACAATTACAATGTCTCATTTTTACTTACCTCATAATGTCCTCCATATCTGTTCTTCCCCTTTGATTATTATTGAAGTTAACCTGGCTCTGATGCGTAATGCCTCAAGTGTGTACCACTGCCATAGATTTATCATACTTTTCCTCATTATTGATACCTTCACTTACAGTCCATCCTGTACATGTCACGACTAATAGTCCTAAATATTGCTAATAGACCTAAAATATTGCTTTTTACGTTAATTACCTGATCATTAATACTTGATGGTTCACTGGTCTTTAAAGAGTTTAAACTTCTCAGCCTGGTAGAAAACATCCTTCTAGTTTTGACCATCTGTTTCACCAGTTTAGTCTACTCGCTAATCCTCCCAGGCATGGCATGGGCTACATGTTGCTGTCAGGAAGGGACAGTGCAGTTTTCTTTTAAGTTTTAGTGGTTTAAGACTCTGTCTTGAATGGGAGAAAATTTTTTGCAATCTACCCATCTGACAAAGGGCTAATAGCCAGAATCTACAAAGAACTTAAACAAATTTACAAGGAAAAAATCAAACAACCCCATCAAAAAGTGGGCAAAGGATATGAACAGACACTTCTCAAAAGAAGACATTTATGCAGCCAACAGACACATGAAAAAATGCTCATCATCACTGGCCATCAGAGAAATGCAAATCAAAACCACAATGAGATACCATCTCACACCAGTTAGAATGGCGATCATTAAAAATTCAGGAAACAACAGGTACTGGAGAGGATGTAGAGAAATAGGAACACTTTTACACTGTTGGTGGGACTGTAAACTAGTTCAGCCATTGTGGAAGACAGTGTGTTGATTCCTCAAATGGTATTTCTAGAATTATAGACCCAGCCATCCCATTACTGGGTATATACCCAAGATATTATAAATCATGCTGCTATAAAGACACATGCACACGTATGTTTATTGCGGCACTATTCACAATAGCAAAGATTTGGAACCAACCCAAAGGCCCATCAGTGATAGACTAGATTAAGAAAATGTGGCACATATACATCATGGAATACTATGCAGCCATAAAAAAGGATGAGTTCATGTCCTTTGTAGGGACATGGATGAAGCTGGAAACCATCATTCTCAGCAAACTATCACAAGGACAGAAAACCAAACACCGCATGTTCTCACTCATAGGTGGGAATTGAACAATGAGAACACTTGGACACAGGAAGGGGAACATCACACACTGGGGCCTGTCGTGGGGTGGGGAGAGCGGGGAGGGATAGCATTAGGAGATGTACCTAATGTAAATGACGAGTTAATGGGTGCAGCACACCAACATGGCACACGTATACATATGTAACTAACCTGCATGTTGTGCACATGTACCCTAGAACTTAAAGTATAATAAAAAACAAAAACAAAAACTCCTGGAAGTTTGGGGCTTTTGTCATAAATTGCCTCGTAGCTAGAAATGAGTATTTTAGCACATAAAAGCGAGTTACAGTTAAAAAAAAAAAGACTCTGTTGTGATGTTTTTTCATAATTCAGTGTAGGTAAGAATCACCTGGTTACATCCCTAAGCTCCATCCACAGAGGTTCTGATTTAGTAGGTCTGTTGGTGGCACCTGAGAATCCACAACTTTAGCAGTGGATTCTGATGAAGATGATACATATAGCACAATGAGAAATATTGCTCTACTTACTAAAACCCTACTTACCCTCCAAAGATGTATGTTCTATTTTTTAATATGAAGTCTTTGGGATTACTCTAGTCAAGAGAGATCACTGCTGTACTGTGAAGTCATACAGTATTTCTCTGTAACACTCATTCATTCATTCTTTCATTCAGCTTTCAAAGAGGACTACTAACCTTTTTGGAATAGCTATTCCATCTCTTCTATCCCCTTAACCTACTTTATTTTCCTCCATAGCACTTATTCCTGCTTGATATTACAGTATAGCTATTAAATTTGTAAACCAAAAAGGGTCTGAGACAGATCTCAATCAATTTGGAGGTTTATTTTGCCAAGGTTCTGGACGTGCCTGAGTAAAATCTGTAGCCCAGTGCTTTCTCCAAAGAGAGTTTGAGAACTTCAGTATTGAAAGGGGAGAGTGGGCAGGAAGGAAAAGAGGAATAGTCAATTATGCATTTATCTCACTCTCAGTAAATCTGCATTTTACATAACATAAAGTAAACATAGGGAAGAGAAAGTCAAATGTGTATTTTTCTTAGGGTGCATGGAGGGATGATTGCCAGTCTTGTCTTTGTGCCACACCTGTGAACACAAGTTGTTAATTTGTACTGTCAGGGTGATATTCAACATAACTCTGCTTTAGGGTAAAGATTTTTGGGGCCCACAGGAATTTCCTTGTGAGCAATTTGTAAAGGAGGCCCCCTGGGAGATATGTGGCCTTCTATTGTTGCAGCTATCTGTTTAGGAACAAAAGGCAGTTTTTGCGTGACCCATCTCCCAAGCTTAACTTTTCCCTTTGGCATAGTGAGTTTGGGGTCCCCAAATTTTCTTTTCTTTTCATAGTTTCTTTTTTTACATGAAAATAAGCTTCATGAAGGTAGAGACATTGTGTTTTCTTTCATTGTATTATCAGAGCTTAGAAAAGCATAGTAGATACTCAATAAATATTGTTGAACACATGAATTTGACACTTAGCACATAGGCTTTTATCGTTAATTGTCTTTTCATGAATGATGCAAAAATGTAGAATGCTCTTTAGGGTAAGATCTCTTTTACAATTCTCTCTATTATACTTTATAGCACCCAATCCATTGGTTTGCATAATAAGCACACAATGCAGATTTGTTGATATGTTTTTCTATTGACATGAATCTGAAAATAACATGAATTGATAACTGATTTAAGTTTCATTTTTAAGTAAAAGTGTGGAAAGCAGAATAATGGACCCTGAAAGATATATGTGTCCTACTCCTCCGAACCTGTTAATACACTACTTTGCATGGCAAAAGGGATTTTGCATCTGTGATTCAGGTTAAGAAGCTTGTAATGGGAAGATTATTCTGGATTATCCAGGTAAATCCTATCTAATTTCATGAGTCTTTTAAAGCAGAGAACCTTTTCCAGCTGCAGAGAACCAAAGATGGTAGTGTGAGAAGTAAGTTTGATGTTGCTGGCTTTGAAGGTGGAGGAGGAGGGCCATGAACCAAGGAATGTAGATGGCTTCTAGAAGCCAGAGAAGGCAAGAAAATGGATTCTCCCCTATAGCCTTCAGAAAGGAATGCAGCCCTGATGACGATGCCTTGATTTTAGCTCAGTGAGTTGTGTTTATGACCTACAGAGGTGTATAATACGTTGTGCTATTTTAAGCCACTGGCTTTGTGATATGTTTTGGTAGCAATAGTAAACAGGTATAAACAATAATAACAGCAAAAAAAAGCCTTTCAACCTTATTCTTCCGTCCATATGAGAAATGAAGCAGATTCCTGAAGGGCTGGGGCATTTTCCATATATATTCAATTATAAGATAATTTTGAATATAAGAAATGTTTCTATTTTCTTAAGGAGAACTTTTTTTTCAAGAATATATGGCTAACTTGAATATAGAAAATTGTGTAAATGGCAATTAAATAAGATGATATATCCCTATTTACTTTGCAAATGTTGATTAAATTAATTACAGATATATATTTAAAAAATTCATGAATGTTTCTGATGATCCAACAATATAGTATGCCCTTTGGGGTAAGTTGTCTTTCACACTTCTCTCTATTATCCTTTAGAGCACCGAATCCATTGGTTTGGACAATAAACACAAAGTGCAGATTTAGGTATAATATAATGTTGTATCTTTCTCATGTTTTATAAAACAATTTTATTCATATTTTACTGTTGAATTTAACATTCGTTACTATCATCACTGAAGATTTTTTTCTGGAGAGATCTGACACTTTTCTAGAATACAACATAATCACTTCTATCTAAGATATTTTAAAGAAAGCACTTTTTGAATCCACATATCACTCAAAATTTTATCCCAAGTTACAAGTATGTATCTGTTATTCATGATAAAATCCCTAATAAAACCACTTATCATATATTTGTTTCTAAAGTAGCCTTGAAAAGGGTTGTTTATACTTGGTATCCAAAATCCGTAATTGTGAGGTCATCTGTCTTCACAGATGATAATTTAAAAATTAGTGTTGATTGGGCTGGGCACGGTGGCTCACGCCTGTAATCCCAGCACTTTGGGAGGCCGAGGCGGGTGGATCACGAAGTCAGGAGTTCGAGACCAGCTTGACCAACATGACGAAACCCCGTCTCTCCTAAAAATACAAAAATTAGCTGGGCGTGGAGGTGTGCACCTGTAATCCCAGCTACTCGGGAGGCTGAGGTAGGAGAATCACTTGAACCCGGGAGGCGGAGGTTGCGGTGAGCCGAGATCGCGCCATTGCACTCCAGCCTGGGCGACAGGGCGAGACTCCATCTCAAAATAAATAAATAAATAAATAAAAATCAGTGTTGATTTTTTGTCTTCCTTTTTTTCTTATAAATTCTGGCTGATAATTTCTATTAACATACAAAACTAACATTGATTAAGGCCATTTTAGATTTATGTATTTTTTCCAAGTAGTTGTTCAAAATAAAGTAGTTAAAGAAAATGTGGCACATATACACCATGGAATACTATGCAGCCATAAAAAAGGATGAGTTCATGTCCTTTGCAGGGACATGGATGAAGCTGGAAACCATCATTCTCAGCTAACTAACACAAGACCAGAAAACCAAACACCGCATGTTCTCACTCATAAGTTGGAGTTGAACAATGAGAACACATGGATACAGGGAAGGGAACATCACACACTGGGTCCTGTCGGGGGGTGGGGGGCTAGGGGAGAAATAGCATTAGGAGAAACACCTAATGTAGATGGTGGGTTGATGGGTGAAGCAAACCACCATGGCACGTGTATACGTATGTAACAAACCTGGACGTTCTGCACATGTACCCCAGAACTTAAAGTATAATAATAATAATAATAAAAGAAAGTAATTAAGAAGGGTTCTCTACTATGGGAAAAATTTTATGTTTCATTTTCTTTATGAGACAAAATATTGAGCTAAAATTTCAGCTTATATTCAGAAAGATGAGCACTTTTATTCCACTTACTTGGTTTACTTTCTTTTTCATAGACATGAAAGTTCACAGGAGACATCCTATTTGTAATCCGTTATTGCTCAATACTATCTCATGTATTCCTTTCAATGTACATATATCCTGACAATATCATATTCAATGCTATGTTATTTTTTTCCCAGTCCCCTATTGATTAACTTTTAAATTGTTTCTAATTTTCAACAATGACCCATGATGATGATGCAATAATCATTACTTTTCATAGATTTTTACAGTCGTGTAATTATTTTAAAAATTTATTTTATTTTAATTTATTTATATTTTTACTTATTTTATATTTTTAAAAATCAGATTTCCATGTTTCAGCAGCAAGTCATTAGCTGAATGAGAGTCCATGTAAGTCATCATGTATATATATAGTTGTATATTTCTGAAGGATAAATTCTTAGAGGTAGAACTGCCATGTGAAAGGAAATGAACATTCCAAATGTAAAAACTATTGCTAAAATGACCTACAAATATATAAATATATGTTGCCATTTGATATGGTTTGCCTGTGTCCCCACCCAAAATCTCATCTTCAGTTGTAATCCCCATAACCCGTACATGTCAAGGGTGGGGGCAGGTGGAGGTAATGGGATCATGGGGACCATTTCCCACATGCTGTTCTCATGATAATGAGAGAGTCTCATGAGATCTGATGGTTTTATAAGCATACAGCATTTCCCCTGCTTGCACTCACTTCGTCCTGCTGCCCTGTGAAGAAGGTGCCTGCTTCTCCTTTGCCTTCCACCATAATTGTAAGTTTCCTGAGACCTCCCCAGCAATGTGGAACTGTGAGTCAATTAAACCTCTTTTCTTTATAAATTACCCAGTTTCGGATATTTTTTCATAGCAGTGTGAGAATGGACTAATACACCATGCATAGTGCCATGAAAATGTGCTTCTTATATCTCTGATGGAAGAGAGTGTAACTGACCTGCGGCCCAATTGTAGCACTTAGAAATCCATCACAGTACTTGTGCTGTGCACAGACCACTCTTCCTAAGGGTTGCTTCTAGCCAATAAACAATTGAGCACAGCAGAGATTCTAAGACAGGTCCATTTCTAAGACATGCAGGGCTGCTCTGATAGGGGATTTTGGCTCAAGGACTCTCCAACGACCTTTCAGAAGTCTCTTAAACCACAATGAAGTCTAGAATGCTTTCTCTCCCAACCTTTATTTAATTCTTCCTTCTTTACCCTTCCCTTTCATCCAGAGCCAGTTCTGCATTGTGGTTTGGCAGTTCTCCCAGATTCTTTCAGCTCCTTCCCCATTTTCTATCACAGGTAGTTCTCTCAATAAATTTCTTTCTTTCTTTTTTTTTTTTTTTTTTTAAGACGGAGTCCCACTCTGTCACCCACGCTGGAGTGCAATGGTGCGATCTCGGCTCACTGCAACCCCCACCTCCACAGGTTCAAGCGATTCTCCTGCCTCAGCCTCCTGAGTAGCTGGGATCACAGGTGCGCACTACCGCGCCTGGCTAATTTTTGTAGTTTTAGTAGAGATGGGGTTTCACCATGTTGGTCAGGCTGGTCTCGAACTCCTGACCTCGTGATCCGCCCACCTCGGCCTCCCAAAGTGCTGGGATTACAGGTGTGAGCCACCGTGCCCGGCCTTCAATAAATTTCTTATATGAATAATCATATCTTGGTCTCTGATTCTTGGAGGACCTTGGCTAACACAGTGTATAAAAATATCTATATAGTTGCATCATCAAATTTTAATATTTTTCATTTTGATTGAAGTTATTATTTCATTTAAATAATTGTGTATCGTTAATTATGTAGTTTAGCATCTTTTGCATACTTATTAGCCATATGTATTTTATTTTCTGAAGATTTTATGTTTATGAAATTTCCTGTTTTTTTCTTTAAAATCTTCTTGTTGGTATTTTTGTCTTTTTTGTTTTTTGTTTTTTGTTTTTTTTTGAGATAGAATCTTGCTCTGTTGCCCAGGCTGGAGTGCAGTGGCATGATCTTGGCTCACTGCAACCTCCACCTCCCCAGTTCAAGTGATTCTCTTGCCTCCACCTCCCGAGTAGCTGCAATTACAGATGCATGCCACCATGCCCGGCTAACTTTTGTATTTTTAGTAGATATGGGGTTTCAACATGTTGGCCAGGCTGGTCTCGAACTCCTGACCTCAGGTGATCCACCTGCCCTGGCCTCTCAAAGTGCTGGGATTACAGGTGTGAGCCCCTCCGCCGCCTCCCCCTGTCCCCCCCTCCGCCCGCTCCCCCAACCCGCCGCAGTCTGCTTGCTGTTTTCTTACTGATTTGCAGAATCATTTATCAACAATGAAAGTAATACTATAGCTAATATTAATTAAGGATTTACTATGAGCAAATTATTGTAACAAGTCTTTAATGTAAATTATGAACCTCCAAAAATCTGATGAGATAAATACTACTATTTTGCTAATTTTACAAATGTGGCAATGAGGAGAAAGAGGATGCATAATTGCACTAAGGTCATCTACGGTTTATGTGGCAAAGTTAGGATATGTATCTGTCTTTTCTGACTTAATTCAAGACCAATGTTCTACACTATAATTCCACTACACTATGCTTCTGCTAGACCAAAATCTTTTGCGCTTCCTCTATATTGCAAAATATTTTCTTGCTTCTTATTTAGCTTTGTTTACAGTCTTTTACCAAACATGAATTTTTATAAACTATGTAATCAAATCTGATGCTAGTGTTTTCATAAAAATTCCTGATTTGTTTCATGATTAACAAAGTATCACTAAATGGTAATGAAATATTGTTTCATATTTTCTTAGAATACTTTCAATGTTTTATTTTTTATGTTTAACTCTTTAATCCATAAATATCTGGGGAAAAATTACATCTCTATCCCTAGCCTTTATCTTACACAAACACATACACACACACACCCTTCTACAGTTGTAAAAAACCAGGACTTAAAAATAAAAGTAATTCACCCATGTTGTGGTGAGGATTACATGGCTCTAAGCATTTGTCAAAGTTTATAGAATGGCATAACAAAAAGAATGTCTTATTGTACATAAATTTTAAAAAACAAATTTAAATAATATAAGAAATAATTTGAGAATAACACAGTAAACATAATGTGGGTGAAAACTATATTAGAAAGAACAGAGCAGTTAATTATAAAACCAATTAGCTAATTACAATTAACACTTCAAAAACTCTGGAGATGTGAATTGAAATTCAACCATTAATCCTTTCTTAATAGAGTCGCTAATCTTTTACTAAAGGGGGGAAGGTCATTGTTTCAGGGTGTTTCTTCTTAGTCTTGATCTCTCTCGTTTGTTGATCAGAGCAACTACGCTGACCATTGTTTTTCTGCATATTTCTTTCAGTTGTGTTATAGAGATTTACCACTGCGTTGTATTAGCAGCCTCTATATCTACCTTTCATTATTACCACCAGTGCCGACTGCTGCTTCTGCAGTCTTTTATAATCTCCTTTTAATACTTAAGTATCTTTTCCTTCTACTCATGCTAATACTAATTCTTGCCCTATTGCTGATTCAAAACCCTTTTCTCCTTGTTCATTCAGACTGCCTTCTGTCAATATTATATGCCCAGGCTGTTTTTATCTCCATTCCATTTATTCATAATCCTAAAATGTGGTACAGCTAATCTTTGAAGCCAGATATACATTAAAATAGAAAACTCTGGAGTGTATCTGTCATATGTCTCACTAGGATTGCAATGAAAGGGAACCAGTAAATATACTCACAGCAACCTGGATGAATCTCAAGCATATTATGTTGGGCAAAAGAAGCTAGACACAAGAATATGCCCTCTACTATTTCCTGTACATGATGTTCTAGAAGAAGCAACACTGAGTAAGAAAATTTTCTGAGAAAAGACAGAGATGTCTCACCACAATAGTAACAGTAAGGTAATTTATGCCTTTCTTAATCTGACATTCAAAGCATTCTGCAATTTTCTTGAGGGTATGGTTTATATTGTAGGAATCACTGGCTTCCAAGTTCTTGACACATAGTAAACATGCAACAGTTATTATTTTTATTAACAAATAATTAAGGCTTACTAGAAGCTTGCCCCTACCATTCTTCTAGCCTTATCTCTCACTATCCACAAGAAAAATAAAAATGACTTCCAGTTATAGTGTTCTGCTCAACCTCCCACAGATATCCTTTAAGATTTTAAGTGTTTTCTTGCTCACATTTCTTCTTCCAATGCTGTACATTCACCTACACTTAACTTTGCTCATAGCAATCATACTAACCCTTTAAAGCCCATCTCAAATAGCATCACATCACAATGCAGAGTATCTTAATTATCTAAACAAAACCAATATCTACCTCCCCAAAATCACCTAGCTGCTCATTATTATGTGTCTTATGGTATTGAGTACATGCTACTTGAAATTCAATTACTTGTGAGCCACATTCTATATCATAAACATAGATGGCAGGACTTAGAGCTTATTTATTTCGCAACTCTATCAGTACACAAAGCCTTACACAATGTCTTGTCAGTTAAAGCTAGTAAATATTTGTTGATTTATTTCAGAATTTTGTTGATTACTAGTATGGCCAGGTATCATGCAAGACACTGCAAATGTATCATGGAATAAAACACGAAAATACCCCAGTTCTCTTAAACTTATAGTCTAGTGCGAGGAGACAGAAGATATAATAAATACGTTGAAAACATTATAATAAATAAATCAGTATGTTAGAAAGCTATACATGTTAATTAATTAATTAATTTTAGAGACAAGATCTTGTTCTGTTTCCCAGGCTGGAATGCAGTGGCTGTATCATAGCTCACTGCAGCCTCACCCTCCTGCCTCCTGGGCTTAAGCCATCCTCCTGCATCAGCCTCCCCAGTAGTGGGGACTATAGGTGTGAGTCACCATGCCCTGCTAATTTTCTTATTTTTTTGTGGAGATGGAGTCTTTCTATGTAGCCCAGGCTGGCCTCAAGCTTCTGCCATCAAGCAATCTTCCCACCTCGGCCTCCCAAAGTGTTGGGATTATAGGTGTGAACCACCACACCTGACCTATACATACTGTTTTTTAAAGTGTGAATAGGATAATGATGATCAGGAATGCCAGGGACAGTGGTTAATTACATTTTATACCTGGTAGAGGATGGCAGTGAAAAGTGGTAAAGTAAGAGCCTTTGAAAATTCTATTAGCTACGAAAGCAGTGAAAGTCTGTCAATAATGGTCAGAAAAAACTTTCAGAACTCTGGAAATGACCATATATTTGCAGCAAATCTGAGGATTGTTTGTTCAAGAAATATAGATGAATCTTGCTAAGAACAGCAAGTTTTGTGGCCTTTAACTTGTACTATTCCCACGTCCCCAAGCTCCATGGTAGCCTTGAAAACCAACAACTCACAATCATGATGAAAAGCCTGGTTGGTACAGGAGGGACAAAATAGGGTTGGAGATCCTTTAAAACCCCATTTCTGGAGAATTGTCATTACTTGAATGTATGAGTTTGCTAGGGCTGCCATAACAAAACACTGCAGAATGGATAGATGAAACAACATAAATTAATTTTCTCACAGTTCTGGAGGCTAGAAATTCAAGAACAGGATTGTGTACTTCCGAGACCTCTCTTCTTTACTTGCAGATGACTTCCCTCTTGCTGCTACTTCAAATAATCTTTTCTCTGTGCACTGACATCCCTGCTGTCTCTTTGTGAATCCAAATTTACTCTTAATATGAAAAACACTACTCAGACTGTAGTAGAGCCTGCCAAAATGGCCTCATTGTAACTTAGTTGCCTCTTTAAAGGCTTATCTCCAAATACAGTCACATTCTAGGTATTGGGGGTTAAGGTTTTATTTGTGAGTTTTCTGGGGACACAATTCAGACCATAATGTCCTGCCTGAAGGTGCCTAGGAAGACTTGCCAATGAAATTGTCTTTATTTGACCTGACTTGGAGCTTACCTAGTATGAACAGGCTTTTTCTTGGGAACATTTATTAAAATCAGTGAGAAGCAATTGTTGAAACTGGCTGCCTGAGATAGTAGGTAACAGCTGGGGCAAAGAATAGACTAATCAAAAATCACAAAACAAAATCAATTAATCTAATGCACCATATTAAAAAAAGACAAAAACCACATGATCATTTCAATTGAAACAGAAAAAGCATGTGATAAAATTCAACACCATTTCATTATTAAAAAGAAAAAAAACACTCATAAAACTAGGAACAAAGGGAAGAATCCTCACGCCTATAATCCCAGCACTTTGGGAAGCTGAGGTGGGTGGATCACGAGGTCAGGAGTTCGAGACCAGCCTGACCAACATGGTGAAACCTCGTCTCTACTAAAAATAAAAAATTAGCCAGGCGTGGTGGCACGCACCTGTAGTCCCAGCTACTTGGGAGGCTGAGGCAGAAGAATTGCTTGAACCCAGGAGGCAGAGGTTGCAGTGAGCCAAGAGTGAGATTCTGTCTCAAAAAAACAAAAAGGAGGAATCCTCAACATAATAAAGGGTATTTATGAACAATTTCAGCTAACATCATACTCTATTGTGAAAGACTGAAAAATTTCCCATGAATATTAGAAATGAGACAAAGATTTCCAACCTCACCACTGTTATTTAAGAGGGTACTGGAGGATCTATCTAGCACAGCAAACAGGCAATAAAAATGCATCTATATTGGAGAGGAAGAAGTAAAACTATTAGACCTATTCAACTTAATAAACAAGTACAGCAAAGTTGTAGGATACAAATTTATATTAAAAATAAGTTGTATTTCTATATACTAGAGATAAAATCTAAAGAGGAAATTAAGAAAATTTAACTTACAACAGCATCAAAAGGAATACAATATTTAGGAGTAAATTTTATGAATGAAGCACAAAACATACACTCAAAACTAGAAAATATTTTTCAATAAAATTGAAGACTTAAATAAGTGGAAAGACATTTCCTGTTCATGTATCAGAAAACTTAGTTTATTTACATAGCAATACTCCCCAAAATGATCTACAGATTCAGTGTGATCCCTACTAGAATCCTAGCAGCTAACTTTTTTATAGAAATTGACAAGCTGATCCTAAAATTTATATGAGAACTTGAGGAACCCCAAATAACCAAAAACTCCTAAAAAAGAACCCAGTTGTCAGACTTACATTTCTCAATTTCAAGGCTTACTGCAAAGCAACTGTAATCAGGACACTATGGTACTAGCATTAAGGATAGACATATAGATTAATTGAATTTAATTTAGAGTCCCTAGGTAAATGTATGTATCAACTGATTTTCTTTTTCTTTTTTCCTTTTTTTTTTTTTTTTTTTTTGAGACAGTCTGGCTCTGTGACCCAGGCTGGAGTGCAGTGGCACAATCTCGGCTCACTGCAACCTCTGCCTCCTGGGTTCAAGCCATTCTCGTGCCTCAGCCTCCAGAATAGCTGGGATTACAGGCGCTCGCCACCATACCCGGCTGAATTTTTTTTTTGTATTTTTAGTAGAGATGGGGTTTCACCATGTTGGCCAGGCTGGTCTCGAACTCCTGACCTCAAATGATCCGCCTGCCTCGGCCTCCCAAAGTGCTGGGATCACAACTGTTTTAGCAAGTTGCCAAGACCATTCAGTTGGGGGAAGAATAGTCTCTTCAACAAATAGTGATGGGGCAACTAGATCCACTCATGCCAAAAATACTTGGACACCTAACTCATACCATACACCAAATTTAACTCAAAATGAATCAAAGACCTAAATGTAAGAGCTAAAGTGATAAAATTCTTAGAAGAAAACAGGCATAAATTGTGTGAACTTAGGTTAGGTGGTTGCTCATTAGATATGACACCAAAAGCACAAGCAATTACAGAAATAAATTTAATTAAAATTTAAAAACTTTTATTTTTCAAAGAATGCAATCAAAAAAGTAAAAAGACAACCCACAGAAAAGGAGAAAACATTTGCAAATCATATACCCCTTAAAGGTGTAGTATACAGAATATATAAAGAACTCCATAAACTCAATAAAAATAGACAAAAACCAATTTAAAGATGAGCAAAATAATAATAATAATACGGATGAGCAAAGGGATAGGATAGACATTTATCCGAAGAAGATATACAAATGGCCAGTAAACACACGGAAATATGTTTAACATCATTAATCATTAGGGAAATGCTTATCAGAACTACAAAGAGACATTGTATCACACTCACTAGGACAGTTTTAATGAAAAAGACAATAACAAGTAGTTTAGAGAATGTAGTACCATTGGGACCCCCATACACTTATGGTGGGGATGTAAAATAGTGCAGCTGCTTTGGTAGTATATCTGGCAATTCCTGAAACAAGTTAAAACACAGACTTAACTTATGACCCAATAATTCCCCTTCTATGCATACATCCAAGAAAAATTAAAACATATGTCCATGCAGAAACATGCATAGAGATGGGCACAGCAGCATTATTCGTAATAACCAAAAGGTTGAAGGAACCAAATTGTCCGTCAAGTGATGGATAATAAACAAAACGTGTTATATCTTTTTAGTAGAATATTGTTCAGCTATAAAAATAAATGCATTTCTGCTACATGCTGCAACATGAAAACATTATAGCCAGACACACTAGTCTAGGTATCATATGATTTCATATGAAGTGTCCAGAATAGGCAAATCAATAGAGACAGAAAGTGGATTAGTGACTTCCTAGAAATGAGGAGAGGGAGGATTCTGGATTGACTCCTAATGGATACAGGGTTTCTTTTCAAGGTGATGAAAGTTTTCCTTAATTAGATAGTGGTTGTCTAACTTTGCAAATATGATAAAATCCACTTTATAGTGTACCATAAAGGGGTACAATTTTTGTTATGTGACTTGTACCTCATTAAAAAATTAAATAGGATGGACAGAGTAAGCCTCTTTGATAAAGTGGGATGTTAGCAAATATTGAAGAAAGTAAGGAGGGACCCATGCAGAGGGAGTGCTGATCAAAAGCCTTGAGTTGGGAGTGTGCATAGAATATTCAAGAAATAGTTTGAAAGCCAGTGTGGATGGAGCAGAATTCATAAGAAGAGTAGGAAAAAAAATATTAGAAAGGTTGGTGGGGTCAGGTTTTGGATATTCTTCTAGGCTTTGTATGAACTTTGTGTTTTATTTTGATTCAAATAGGGGACCCTTGAAGAATAAAGGTCCCCTTCAAGGGGACCCTTGAAGAATAAAGAAGAATAATGTATTAAGAATAATACTTAATTTGGTGAGATTGTGAATGAAAATTTTTAGTATGAATTATTATTTACAGAGTAAATTTCCCAAATTGTAAGTGAACAGTTTGATGTGTTCTGACAAATGCAGACACCCTTATAACTCACACCTATCAAGACCAAGAACATTTCCAACACTCCAGTTAAGTTCCCTCATTCCCCTTCCCAATCAATCCCTTCACACATTTAATGTTGCCTATTCCAGAACTTCATGGGAATGGAATATTACAGTATAAAATGTTCATGTGTGACTTCTTTTGTGCAATATAAAGTTTTTGAGATTTATTCATATTTTATGTATATTTTTAGATAATCCCTTTTTATTGTTCAGTAGTATTGCATTGCACGAATATGTCACAATTTGATTATTTTCTTCAAATGGAAATTCAGGTTCTTTCTATTTTTTTGGCTATTGTAAATAAACTTACTATGAACATTCATGTGCACTTCTTTGTGTGAACATGTGTTTTCATTTTTCTTGGGTAAATACTTAGAAGTTGAATTGTTCTGATTCTGTAGTCCCCGCCTGTGGGCCCAAGGATCTGCCTTCAGAGGCATTCTTTCTTCACTGTTCTGTCAGTACCTTTCAGGCCAAGCTGTGTGTGTTGCTGCTGATATAACATTCTTAAAAACTTTGTGGGTGTTCTGTATATGTTACAGATACTCACACCATTAAACAAGAGAATCCCTCTCATACCTTTCCCAGATAATTTCATCTCTAGTCTGCTGAGATTGTTGAGTAGATTCATGAGTCACAAGCTTCATCTCTACAAAGAGCCCTCTGTGTGAGAGAATACTTCAAACTTAAGATTTCTTCATGGCATTAGCCAGGGTTATCTAGCCACATCCTTGGCCTTCTCTTTAGAGCATCCTTTATTAACTGTGAATCTTGTAATTTTAGCAAGTCTTGCAATCTGGATAGGCTGAGATTTTTCCAAATCAAGTTCTGGTTTTTGTTGCTATTGTTAACAGTTCTTCCCTCAATTTACCTATTTCCTCTCACATTTTACTACAGGCAGCAAGAAAAATCCAGGATGTACCTTTAACATTTTGCTTGGAAATCTCAGCTAAACCTCTAAGTTCATCACTTACAAGTTCTGCTTTGCACACAACTATAAGACACAGTTCAGCTAAGTTTTATATCAGTATATAATGAAGGTCATCCTTCCTCCGGTTTCAATAATATGTTTCTCATTTCCTTCTGCGTTCTCACTGTAAGTGCCTTTAATGTTCATATTTCTACCAACATTCTGTTCATGATGACAGGCAGAATATGTATTCTCTAATATGATACAGATTTCCTCTACTATTTTTCTCACTTCCTCTTGAGTCCTCACTGGCAGCGTCTTTAACATCCTCATTTCTATCAACAGTCTGCTCAAGGCATGTACATTTTATCTATCATGTTATTAAAAGTTTTCCAGCCTCTACCCATTAGTCAATACCAGAGCCAATTCCACATTTTTAACATTTGCTACAGCAACATCTCATTTCCTGGTACAAAAATCTCTTATTAGTTTCCTATGGCATTTGTAACAGATTACCATAAACTGGGTAGATGATATGGTTTGGATTTGTGTCCTCACCCAAATCTTACATGGAGTTGTAATTCTCAATGTTGGAGGAAGGGTCTGGTGGGAGGTGATTGGATCATGGGGTGGACTTCCTTTCCCCCTTGCTGTTCTCATGATAGTGACTGAGTTCTCAGGACATCTGGTTGTTTAAAACTGCGCGGCACTACCCCCTTTGCTCTTTCTCTCTCCTCCTCTGCCATGTGAAAATGTGCCTACTTCCCCTTCACTTTCTGCCATGATTGGAAGTTCCCTGAAGCCTCCCCAGCCGTGCTTCCTGTACAGCCTGCAGAACTGTGAGTCAATTAAACCTCTTTTCTTTATAAATTACTCAGTCTCACTTAGTGCCTTACAGCAATGCAAGAACGGACTAATACAGTGGATCATTTAAGAATAAACACAAATTTATCCTCTCACAGTTATGGAAGCCAGAAGTCCAAAATCCAAAATCAAGGTGTCAGCAGAGCCATGCTCTCTCTGGAAAAAACCTATTCCTTGCGTCTTCCAGCTTCTGGTGGCTCACAGTATTCCTTTGCTTGTGGCCATATTACTACAATCTCTGCCTCAATCTTTACAACACCTTCTCTTTTACATGAATGGAGTCTTACTCTACATCTATCTTACAAGGACACTTGTATTGGCATTCAGGACCCACCTCAACAATCTGGGATAATTGCCTCATCTCAAGATTCTTAATCACATCTACAAAGACCCATTCTTTAAATAAGATAACATTTACATGTTTCAGGAATTAGGAACCTGATTTCTTAGAGACCACCATTCATCCCACTACACACTAAAAGAATCAACTTTAATTAAAGAGAAATTATAACGCAAACCCTTGGACCTATAATCACATGGCCTATTAGGTACTCTGTTGTAAATACCTGTCTCTACACTGATAAGCTGAAAGATACGAATTATTGATAACACAAGGATATACATTTAAAAATCACTTACTGACTACCAAAATTGAGAAAAATTTAAAACAAAATTAAACATGTCTTTTCTGTGTTCTTTATTTTATGTAACAAATTTCTCTTGACTGTTTTAGCATTCAATATAACTCTCTTGTTGTCAAGCTTGTTTTGCTACAGTTCTTGTCTATCTATACAAAATGTAAATACCTATGTTTTCATGAAAATAAGACTAGTAAAAGATGTTTTAGGTAATTTTGAAATGCTATAAAATAGAAGTAAAATAGTAGAAAATAGTTTATAAATTGTGCCTATTGTTCATTATTTTACATATATAAATTCAGTCTGGTTGTTTTTCATTTCTTCTTTTCCAGTTTGAATTGATATTTTGTTGTTGTATCATAGTCTAGAAAAGTTCAATGTAACTTATGATTTTTGAAATAGTTGTTAAAATTGCTCTCTGTCTCGGCTATCTGTAGCTGTTCATATAAAGCTTGAATTAAATAAAAAAGAGCTTATGACAGTTTCTAGACCTGAATTTAAAGAGGGGGCTTTGTTAAATTTTGACACATACAAATTCAGAATTCAGGGATCTTGTGCTAGTGCCAGGATACTTACTAGCAGTGTCTCAGGTCATTGCCATCATCTTACTGCTGAATAACAGACATCAGAGCTTTACTCAAGGTCTATTTGATAGAAAGGTATCATCAGTCAGGAATCAGGAGAGCTATAAAAATTGCAGAGCAGAGAAGGAAAGTGTTGTGCAGGGCAGGAAATGACTGTTCAGGGCAGGGTGGGGCACATTAGAAAATGTAGGGGTAGGTTCAAGCCCAACAGAGTAAGGAGGGTTTGAAAAAGTCCAGGAGGGATTGAATAGTACCTTTCAGTAAAGGTATGATTCAGAAAAAGTAAGATAAGGGGACGGCGCATGGTGGCTCACGCCTGTAATCCCAGCACTTTGGGAGGCCGAGGCAGGCAGATCACTTGAGGTCAGGAGTTCGAGACCAGCCTGACCAACATGGTGAAACCCTGCCTCTACTAAAAATACAAAATTAGCCAGACGTGGTGGCTCACGCCTGTAATCCCATCTACTTGGAAGACTGAGGCAGGAGAATTGCTTGAACCCGGGAGGCCGAGGTTGCAGTGAGCCACGATCATGCCATTGCACTCCAGCCTGGACAACAAGAGCGAAACTCAGTCTCAAAAGAAAAAAAAAAAAAAAAAAAAAAAAAAGAAAGAGAAAGGGGGATAAGGCAGGGCATAGCAGAGATACCCAGAGCAAGGAAGAGCTGAACAAGACAAGGTCAGGCAAATCAGGGCATGGTCTGACATGTTATATCAGGTGTGCTAGGACATGGAAGCTGGGGCATGGCAGAGAACTGGTCACGAGAAAGTTGAAAAGTAAAATCTGTACAGTGCTGGAAGGGGTGGAGAAGAATGAGTCCATTATAAATGTAAGTGTAAAGTGATTTAGGGCAGGGCACTCTTGTAGAGGCTATATAGAACAGAAAAAGCCGAGTAAGTGATGGCTAGGGTAACATGAGGTGAGGCAGGAAAGGGCAATGAATATGTTGAGTCTGTAAGGCAACCTTGAGTCTGTGATGTTACTAAGAATGTTTCTATTAATTGATTAATAAGAATTATATGGAATATAGTTGTGATTGACATGATTTTTCAATATTGGTGGCATATAGTAAGCAGGTCTAAATATCAATTATCTCAAATTCTAAGGGTCCTATGTCAAAGTGCTCATCAATACCCATGTTACCAACCACAGAATTTTTTTTTTTTTTTTTTTTTTTTTTTTTTGAGACAGAGTCTCGCTCTGTCACCCAGGCTGGAGTGTAATGGCATGATATTGGGTCATTGCAACCTCCACCTCCTGGGTTCAAGAGATTCTCCCACCTCAGCCTCCTGAGTAGCTGGGATTATATGCATCCACCATCATGCCTGGCTAACTTTTGTATTTTTGTAGAGACAGGGTTTCACCATGTTGGCCAGGCTGGTCTTGAACTCCTGACCTCAGCTGATCCACCTGCCTTGGCTTCCCAAAGTGCTGGGATTGCAGGCATGAGCCACCATGCCCAGCCCCAATCATAGAATTTTGTTCTGTTATTGATCCTTAAATCTATAAAATGTGTTTTAAGAGTATACTGTAAATAAATGTCTATTATCACTACTAATTTTTGTATCTTGATAATTTAATAGTGTTGCTCATTCTGACTGTTCTTAAGAATCATGTGGAATTTGTGAAAATATTTATCTTAGGGCTCCACCTATAATACTGTATCTGCTGGGATTGTTGCTATATTATTCTCGCCAGCTTTCTGCAGTTAGAAAAAAATGAAAACCCATATTGTTGTACAATAGTTAATGAGGAGCCATTAATATCACATTTGTCGTTAGCTATATCTGTTCCAAAGAGAAGAATGTTCAGAGTGTTCTGCCTTGGAATAGAGGGTAGGAGAATGGGACTATATTAAGTAGGTGCCACTCCCTCCTTCCAGTTAGCATATATCTTTTCCCCTTTTGAATGTGCTGAGCAGTTGAGTGTAAAACTTAGTATAAACCATAAAAGTAGGCTACTACCTTAGTTAAGGACTTAGTCATCTCTTCCCTGGAACTATTGCCACAGCATCCTATGTGGTATCTCAGCATCTTATACCCCTCCAATCTGTTCTTCAAAGCACTACTCTGTGTAAAACCTTTAAGTAATTCCCAGCACCTGTAGAATACTCAAAACAGCTTAGAATGGAATGGAAAAGCACTCCATTCTAAGACCACTATTAATGCCACCAATACCTATTTTACCTTTCTCACTCAAATAGCTACACACTTAGCTAAAATGTTCATTTCTTAGCCTCCCTTGCATATAGGTGTAACCACATGACCAAATTTAAACCAATGGAAAGTGAGTGTAAGTAAGTGTGTAAGATCTGAGCCATTTCTACCAGAAAGACATGCTGATTTCTCTGAATTTTGATGTTTATCCTTCCCAAAGGTTAGTTTGAACCTTGTGGACAAAATCAGCACCCTAGAAGAGAATGGAGCAATAAGATGAAAAGAAGTTTTTTTTTAATTTTATCTGTCTAACCCAGTCTGGATTTGACAGAAAAATAAATGTATATCTCATATTGTAAATATTATTGTGAAATCCGCAGTAATTGTGGATGTCTTTGTTAGAGTAGTGTATCCCCTACAATAACTAATGAACTATCTTCTGCTCCTCTGCTTTATAAATCTGTATCTGGTTCATGATGTGTCTCTTGAATGAATGAATGGTAATGCACTAATATTGACTCATCAGGTTGGAGAAGTCATGTGTTACTGAATATATAAAACCACATATTGTCTGCTATGTCTTGTTACATTACTTGCTTATTTCTAGTTTAAAGTCCAATTAATGTAGATATTTTTATAAGACTTATTTTTCACAAGATATCATTAGGGATGTAGCCTTCCATAAAAATAGACTTGGTAGCTATGACCAATGGTATCAATCTATCCTCCTTTTCTTGCTACAAGCTGCTTGATGGTACCGTTAGGATTAAATCCTCTGTAGCAGTTACAAGATCTCTAGGAGGGCCTAGTTAAGATGAAAGTTAACACGTTAAGCCACATTCACCCATTTATACCCTGAAAAGGATTAGTCATTTTGTCACTTTCAAATATAACAGTTGGGGTTTGTAGACCCCAGATAATAGGAAATATGGTAGGCAGATTTGATTAGCTGCAAAGTCAGAAAAAATAGTCCAGGCCATGGAGTCCTTCTGGAGAGCATAGATCCGGCCAGGTCCCAACTTTGCCTTTGTCCCCAAGTGCTAACTCTCTAAAACTTATACTTAATAAATATTCACTAATTCTTGTCACTTGTATGTTCAGATTTAATGTGATTTATTATGAACTGGTTGAAATTTTTTCTTTAAGAATAATATTTAATTTGTGGTAGCTAATTAAAACAACCATCTTCACACAGGCTTTATCCATATAATAAGCCAAGAGAGAAATTTAAGTTGAAAAAATATATACATTTGACTTAAAATTTTAAAAATAAAAAAAGAAAAGATGAACTGGAATAACTTACTGCCAGGAGCATCACAAGCAATTTACAAGGTTGATTCCACAGAGTGAGAAAGACGAACACTTTTTTATAAAACAAATGTTTCTGATTTTCATTCTGAAATTGAAGAGTAAAATGGTCATATTTCATTGAGTAAAAATTGCTCTGACCTTGTCTACGAATCAGTGTATTATATAGTAAAAGGCTTGATCTCAAGCCATTTCTTCCACTGTTAAGTTATTAAATAAAAAGAAAATGATTGTCCATAATAAAATTGTTATTCTATTTAAAGGATCTTGACCCTTTCATACTAAAAAGGGTAGTCCTGCTGTTGAATTTTTAGAATATATTATTGGTCATTGATTTCATTAATCTAAAGTTAGCATTGAAAACCTCATTATCCTTGCAGTGAGCCAAGATCACGCCACTGCCCTCCAGCCTGGGCGACAGAGGGAGACCCCATCTCATAAATGAATAAATAAATAAATAATAAAAACCTCATTATCAAGCAATAAATGATAGGCAGTTGGCAAGGTCAGTGATGGATAAATTTTACTGTCAACTTTAAGTGGAGTAACAAGCCACAAATATCTTCCTAGAGATGACAGGGCCTGTTGGCCATGAATTTGAGTATCCGAATTCAGTCTTCTCCTGTGGGGCTGCCCTTCACTGAAATCCCTCCTCTGAGCTCTATTTTCTGCCACAAGGACAATTGAGTATTTGTACCAGCTGTGTCTTGTGTAGATCTTATTCCTCGAGATCTACTAAAGAAAATCAGTGAGTTGGATAAGTATCTCAAATGTAATTAGAATGAGGGAAGAAGATTTAGGTCTTTTTTCTTTTGTATCCTCAATTCCCCATAACCTTTCATTTAATGACATACTGTATCACATCAATAAAAGAAAGAGTGGCAACCAACTTTCTGCACTTCAAACTACTGCCTGGATAACGTCATCAAAGTGTGAACTAGGCCTGGCCTAACTATCCAATAGCCTACCTCTCACTAAAAAGAATCTTCAGGCTTAATTAGTGCAAGCTATCACCTTTATCATAAACATACCATCTTTCACTCTGTCCCCCAGGCTGGAGTGCAATGGTGCCATCTCGGCTCACTGCATCCTCTGCCTCCTGGGTTCACGCCATTCTCCTGCCTCAGCCTCCCGAGTAGCTGGGACTACAGGTGCCCGCCACAATACCCAGCTAATTTTTTTGTATTTTTAGTAGAGACGGGGTTTCACCGTTTTAGCCGGAATGCTCTCGATTTCCTGACCTCGTGATCCTCCTGCCTTGGCCTCCCAAAGTGCTGGGATTACAGGCATGAGCGACCCCGCCCGGCCCAAACATACCATCTTTATTATGCCATCTGTGACTTCATTTCTTTTGCCAGGAATGCCATCCCTTATCTATTCTATTTAGTTGTCCTACATCACTTACTCTTATTTTCTCCCTTTGAAATTCTGTCACCTTTAGAATCTTCACCACTAATGCATCATAGTTGTATACTTACTTCATATTGGTAACTGTTTTCTATTCATTAATTCTGCTTTCCAACTACATTGTATTTGCATACTTCCAAATTATCTACAGTGTCTAGTACAATGCTCAGCTAATTGGCACTCATGCTCCATGACAGTCCTTTGTCACAGAGTATCCGAAGTAATCTTCTAAAATTATAAATCAAATTATTTTACTCTCTTGTTTTATATCTTCCAATGATTTCTCATTCTAGGTAGAGTAAAATGAAAGAATCAGCTTTAATTGGTTTTAATCCCATGGTTAGTACCCCTCTACCAACTTTCCTTCCAATTGTGACTTAAATGCACAGTGTGCCATTCAAATGGAGCCCAACACTCAGCTTGCTGCCACATTAGGGAAGGTATGATCAACAAACACATAAAGTGCTATTTCGCTGATTCCTTCATTCAAAATATTTTTTAGACACCACCTATATGTTAGGTTCTGTTCTAGATACTGGTGTCTAGTAATAAACAATAAACTGTCCCTTACTTCTTGGTTCATTTTCATTAGAGTGACCAACTGTCCTGGTTTAAATGGAACATAAGAGGTTTCTTGGAATGTGGGACTTTCAGTGCTAAAACCAAAAAATCTCAGTGCTAACACCTGGGGTGAGGTGATTACTGTAATTCTTATTTTTTTATTATACTTTAAGTTTTAGGGTACATGTGCACAATGTGCAGGTTTGTTACATATGTATACCTGTGCCATGTTGGTGTGCTGCACCCATTAACTCTTCATTTACATTAGGTATATCTCCTAATGCTATCCCTCCCCCCTCCCCCCACCCCATGACAGGCCCTGGTGTGTGATGTTCCCCATCCTGTGTCCAAGTGACTGTAATTCTAATAGAGGAAACAGGCAATAAATACGTACATACAGAGAAGACATCTGATAAGTATCTGTGAATTCATAAGCCAATATTAATTGATTAAAGAGAAAAGAGCTTTTACATATTCATTAAAACCTCAGTTAATGATTTCGAATCTTGCCTTGTGTTTTTCATATGGAATCTGTCACATGTATTGCCGCATAAAAAATTATCCCCAAACTTAGCAGGTTAAAACAACAAACATTTATTTGTCAGGGTTTCTGAGCATCAGGAATCTAAGGGTGACTTAGCTGCATGGTTTTGGTACAGGGCGTCTCATGAGATTGCTGTCTTGATAGTAGCTAGGGCTGCTGTCATCAGAAGTCGTGACTGGGTCCAACGGGTCTTATACTCAGCTTACTTGCTCACTCATGTGGTTGTTGGCAGGTCTCAATTCTTCACAGGTTGTAGGCTGGAGGCCTCGGTTACCCAACATGTGGGCCTCTCTATAGACTACCATAGTGTTCTCAGATGGCTTTTTTTAGAGACAACAATCAGAGAGAGAATCTTCAAGATGTAAGCTTTAGTCTTTTTGTAACCTAATGTAAGAATGACATACCATGTTCATAACTTCTGCCATTTCTTTTTCTTTTTTTTTGAGAGAGTCTCACTTTGTCACCCATGCTGGAGTGCAATGGCGCAATGTCGGTTCACTGCAACCTCTGCCTCCTGGGTTCAAGCAGTTCTCCTGCCTCAGCCTCCTGAGTAGCTGGGATTACAGGCATGCGCCACCACACCCAGCTAATTTTTTTGTATTTTTAGTAGAGACGGGGTTTCGCCATGTTGGCCAGGCTGGTCTTGGACTCCTGACCTCAGGGAATACTCCCATCTCAGCCTCTCAAAGTGCTAGGATTACAGGCGTGAGCCACTGTGCCCGGCCCAGTTCTGCCATATTTTACTGGTGACACAGATCAAACATGGTCAAACATGGAAGAGGGCTGTACAAAGATGTGTATACCAGGAAATGGAGCTTATTAGGGGTCGATTTGGAGGCTGGCTACCATAACAGGTTTCTGTCCCTATCTTCACAATTATTATGCTAAAGGATCCCTTTTCCAAAATATAGAGTGCCTGAGCCAATTCTCAAAAGTTTTGATGTCAGGAGTGGAACATTGTCATGATGCATTCTAGTGAAGGAAATTAAAATATTTTGCCCCAAAATATATTTCTTTGACATACTTTGAAATGGCCACCACTTGGCCAGCAAACAGAAGTGGTCTTGCAAAGCTGTCTTTTGTGGGGAAAGTTTGTGTCTGTAGAGAATCTCCATTGATGCAACCATGCCCCCTTCCCTTTCTATGCCTTTCCCTGGATCCAAGAGAAATTGAGAGTCTGACATCATTAAAAATCTGAAAAGAAAAATTTACCAGTTATTCTCTTTGAGGAAGTCTTCATCTACCTAACAAGGCCACCTTTGCTAGCCAAGTGTCTTCCTTTCTCTCTCTCTTAACCTGTCTTGCCACCAATCCTGATTTACCAACAGTAGCTGTTTCTGGCCATGCTCTAACTCTACATATGTTACTGTGGCCTCAGGATGGCATATAAGTTTCTATAACTCATTGGCAAATTGGGTCTTCATTCTGAAGGACTACCATATATACACGTTAAATAAATTTGTATGCCTTTTCTTCTATTAATCAATCTACCTCATGTTGGTGATCTTTAGTGAACCTTTAGAGGGTCAAGAGCTTGTGTCCTCCCCACTAGATATTTCTGATGTAGGCTGTGTGAAGAACACATACAAACAATACTCTTAGCATGCCCCAGAAGAGTTTCATCTCATCCTATGGGATTAAACTACCCCTTATGTGAAGATCATGATGACTTCCAGATATCTATATCTGTATCTATCTATATCTGTATCTATCTGTATTTGTGTCTGTATCTATATCTATGTTGAGCTTTAGCACAATCTCACAGAGATGTTTCACAGGTAGCGCAAACCATTTCTTCTACTCCCAATTCATACCATGCTGTAGTTGCAAGTCTCCCTGAATTCCTGAACTTGATGAATAGAAATACCATTTTCTCTATAGCTCAAGTGAGAACGCCTTTGTTTTGCTAAAACTCCTCATATCAACAGATTTCAAAGTCTGCTGATCCTATTTTGTTATTAGTGTTTGTATTGTCTTCTTTTCCCTTGTCAATGCCTTAGTTCATGTACATATCATTTCCTCCTGGGTTGTGACCAATAACCTCTTACCCAGAGTACCTGATACTAATCCCATTCTTTTTAAATGGTATTCTCTACACCACTGCCAGTATTTTTTTTTTTCTAAAATGCTGATTGATCATTTTATTTCCTGCTCAAAATCCTTTTTTTTTTCTCCTTAGCTTCTGGTTAAAATACAAACTTTGTACTGTGATATAGAAGGCTCATTATTTCCAAGCCTCTGTAAACACCTCCGGTTTCACCTGTTGACATTCCACCAATGTTCCATATACCAAATTCAACCATAAGTCATTACAATATTTCAAGTCTCCCTGCTCTTGGAAATCTGTAAATTCCTATTCATCCTCAGATTCAGCTCAGGTGTCCCTCTTCCAGAAATCTCTTACTATGGTCTTCCACAAACAACATCTTCACTTACTCTTCTTTCACTAAGTACCCATCACTCACTTCTGTCACTGTGTACTATAATAATCTTCTGAAATTATTTTCTCCCACTAAACCTTGAAAGCAGTGACTGGTCTTTCATCTTTATATTTATAGTGCATGACAAAGTAGCCAGCTGAAGGTAGATGTACAGTATTTGTTGAATGAGCAAATTATTCTACTGTGAAATTTGCCTTTTCTGCTATATGACTCTGGGCAAAATTGATGGTTAATTTTTTTAACCTATTAGCTCTACACAAGGAAGATACCAATTATTGGGGAGTCTGGCTATTTTAATTAGATCAAACAATCATGTCCATCATTAAATAATTCACTGATAACTATAATAGAGGGAGAAAGTATTATTGTGGGGAACTTATATTTTATTGTGTTTGTTGGGCATTTAGAGGAAGGTATTTTGGTTAGCACTAACATTTACTGGTTGCCTACTATATGCCAGGAGCCAATAGCTAAATGTTATTCATTAATTAAAAAGATAAATCCTAGAGAATATGAACTAACAATATTCTCATTTTACAGATTAGCAAACCAAGACTCACAGGGGTTAAATGGTCAAATGATTTGCTTCAGGCTATAGAAAAGTAGGATTTGAACCCAGGTTGGTCTTACTCCAAAGTCCATAGAATTTCCAATTCTGCTAGGCAATTAATGACATTACTTTTGATGGTTTTATAGGATTAAAAATTATAATTTTCACAAAAAGCACCAAATTGGTAGCTTTCATAATAGAATAAAATGATAAAAGGAAATATCATTGTAAAATATACTTTTAAATAAATTATTTGTTTAATTTATGTTTTTCTTTTCTATTGTTTGTTTTAGGTTACTAAACTAAAGCACAAGGTTTGTGGAGAAATTTTATATGTTAAACCACTTACCAAACCATTTACCAAAAAGGTCATTTACAGAATATTTTCATTAAGATTTCCCATTTGATTTCAATTTTATTATAAATGTTATTATTTACATCTCAAAAATATCTTTCTGTAATGACATTTGTGTGCTACCTGTTTGAGATATTACCAGTGACCACAGCAAGTTCAGACAGAAGGATTCATTAAAGAAAAATTAAAAGTTATAAATCTTCATTGGTGACAAAAGACCACTGAGGATTTATCATCCAATATATATATCTGAGACATAAAAAACAAATCCCTTTCTTTGAATTTGTAGTTTCTTAGTTGAGTACTTATCAATTGAATAGTAAATGTACCATAAAATTGATTATCAATTGACTGATCATTATAATATGTGAATTTTTATCAGGGAATCTAAGAGGGAATTTAAATTTAGGTTAATGATACATCTTCTTTGATTCTGCCCTTAGAATCACAGCTAAATGGAACAACTGAATGAAACAATGAAACAGCTGAAATGAAAATGATCTTAGGCTTAAATAACTTCTAGTTTTGGTCCCATCTTCTTATATTGCACATAAGAAAAATCAGATTTGGACCAATTATTCTGGCTAAACGTCCATAGCAAGTTAGTAAGAAGATGGACTAGAATATATTTATGTAGATAGCATATATTA
This sequence comes from Homo sapiens, assembly GCF_000001405.40. NCBI lineage: Eukaryota > Metazoa > Chordata > Mammalia > Primates > Hominidae > Homo > Homo sapiens. The sequence goes on along the minus strand of NC_000023.11, from coordinate 113,995,111 downwards.
ATAAGACATAAAAAATACCTAAACCCTTAGGCACCTATAGTAGAAGATCAGCTTTCTTTTAGCCTAATATTCAGATATATCTGAGCACTCTTGGCAATGAATTGGTGAGCAAGCCTGAGAAGAGATGATTTTCACAAAGTTATTAGAGATTTTGTTCTTGAGTTTGAGTGTATAAGTGCATGTATAGCTGAATAAAAGGAAAGGGAGATGGAAGTGATATAGCATCTATTGGAAAAATTTGTCCCTTGACCTTGCTATATGCAATGGACTGAATGCTTATGTAAGCTCTGTTAAAAAAAAAAAGTGTCAGAAACAGGTCTCAATCATTTTAGGGTTTTATTTTGCCAAGGTTGAGGATGCACCCTGGGAAAAAGAACACAAAACCACAGGAAGATCTGTGATCTGTGCTTTTTTTCCAGTGAAGGCCTGGGGACTTCAATACTTAAAAGGGGTAAGAGTGGGAAATAAAAGAAAGAGGAAAGAAAAACAAGCGGAGAAAGGGGAGCAGATAAAAGGGGCAAGTGGTACTACTCTTTTGAGGTTTTGATCAATGCTCACTGAATCCATATTTTACATGTGAAATGAGGGGGTACAGAAATAGTCAATTATGCATTTGTTTCATGTTCAGTGAATCTGCATTAATATGCATTTGTGTCAGGTGGAAAGTGTGTCATTGTGTCAGAGATGACTTCTGGTCCAGTTTTTGTCCTGTACCCGTGAAGATAAGCTGTTAATTACATTGTCAGGGTGAAATTCAACAAGACTGTTTTAGGGTAAAGATCTTGGGGCCTACAAGGAATTTCCTTGTGAGCAAATTCCTTGTGAGGGAGGGCTCCTGGGGAGCTATGTGAATTTTCATCTTTGTAGGAACAAAAGTGGGAGGCAATTTTGTGTGACTCAGTTCCCAAGCTTGACTTTTCCCTTTGGCTTAGTGAGTTTGGGGTCCCAAGATTTTATTTTCCTATCCCATTTCCCTCACAAAAAAAAAAAAAAAAAATCTTTCACGGAAAACATATTGGAAGAAAAGGAGTCTCTGGTCTCATGGTCTCATATTTTGTCTGATCTCTCATCACTAGGATGATTTATTCCTAGACAAATAGGTCCCACAGCGTTAGGAAAGCTTATTCTTAGTAGGCTGTGAAGTCTTACGTCTTGTGGAGAAAAACGGGGAGAGGAAGAAAGAGAAAGAAAATGGAAAAGAACGAAAAGGAGGGAGGAAATATCATAATAACAAATGGGAAAAGCAATCCCGGAAAACTGATTTAGGCCGTATAACCCTGATGTCTATACATCAGCAAGCAAGTACGAAATTTATTTATATATAATTTCCTGTTATTTTCTCCCAAAGCTTAAGTCGTCTAACATTAGTTTGCAAGGATTTAAGAAAACCACAGTTTTAATTTCTAGTGATTTCAAGTCAGAAAAATGGGAGAAAAAAAGGCAAATATTAGTTTGGAGACTTGTAACCACGAAAAATTTCAGAATCCGTACCAAATTGTAGAAAATAATAAAACCTGAAACACAGTGGACAAGGCTACAATCTAATAACAGGTGTACTATAGCTTCTTTTGAAAAATAATTTTTCTCGGTGGGGCGCAGTGACTCACGCCTGTAATCCCAGCGCTTTGGGAGGCCGAGGCTGGCGGATCACGAGGTCAGGAGATCGAGACCATTCTGACTAACACGGTGAAACCCCGTCTCTACTAAAAATACAAAAAATTAGCCGGGCGTAGTGGCGGGCGCCTGTAGTCCCAGCTACTCGGGAGGCTGAGGCAGGAGAATGGCGTGAACCTGGGAGGCGGAGCCTGCAGTGAGCCGAGATCGCACCACTGCACTCCAGCCTGAGCGACAGAGCGAGACTCCGTCTCAAAAAAAAAAAAGAAAAATATTTTTTCTCTTTCCAACTCCCCAATTTAACTAAAGATGAAATTGTAGTAGGATCAATTTATTTGCAAAAGAAGTTTTCGTCTTATTATACTCGGCTTGATTTTTTGCATAAAGTGCAGCAAGAATAATTATTTGCCATATGGCTCATTTTTAAATTGGCTTTGCTGGAGTATTTTTTTCATGAAGAATCTCAGATTAGACCTTCTAAATAAAAGCCTCAAGCCACAGCCAGCCAAGGATTTATCTGTGCCTGCATATACTTATATTAATTGGGTGGATTCCTCTCTTTTTAATGTCCCAAAATAATTTGGGGCCCCTGGGTCTGTCAGAAAGTGGCATTCTTTACCTACTGCAGATCAGGAACCTACCTGCAAAGGAACTGCATAGATAAGGTGTGAGGCCAGTTTTTCCAAAGGGCTGTTATTGGCTCTATAAAGTCAATCTCAATTCTTAAAGCAGTCTTCTCATTTCTGAAAATATGCCATTCCAGTCAAAGCCTTGGTAAAATAACCAGTGCTTCCGCCTGATTAAAATTAAATAGATTTGTTTATAAGATGTATTAAATTAGCTTTAGCATTAATAACATGCGAATGCAAAAGTAAAATTTGTTTTTCTCTCTGGAGCAAGATTTCATGTAATTGCCTCTTTGAATAAATTACCAAAAAAAAATAAACGGGGGGGGGAGGGGGAGAGAGAGACAGATTCAGTTGGCTTCACACTGTCTAATATGATTAGGTTTTATTATTTGCGAAACTTAGTCTCCTTTTTATCAGAGTAAAATTTTCTGCTTATTCTAAAAAACATCTTTGCGTTATCACTTTGGATAAATGAATGATTTATTTCAAAGTGAGTGTATTAATCAGGGTTCTCTAGAGGGACATAACTAATAGTATATATATATATAATTTTGGAAAACATATTAATAACACATTTATATAAATGTAAGCCAAAAAAATCTAAATACAATTTTATATTTGACAGTGCTTCTTGTATAATTTTAACATGCCAAATAAGCCAAGTATGTCTCTCTTGGCCTTCTGAAAAGTTAGTTTTAGGCCAAGAGACTGAATTTACAATTTGATTTTTAGAAAGTTTGTCAAATATCAAAGGTTCAAAACACTCGATACCACAAAATGGAATTACAGGTCACTCACTGTGATGGTTAATACTGAGCATCGACTTGATTGGATTGAAGGATACAAAGTAATGATCCTGGGTGTGTCTGTGAGGGTGTGGCCAAAAGAGATTAACATTTGAGTCAGTGTGCTAAGGAAGGCAGATCCACCCTTAATCTTGCGGGCACAATCTAATCCGCTGCCAGTGAATATGAAGCAGGCAGAAAAACGTGAAAAGGAGAGACTGGCCTAGGCTCCCAGCCTACATCTTTCTCCCGTGCTGGATCCTTCCTGCCCTCGAACATCGGACTCGAAGTTCTTCAGTTTTGGGACTTGGACTGGCTCTCCTTGCTCCTCAGCTTGCAGACAGCCTACTATGGGACCTTGTGATCATGTAAGTTAATACTTAATAAACTCCCCTTTATATGTATATATATATATATATATATATATATATATATATAGAAGAACAAATCAACATTGCAAGAAAACCCTGTTATTTTGGCACTGAGGTCTAGATTCTGGCCCTGCATTAGTGTGGATTTTTATTTTAATGTTTAATTTACAGACAAAAAAATCCTCTTTAAAGTTTAGCCAACTTGTTTATGAACAGAATTGTTTTTACAAGATTGATTTTCCTTAAAATTTTTACAACTTGCTTAAACCTTCAGTTGTGTCCTTTCTTTTTGCTTAAGACAATCTTTAAAAATGTCTAAACTAGACAAATTTCCCTTTAATAAAAACCACATTCCCTTTTTTTAATAACCTTTTACCAAAAACGCATCTTAGTTTTCTTATACACTTTGTGTGTACCTAGTAGTTTTAATTACATTCATTAATTATAATGTTAACTCTTAGTAACTCTTATTCTTAGTGAAAAACCTGGGAGGTAAACAATTTTAATATGTACCAGGTATGGAGCCAAGAGCAAAGGACAATGCCTGGAGTTAGGCTTTGTCAAATCCTAAAGGCTCAAGTCAAAGGACAAACATTTTTAGACAGGCAAGTGTCAGAAACAAAGATTTTTATCTGAAGGGGTGGGTTGCCCCTCCACACCTGTGGGCGTTTCTCATTAGGTGGAAAAGAAAGAGACACAGAGACAAAGTATAGAGAGAGAAAAAGGGGCCCAGGGGAGCGGCGTTCAGCATATGGAGGATCCACACCGGCACCGGCCTCTGACTTCCCTTAGTATTTATAAATACTAAGTTCCCTTAGTTTTGTGTCTCTGGGTACTTGAGATTAGGGAGTGGTGATGACTCTTAACAAGCATGCTGCCTTCAAGCATTTGTTTAACAAAGCATACCCTGCACAACCCTTAATCCATTTAACCCTGAGTTGACACAGCACATGTTTCAGGGAGCACAGGGTTGGGGGTAGGGTTACAGATTAACAGCATCTTAAGGCAGAAGAATTTTTCTTAGTACAGAACAAAATGGGAGTCTCCTATGTCTACTTCTTTCTACACAGACACAGTAACAATCTCATCTTTCTTTTCCCCACGTTTATCTTAAAACATCTAGCAGAAACAGTGACTAATTCAGACCAAATGTCTAAATTTTAAATGCATTTCTATGCTATTTTACCAATAATTAAAAAACTCTTTATTTACCAGAGATTACTAAAATCATGTGAACTTGGAAGGCATTTGGGCTTATTTATTTAATTTACGAGTAAGTCAATTTGATACCCATGTAGACAGTACACAGAAAGACATATACCCATGTACACATAAAGATACAGAGCATTACAAAGACTTTATAGTGTTGATTGTAAAATTTTAGCCATGAAACAGATAAACTCACTAGTTTAAAAGGAAAGGTGGGTTAAATTGTGAAAAGGTTAAAGTTTATTTGTTTTACATGGCCATGGTAGACACCCTTACTGAGTTTTGGAGAAAAGAGGGTAGCAAATTTACATTTCAAAGTACAGGGAGAGAAAGAGAGAGAGTCAGAGTGTGTTTGGGTGTGTTAGAGCAAGATTAAGAATAGATGCCAGGGCAACACAAAATCATAGAAATTTACCATAAGATTTTTTAAGGTGACCAATTCATTTAGATAGGTTGTTTTTGTTTGTGTTTTTGTTTTTGTTTTTTTTTTTTTGAGATGAAGTCTTGCCCTGTCGCCCAGGCTGGAGTGCAATGGCATGATTTCGGCACACTGCATCCTCCACCTCCCTGGTTCAAGCGATTCTCCTGTCTCAGCCTCCTAAGTAGCTTGGATTAGAGACTTGTACCACCACACCTGGCTAATTTTTTGTATTTTTAGTAGAGATGGGGTTTCACCATGTTGGCCCCACTGGTCTCAGACTCCTGACTTCAAGTGATCTACCTGCCTCGGCCTCCCAAAGTGCTGGGATTACAGGCGTGAGCCGCTGAGCCTGGCCTAGATAGGTAGTTTTAAATTTAGTCTCTGTCTTTTAACTGGACCACTGAGCTCAGGGTGGAGCCTACACTGAATCCTGGGTACCCAAAAAGGGAGAAATGGCATGGAACCAAGCCATTTAATGCTTTCTTTTACAGACATTTTTCTAAGAGTTTAAACTGCATCCTTTCTTATCTTAAACATGCAAAGAGTAGCTCCTGTAGTAATGACTACTTCCTGTAAGCAACCGCCATTAGCCATCTCTGAAAGTGTATCTCTTACTTAGCTATTACACACACCAAAGTAAAAAATTTTCTCATAATGCAAAATAACTTTTTTGGTACTCCTCCAAAATCCAAAGTATCAGGTAATACAACACAAAAGAGAGTAGAATTTTTATACCTAAGTGGAATCTGTCTGCCTAAAACTTGTGGGGTTCCTTGAGGAAAACAGATTCCTTTCAGAGGAGTTGTTAGTGTCCTGTGATTTCTCAGGGGATCCCAGGCTATCATAAATTCCTTATTTTTTTGTTAGGTCTCACATGTGGCATATAGTGGCAAGAGGGAGGCAGTCAGACGTAAATGGAGAAACAGAAGTCAGTTGACTGAGAAGAAAAAACTTTTTCTCAAAACAACAACAACAACCACAAAATCCTAGAAGAGAAAAAGCATTCAGGTCTTTATACACACACACTCACACACAAAGGTCATTTTATATATATATATATATATATATATATATATATATATATATATATATATATACACACACACACACACACGTAAACATACATACATACCACACACATACACACAGATGTCATATATATACACACCCTCACATATATACACACACACGTATATACACACATATATAAACACATATACACCACACACACACATGTACACACACACAGCTTGGAAATTTTCATGCACGTCCCTGTGAAGAGACCACCAAACAGGCTTTGTGTGAGCAAAATGGCTGTTGATTTCACCTGGGTGCAGGCGGGCTGAGTCTGAAAAGAGTCAGCGAAGGGAGTTAGGGGTGGGGCCGTTTTACAGGATTTGGGAAGGTAATGGAAAATTAGTCAAAGGGGGTTGTTCTCTGGTGGGCAGGGGCGGGGGTCACAAGGTGCTTAGTGGGGGAGCTTCTGAGCCAGGAGAAGGAAATTCACAGGGTTAATCACTCAGTTAAGGTGGGGCAGGAAGTAATCACAATGGTGGAATGTCATCAGTTAAGGCGGGGCAGGGCCTTTTCACTTCTTTTGTGATTCTTCAGTTACTTCAGGCCATCTGAGCGTATACGTGCAAGTCACAGGGGATGTGATGGCTTGGCTTGGGCTCAGAGGCCTGACAGAAATCGGCTTTTAATGAAGCTGACTTTTAACCATAGAGTTCTAAAAAAATTCTTTCCAATCTCTCACTATCATATTTTAGCTGGAACAGTTGATATTTCAAAAGTCACACAAATATCAAACCAGAAAGGATTCATTCTCTGAGCCAAGAATTGAACCCAGATTGCCACAGTGAAAGGGCAGAGTCTCAGCTACTAAAATACAGTGTGGGGCAGTCACCATTGCTCTTCTGGAGCAGGCAGTTTTGAACTTACATAGGATTTTAACTGCTTGAGAGAATTTTAAAGGCTAGCCATGACACTATTGTGTATCTTTTTAAAAATTTAAACTTTTTTTCCAATTGTTTAGAATAAGTCATCTCTAAAATCTTTTTTGTTTTTCTATCTTTTGGCCATTGACGATTAGAATTCTCAATTGTAGGCTTTATTCCAATAGCAACTCAATCCAAAACCTCTGTAATGTAGAGGAGGCAGCTCCCTGATCCCCAAAAATTTACTCTCAGAAATAGACTTAACATAGACAAAAGACAATGAAGGTGTCATAGGGATAAGCCTTTTTTTAAGACAAAACTCCTCTAAGAGCTTGACACACTTGGTACAAAGAGTGTGTTGCTTAAAATATTATGTGTGTTGGACTCCCAGTCTTTCAGACTGTCCACTTGACCACAAAAATTCATGCCCTCTGGGTAGTAGAGACTATGAGAGAATATGCCACTTAGTCACAAAATCAAGCTCTCAAGGACGTAAAACAAGACAAGAGGGAAACCTTACCCAGTTTTTCTTTCAGGGACCAACAGCAAAGTTTATCTTAACAGACATATATCTAGCCAGAAGTGCAAGCTCACCAGTGTTCAGGGCTGGCTCAAACAGCAGGCTTTACGGACACTAGGCCCATATTCTACCCTATGGTACTCTTCTTTATGACAGAATGACATGGAAAGACAATGACAAAAGAAAATGACTGCCCCAAAAAAGTTATTTCTGAGAGGAAAAGTCGCCAAACAATATGAATATTCACCAGGCACGGTGGCTCACACCTGTAATCCCAGCACTTTGGGACACCAAGGTGGGCGGATCACCTGAGGTCAGTAGTTCAAGACCATCCTGGCCAACATGGTGAAACCCCGTCTCTACTAAAAATACAAAAATTAGCTGGGCATGGTGGTGCGTACCTGTAATCCCAGCTACTCTGGAGGCCGAGGCAGGAGAATCGCTTGAACCAAGGAGTCGGAGGTTGCAGCGAGCCGAGATCGCACTGCACTTCAGCCTGGAGACAGATCGAGAGTCTGTCTCAAAAAAAAAAAAAAAAAAAAAAAAAGAATATTCATACCACAAAGTACCAAAAATACACCAGAGTAGCTACAAGGCAAGACTAGTCAAACAGACCCTTTTATCCCATTAATCAAAACCTTGCAGATTAGACAAACAGTGATTTTTATCATCTGCTCCACTAGAACATACAGAAAGAAAGGCCAGAAGCCTGGCTGGTTAGAAATTTTTACTCCTTTGCTGGACGATTGGGTTCCTGGTTTCTCTTCACTGTAGCCTCCAAAACAGAAGAGCAGCTTTGGTCATTCTGCTTATAGCACCATACTGTGGGGCCATAGGCTCTTGGCCTTCTAAAGATTCCCTTAAAAATCACTGACATGAGGCAGATTGATTAATAGGAGAAAAGGTATACAGGTTTCTTTAACATGTCTACAGGGAAGCCTTCAGAATGAAGACCTAGTTTCCAAATTCATTCTGAAATTACAGAAAGAATGCTGACTCAGTGTATGTCCAAAGTAAACAAACAAACAAAAACTAGGTTTTCTTACCAAAACACCAGGGGTTCAGTCTAGGTCCTGCTGCTCATTGCACAGAAGGCCAGTCACTGAGACAATGCATATTGCCAAGGAAGAAGGCTTTAATCAGGTAGGGCATCTGAAGAGATGGGAGATCAGTCTCAAATCCATCTCTTAGACCGACTAAAACTAGGGGTTTGTATCGCAAACCCCTAGCAGGGAAGAAATGTAACCATTTGTGGAAAAACAAGAACTAAGGAAGGTGATATGGTTTGGCTGTGTCACCACCCAAATCTCAACTTGAATTGTATCTCCTAGAATTCCTACCTGTTGTGGGAGGGACCCAGGGGGACGTAATTGAATCACTGGGGCTGGTATTTCCTGTGCTATTCTTGTGATAGTGAAAAAGTCCCACAAGATCTGATGTGTTTATCAGGGGTTTCCACTTTTGCTTCCTCCTGATTTTTTTCTTGCCACCACCATGTAAAAAGTGCCTTTTGCCTCCTGCTATGATTCTGAGGCCTCCCCAGCCATGTGGAACTGTAAGTCCAATTAAACCTCTTTTGTTCCCAGTTTCAGGTATGTCTTTATCAGCAGCGTGAAAACTGACTAATACAGAGGGGGTAAGGAAGAGGAGTTGGTCAATAAGAAGCATGTGGAAGTTAGGAAAACAGGAATTGGAGTGTGGGGGCTAAGGAAGCAATCATGACAAATGACGGGTCTGGCATCTCATTGTCTGGATTGATAATCTGCTGAGTTTCAGTTCTTTGATAGTTTTTGAGAGGCCTGAGGGTTGTTTTCTAAGGAAGGAACTCAAATAAAACAAATGTAAGCCAGAATAATCAATTTCTATGTGTATCCAGAAAACTGTCTTTGGGACTATTGCATCAGTTTCAGTCTCTTTTTTTCATTTATAAATTCTTTAATCATGGAGAATCTGATCATTGATCTTTCTGGCTGCTTTATGCTGAGGAGGGGCATCATGGGATAATGGTGAGGACAACACAGATAACCCAAATTTTAAAATACCAAAGAATATGGAGTGGATCTCCTGGGGAATACAAGAGAATAATCCTGAAAAACACATGTTCCCTTTATGATTTCTTATCTAGGGCCTTTACCTGAGCTTTGAATATTAACTTAAGTTTCTCTGAGGGTTCACAAGACCATGACTGTTTCCCCTGGAGACATCCCAGAGAGGGACTGGTTTTACTTGAGTATGGTGAATCCAAGGCTTAACATCTGCTAACTTGACAGATAAGTGGGGTGGTCAACAACACCTCAAAAAGGCAGATCCATTGTGCTTGCAGTTGGTTTTCAGCTTGATGAGATTTCTAGGTCTTCATCAAGACTTATCTCCTGGCTTCAGAGTGGAAACGCACATCTGTAGGGAACTGCAGCCTGCTGGAAGCAAACTCAGAGAAACTAGTGAACATATTTCCTAAATGTTTTATATATTATCTAGTTTATTTTTCAAAGGTGAAAACATTCTCAAGTGTCAGGGAGCCTGGGGGTCAGAGAAATGGTCTCTCAAACATTTCAAAGGAGATAAGAGCCAACCTACTTCTAGAGCTACCCATATCTTCAGCAGGGCAAGGGGCACGACCTTTTCCCCGGTAAGACTGAACTCTTAGCAAATTTTAGGAAGACACTTCTTTAATTTCCTATTAATTCTTTCAGTCTTTCCAGAAGATTGGGGTCTTTAAGATGAATGCAGAATCCAATCAGCACTTACTAAGCATTGATACTTCCTGGGTTACTTGGGCTATAAAGTGGCTCCATTGTTACTTTGGAGAGTTTATGGGAGTCCATATTGAGGAATTATTTTCTGCATTAGAAACTTTACAATTTTGGTAGCTTCCTCAGTCTTAATGGAGTAAACCTCAACTCAGCTTGTAAAAGTATCAACAAAAACCAACAAATATCAAAAATTTCCAGAGGCTTGAGCCATTATAGTGAAATTCAATTGCGAGTCTTCTCCAGGGAAAGTTCCTCTACACAGAGTTCCTTGCTTAAAGGGGGCTTTTATGCCTTCCGGTGGCTTTGAATTATTTTTCAAGCAAGTAAGACAACTTTGGATTACAGTTTGTATTGTTCATTGCAAGTTAGGCCTAGTAAGATAAGAATGTATCCAGCATAGAGTGGTCTACCACCCATAATGAGTGCTTTGATGGATTTGCTCAGGGATTGGTCTAATAAAAGTTTCTGGAAGGAGAATTATTCCTTCATTATTTGTAAGCCATTTATGGTCAACATATTTAGAAAACCCCATTCCTCAGCTCTTTTAAGATCAGCCTCTGAATATCTGTGGTGATAGGTCTCCAGACAGAGTAGGAATGAGAACCAGCTGGGTAGTGGGCCTCTGGGTGCCTTTTTCACCTGTAGGTTAGCGTTAATATTTCCCTGTGGAACATTGGTGCCTGCCTTGTGGTACCCTTGGCAGTGAACAATTGCTATTTCTTTGGGCATTTTTATGGCCTCTAATAATTCAAGAATTGGAGGACCATGCTTTATTTCTTTGTTATTGGAAGTACAGAGCCCCCTTTCTTTCCAAATTACCCCATAAGCATAGGCTATTAAGAAAGTATATTTAGAGTCTGTAAACACTTACTCTCTTTCCCTTACCCAGATGTACAGCTCTAGTCAAAGCAATGAACTCGGCCTTTTGGGCAGATGTCCCTGGGGGTATGGCACATGCCTTGATTACCTGCTGGGTTGTAACTACAGCATACCTGACCTTTCTGACTCCTTGTTCCATGAAACTGCTTCCATCAGTGAAGAATTCTTTGTCACATTCCATTCATGGAAAATCTGTGAGGTCTGGTCTACTAGAATACACTTGATCTATTATTTGAATGCAGTCATGAACAGGAGGCTGGATATTTCTTGGGAGCAGGATGGCAGGATTCAGAGTAGAAACAGCCATAAGAGTTACATTTGGGTTATCTAGAAGCATGGCTTGGTACTTTCCCAGTTGGCCTGCCGTCAACCAATAGCCCACTTTCTTCTGGAGTACAGTAACACATAATGCATAGTATTCACTGTCATGGGATACCCCAAGGTGAACTTTTCAGCTTCCTGCAATATATCACAGGTGGCAGCCACCACACTGAGGCAAGTAGGCCAGCCCTTAGCTACCATGTCAAGCTTTTTTGAAAAAAATGATCACAGGATGCTTCAAGGTCCCAAGGTCTTGAATTAATACTTCAAGTCTAATTCCCTGTCTTTCTTGAACAAAAAATAATCAAAAGGTTTGCATAGGTCAGGAAGACCCAGGGCAGGGACTATCATCAATTTCTCTTTGATGGTTAAAAAGGCTTTTTAACATTCCCCACTCCTAGAAAGGGGCTCCTTATCTTCTTTTAAAACCTCAAAGAGAGGTCTCGCTCTTAACTTGAATTTAGGGATTTAAATTTGACAAAATCTGGGAGCCCCATAGTTGTTTGTGAGTAGTGGGAACTGCCACCCTAATCTAATCTGAGAAAAGATTGTGAGCCCCTTGGAATAGTTCGAATCCCAGGTACAGGGGGAAGAAATATATATGCTTTTTTCCTCGAAGCTTTGGGCGCATTATCTACCAGGAAATTTAAAACTTTAAAGGCATAGAGAAGGAAGTCACTCTCTGTTTCACTGGCTATAAAGATATCATCTGTATTTGCAAAATAAGGCTGGGTGCATTGCATCACACCTGTAATTCCAGCACTCTGGGAGGCCAAGGCAGGAGAATCGCTGGAGCCAAGGAGTTTGAGACCAACTTGGGCAACATAGTGAGACCCTGTCTCAATAATAAAAATAAATAACAAATAATACATATGGCAAAATAGTTCCTTTATTGCAGGTTGTTTCCCTCGAGTCTTTGGCTAAGATTTCTCCAAAAATATTGGGGAATTTTTTAAATCCCTGGGGAAGCACAGTCCAGCAATGCTGACACATTTAGCTTGAGACTCCAAATCTTTCCACTCAAAAGCAAACAATTCCTGAGAGTCAGGAGACAGGAAGATGCAAAAAAAAAGCATCTTTAAGTCTATTACTGAGAAGCAGGCAAAATTCCCAGAGAGGGTGATAAGAAGAGTGTAAGCGTTGGTTACTATGGGATGACTATCTTCTGCTATTTGATTTATTGCTCTTAGATCTTGGACAAAATGGTATTCTTGGACGCCGGGCTTCTGAACCAGAAAGATAGGGCTATTGTAAGGAGAACAACAGGGTCAGAGAAGCCCATAATCTAGGAAAGCTGTGACAAAGATTGGAGCCCCCTTTAAGCCTGAAGTTTTAGAGGATACTGTTTAATTGGGGTGGGGGAATGTAATTTCTGGTTTCAACTTAACGTGGATTGGTGCCATATGATCCTGTCCAGGACACTCAGTGGCCTATACTTCATGGTTTACCTTCTTGAGGACTTCAGAGGGCAGAGCCTGAAGAACAGTCAAAGATGCAATTAAGGCCATTTGCAAAAAGCATGCATGTTCTGGACTTGCTCATTCTGGAAAGTCATTCTGAAATGTCACTTGGGCCTGTAGCTTGGAAAGAAGATCACAACCTAGTAATGGGAGAGGATATTCTGGCATATAGAGAAAACTGTGGGCCAAAGAAAACTTTCCTATTATACATTCTAGAGGCTGAAGAAAATATTTTTGGGATGATTTGCCAGACACTCCAGTGACTATCAGAGATTCCCTTCCAAGTTTAGCCAATTTAAGATTTAAAACTGAGTAGATTGCTCGAGTGTTGATCAGAAAAATCAACCAATTTATCACCTACTTTAGCAGCTACCTTAGGTTCCTGGTGGGTGATACTAATCACGGAAAGAGCCTTAAGGTCCTGTCATGCCAGGTCAGAGCCATGGAATCTAAATATTTGCAATTCTGGGTCTTGGCTCCCCATTCTATTCAGCTTGGGACAACATTTTTTCCAGTGTCCCTCTTTTCTGTAGTATGCATGTATTAGTCCGTTCTCACATTGCGATAAAGAACTACTGCAGACTGGGTAATTCATGAAGAAAAGAGGTTTAATTGACTCACAGTTCCACAGGCTTCACAGGAAGCATGATGGGAAGCCTCAGGAAACTCACAATCATGGTGGTAAGTAGTGGGGAAGCAAGCATGTCTTACCATGGTGAAGCAGGAGAGAGAGAAAATGAGAAGAGGTAAGTGCCACACACTTTTAAACCATCAGTTCTAGTGAGAACTCACTCACTATCATTAGAACAGTAAGGGGGAGATCTACCCTCATGATCCAATCACCTCCCATCAGGCCCCTTCTCTAATTCGACATGAAATTTGTGTGGGGACCCAAATCCAAACCATATCAATGCACATTGTTTTGTTTTGTTTTGTTTTTTCCTAAGGGAGAACTTTCTAAGGATTTTCTCCCTTGCGGCCTTTGCCCTTTCTGAGGAGGACCTTTTGCACTCTTAGCTAAGGCTGCTGCTAGGAACTTAGCCTGCTATTTCATCTCCTGCAGTTTCATTTCTGCTTTTGTTGTTCCTTAGTCTGCTCTCAACTTAGAAAGACTTTGTATGGCACATAAATCAAATGAGATACTGGCAACATTAGATTGCCCTCCAAATTTTGCAATTCATATTGAATGTTGGGCATCCTCTCTCCTATGAAAGTCATATTAATTAACCTGGAATTCTCAGGACTGTCTGGATATATATCTGTATATTTCTGATAAGCCTCCAAAATCCTTTCCAAAAATGCTAATGGGTTCTCATTCACTCCTTGTCTAATTTCCTAAATCTTGTCTAACCTTTTGGTTTTGTGGACCCCCTTTCTGAGCCCCACCAGAACAATCCCCGAAATGTTGGATCTCACTTTCATCACAATCATTTGGATTCCATTTGGGGTCATGGAGAGGCATTGCCATATTGGCATCAGTCCTCACTTGGTTATTAGGATCTTCTGCATGCAACCGGTCAGCCTCCTCCCAAGCCTTTTCTAGTACTCTGATGTTCTTCAGATTTCAACAAGACTCTAAGGAGGCTCTGAGCATCAGCCCATGTGGGGTGATGAGTAGTGAAAATAGACTCAAAAAGGCAAGTTATACTTTTTGGGTCATCCCTGTAAGCTGGGTTGTTCTGCTTCCAATTATATAAGTCAGACGTAGTGAATGGTCAGCATATCCACATCATTCCAGCAGGCTGTTCTTCAGTTAAACCCCAAATAGGGATCTGCCTTAGAAGAAATTTTCCTGCAAGGAGTAGGGGTGAACCTTGGCTAAATTGTGTTCCTTGACAGGTATGAGAGGGTGAGACCATTCCCCTGGAGTTCTCAGATATCTTCTTGACGAAATGAGAGAACAAAAGATAAAGGGAGGGAGGATCCGGTGGAACTAGGGTAGGGGTCCCAGGTTCATGATGAAGAGGACTAGCAAAAGTCAGGAAAGGGTTTTTCAGAGGTTCAGAAGTCTCAGGGGTTGGAGCTGTTGGAGAGGCAGAAGCTGACTCCAGGGCAGCTGGCAGAGGTCGGAGATGGTGGGATTGGGGTTTCAGAAGTTATAGCAGCTCAGGCTTCCTCATCTAAGGGAGAGTTTTCTTCTGCTGGTAAATATGATAACCTTAGTGCAAAGTGCAGACTCACCACCTTTCTTAAAAGTCTCTGTCCATTGTATCAAAATTTTACATTTGATTAGGTTTGCTCTGATAAAGAAACATAAAAGCCTAGACACAAGGAATTTCATCCCTCTTTCCCATTCAACAGCAAAATTAATCTAGTTTTAAGATCGCATTAAAATATAAAGACCCATTGAGGAGCCATACTTCTCCAGATTACAAAGAATATAGGGGCCAAACTGTACTATCAAAAATATCATTTTATTTTGTTCCATTGGATTATAACTATATTCAGACCAATTTTGAAGAATGCACCAGAGTGGGCTGCATTCTGGGACTGAATTTTAATTTCCCATGACTATATCAACACACACACACAAACAGAGGGACAGAGAGAGAGAGAGAGACACATGCACACACTTATCAAAATGCAATCTAGGTACTCAAATATAATCTAACTGCTGCAGTAGCAACTAAGAAGCCCCAAGAGTGTTCATTATCCTCTCAGCTGGTTGGGCTTTTTCAACCTGGAAATGGAAATTCCTTCAGAAGTCCTCAAATTGAGTGGAGCACATCCCATGTCTGGTAGGCACAAAAGACACTCACCCATTTAGACACAGATGTCTAATTTCAAAGACTGTTTCTCCTACACAATCAGGAAAATGGTAGGGATTTGAAGTGGCAGGGCCAAAGAGATAGAGACCAAACCCCACCTCTGGCCAAAAATGGGTAGGCAGCTGCTTAGGAACTCTCTGGGCCTGTGACAGCTGAGCCACGAGCAATGCGATTTTGATC
Source organism: Homo sapiens (assembly GCF_000001405.40). NCBI lineage: Eukaryota > Metazoa > Chordata > Mammalia > Primates > Hominidae > Homo > Homo sapiens. Next base: position 113,979,264 of record NC_000023.11, on the reverse strand, counting down.
AGGGAACGAAAATCTGTTACTGAAACACCAGAGGTTCGGTCTAGATCCTGCTGCTCGCTGCACAGAAAGCCATTCACTAAGGCAACGAATGTTTCCAAGGAAGAAGGCTTTAATCAGGTGCTGTAGCTGAGGAGATGGGAGATCAGTCTTAAATCAATCTCCCTGACTAAAATTAAGGGTTTATATAGCAAGGAAGAAATGTAACTATATGTGTGAAAATAGGAAATAGGGAGGGGTAAAGTGAGAGGAGTTGGTCAACAAGAAGCAAGTCTTCTTGGTTTCTTGGTTAGGAAAACAGGAATTAATGAGGAGTAAGGAAGCAATCATGACAGATGAGGGGTCTGTCATCTCATTGTCTAGATGCGGTGATCTGGTAAGTTTCAGTTCTTTGATACTTTTTGAGAGGTCTGAGGGTCCTTTCCTGAGGAAGGAACTTAGATAAAAGAAATGTAAGTTTCAAGCTTTAAGACCTGAGGGTTTGGGGGATAGCCAATTCAAAGGCCTTGATCCCCTTAATTTGGAACTCTCCTTCAGATTTAACCAAGTCAAGAGGTGTGTCTTGTGGACATACATTCTCAGGGCCATTATCCCATGAGCCGGTTTGGTCCCGCTGTATTATGGCCCCCTGACACAGCACATCAGAGGTTCAAAGTGTGGAGGGGGTTGGTACCTTATATGTACCTGCCAGCTGAGATTAGACCATAAGTACGCTTTTCAGAGGGGCAACCTAGTCAGAGCTGCTGTGCATCACTGGGAGCATTCCTCCCAGATACCTGCATGTGATTCTCAGTAACCTGGGAATGCCCTGAAAGGCTGAGGGGAGCAAGGGCTTTTTCTCTTTGGAGTGGAAATTCCACACTCATACACTAGAGGAGTTTAGAGTTGGTCAAATCCAATGGGAGAAGAGACCAAAACAACAGCAAAAACAACCAAAAAAAAAAAAAAAATCAAGTAAGCAATTGCAAGATTTATACAATGAATGAGCACTCTAATTGTAAGAAGTTAAGACCAGCTGGTTGTCAACCTTATATTTTAATCATTAAAGAGAATTTTTAAGATAAAATCTCAACTCAGCTATTTACCTAGGAGTGGGGCCCAGGCTGCAGATTGCTCTCTACCATTTTAGAAGCAGGAAGAAAGCACTTTCCTTATTGGAAGTGAGCAGAACTCCAGGAAGTAGTTAGCTGCTCCCCATCATCATGAAAGCAGGAAAAACTTGCCTCTCTTGTGGGAAGAAAGCAGAACTCCATAAATGAGCTGTACAGCAAAATAAGCCTTAAATCTCACCCAAAATTTGGGAGATCAGGTGTTCTCCGGAGCTGGGTAGCTTCCAGACCTCAGCAAATTTCCTTATTGGTTTGAGTGATAAAAATAGCCCAACCAGTACCAGCCACGGATAGGAGATTTGCCACAGGTTAAGGGCCACCTCCATTCAGAATTCCTCCTGTAGTGGCCAATTTGTAAACCCAAAAGTATCTGCAACAGGTTTCAATCAATTTCAAGGTTTATTTTGCCAAGGTTGAGGATGGGCTCAGGGAAAAGAAACACAAAACCCACAGGGACATCTGTGATTTGTGCTTTTTATTTCAAAGGGGGCTTGGGGACTCCAGTATTTCAAGGGGAAAGGGTGGGCAGTAGGAGAACCAAGAAAGAAACAAAATGTTGGGGTAGGGTAGATAAAGCTGCAGGTGGTTCCATTCTTCTGAGGCTTTCATCAGTGTTCACTGAATCTACATTTTATATGTAAAAGGAGGGGATAGAAGAACAGTCAATTATGCACTGGCCTGTGCTCAGTGAATCTGCATTAATACGCATTTGTCTCAGTTGGGTGGAGTATGGCTTCTGGTCTTGCCTTTATTTATTTGTTTTTATTTTATTTTATTTTATTTTATTTTATTTTATTTTATTTTATTTATTTATTTATTTATTTATTTATTTATTTATTTATTTATTTATTTTGAGATGGAGTCTTGCTCTGTCACCCAGGCTGGAGTGCAGTGGTGCGATCTCAGCTCACTGCAACCTTCGCCTCCCAGGTTCAAGCGATTCTCCTGCCTCAGCCTCTCAAGTAGCTGGGATCACAGGGGCGTACCGCCACGCCTAGCTAATTTTTGTGTTTTCAGTAGAGACGGGGTTTCACAATGTTGGCCAGGCTGGTCTCAAATGGCAGCACATATACTAAAATCTGTTCTTGTCTTTATCCGTTATGGTGGCAGCACATATACTAAATCTGCTCCTGTCTTTATCCGTGATGGTCTTGTCTTTGTCCCGTACCTGTGAAGATAAGCTGTTAATTACCTTGTCAGCATGAAATTCAACAGAACTGTTTTAGGGTAAATATCTTGCGACCTATGAGGAAGTTCCTTGTGAGCAAATTGTGAGGGAGGCTTCCTGGGGAAGTATGTGGCCTTTAATTTTTGTAGGAATAAAAATGGGAGACAATTTTCTATGACTCAATTCCCAAGCTTGACTTTTCCCTTTGGCTTAGTGTGTTTGGGGTCCCAAGATTTTATTTTCCTTTCATAATCCCAAATTCATATACTGATCTCCTAACCCCTATACGGGGGAAGGAAAACATTCCCTTCACTCTCTGAAGATTCACTGAAATATCAACTGACAAAAGGCAGATTAGCCAGGTACAGTGGGCATGCTTATAGTCCCAGCTACTCCAGAGACCAAGGCAGGAGAATCACTTGTGTCCAGTAACAGGCTGTAGTGCACTATGCTGATAGAGTGTCCACACTGTTTGCCATCAATATCGTAATTGCCAGGGAGTAGGGGACCATCAAGTCACCTAGGGAGGGATGAACTGGCCCAGGTTGTAAGTGGAGCAGATGAAAACTCCCTTGCTAATCAGTGGTGAGATGGTACCCATGAATAGCCACTGTAATTGAGCCTGGGGAACATAGTGAGACCGTGTCTTTATAAATAAAATTTTTAGAAAGGCATATTAATAGGAAGGAAGGCATACAAATTTATTAACATGTACATGGAAGAATCACAAAGTAATTACACCAACTCTGCAATGGGATACAGAAGCTTAAACACCATCTTGAGGTTAGAGAAAAAAATAGGGGCTCAGAACAGTTATGTTGGTAAATCAGGTGATGGTGGCAAGACAGGTTATGGGAAGGGGAGAAGAAGAGGTCTGGCTAGCAAAGGTGGTCTTGTTATGTAGATGAAACCTCACTGTTAGCAGCCCTCAGGGAGAATACGTTTTACATGTTTTTTTCAGACCTTTAAAAGTGTCAGGATCTCAGTTAATCTATCCTAGATCCGGACAAAGAAAGGTCTGCCTGCATCAATGCAGAAATGCAACTAGACTTAAATGCTAAATGGTCACACTTGTTCCATCATAGACCTAACTTCTAATTCAGTAATAGAGTCCTTTCCATAGGCAAGTAGTAGTAAATTTATACAAAGGCCATCCATAGCTTTTAAGGTGGAGCTACAAAGTAGATACTTACATGATACAATTGTTTTTTAAGAGTCTAACGTTGATTCAGCTCTGAAATCCTCATGTTTGTTCTTAAGCGTGAAGTGGGCCATAATGCAGCACTCATAAAGAATTCTGACCTGTTGCAATGGATGTCATCTTGAGGAATGCAACTATGAAAAAAGTGCATCATCATCATAAGATATTGCCTATTATGACTAAAGTGCAATTCCATTTCTCACTGTTTCTTAAAGGGGACCATATTAAAATTTTGAGTGTGACAAGTCTTTGTTATGTGGGACTTTTTGGTGTCTCTGACTAATAGTCACTAGTTGCTAATATGGTATCCCAGTCATTGGACAATGAAAAATATCACCCATATGTGCAGGATAATACTCTTCTTTGAAAATTACTGTTGCAGCAATAGCCAAGAGTAATGGTATTTAAATGGCATTGTTTTCATGGGTAACTACTAAAAATTATAGAGAAATATACACAGTTTCAAACAGTGTACATTTAGTCTGTCAACTCCTGGCCACATAGTAAAGCCCTTCATAAGTAACCAAGAGCTTGAGATTTTTATATCATTGTACCTTTCATGCAGCTGAGAGAGGCATTATTGGTATAAGTAACTCCCCAAAGATCCCAAGAAGTGTTTCTGTGACACTTGTGCTTTTTACATTTTACATTTGAATATCTGTCTTAGAGTAATTTAAATGTAATTTGAAGTACAACAATGGCCCTATCAAAGATCATTCTCAGGCCAAGTTTCCTTGGATTAAGCAAGCTTTAATGAATGCTATTTTCTTGTACTCCATTTAACCAGTGGTAAACTTGGAACAGCTCAATAAACTACTGAAAGGGCAAGAGATGCAGAACCTAAGCTGAAAAATCTGTTTGCTATAGGCAAGATAGTGTTTCTTTCATGTTGCTCCAAATGCCAAGGTATTCAGACTCTGGAATAGACAGATTTTTAAAACCCTAATTTTTAAATCTGCAGGCATCACTTGAAAAATATAATGACCATTCCCACTGCTAATTATTTAGGAAATTAGTATTATAAAATGTGAGATTGGAACACCTCACTCAGAGACCAAACCTGAGAGTTACTCTTGGGTTACATTCAAAGATACTAAATTGAAATTTCCTTGGAAAAGACACAAACTGAAATAAATCTGAGAATGGCGATCTTTCTAACTTTCTGTGATCCTCCATGTCAGACCCATCTGGTCTGAAGAATGCTGACTGTGTAACAACTGTATTTGTAATATGTATCATTCAAACTTCAGTAGACTATGATAAACATTCTGTAACTGTCTATATCATTTGAAATAGAAGTATCTAGTATGCCACAGGGCCTTGCAATAAAATTAGCCTTGCTGGCTAATATCCAGAGAGGAAGAATAAATGTGTATGCGTACTGCGGGGAGGGAGCGAAATGAGAACTATCACTACCAAAATTCTCATGGAATTATATTTCCCAAAGACATGCTATCTATGGAGGCAGCAAAACCTTTCTGAAAAATAAAAATTAAATGAGGCTATACTTTTGATATAACAGACAGTTTTGTTTATATCCCCAAATATTCAACTATTGAAATGTTCCCTTCACACTGTGCAAAGATGATTTATTAGAAGAATGTATTACTATATTGTAGAAGACATAATGTTCTGCAGCTATGAACAAAAAGTCAAAGCTGTCAAAGGTCCTAATAAAAGTAGCTTTACAAAAACCTCTCCTTCTGAAAAGCAATCGGAACATTGGAAAAAATCATCAAAACAAACCTTTCTAAAACTCTGGAAATTAATCAAAGGCTTGCAACATTGCAAGGAGTATTTCTCCAAGAAAAACAGCTAAACTTCTGTAAGAACTGCAATCTCTGTGATGTGTTAGCTCGCTCTATTACTATTCTTCACTCCCTAGATTTGTGAGAGTCTTGAAATCAACAGCCTCACTACTGCAGTAGTCATGAAAACTTGCATTTTAGCAACCACTAGAGGAAGCAGAAACAGGCATGTTCTTCCACAAAACCCATTCCCTGAGAAATGTGACTATTTGAAATGTCTGGAAACTCCCTAAATAGCTCTATTCTCAGGGTTGTCTTTAATGGACCTGAATCAGAGCTCACTCTGTACAAATAAGCCTATACCTAAAAAATTTTCTCACAAAAAGTGGTAGTTGTTTAACACTGCAGCTACCTGAAGCAATTAACAAGAGGTTGACTAAAAACTTAAAAGGAAAAACTGGTGAATGAGACATTCATAACAATCTTTGAAAATGTCAACATATTTCTGAGAATCTAGAAGGCCACACAGGTGTGCAAGGCTGTAGGCTCAAGAAAGTCCTCAGAATGCCCTATTTGCTCAAGTCTAACTAATCTTTTTCTTTTCTTTTCTTTCTTTCTTTCTTTCTTTTCTTTTTTTTTTTTTTTTGAGACAGAGTCTTGCACTGTTGCTCAGGCTGGAGTGCAGTGGCACGGTCTTGGCTCACTGCAACCTCAGCCTCCCAGGTTCAAGTGATTCTCCTGCCTCAGCCTCCTGAGTAGCTGGGATTACAGGTACCCACCACCACACCCAGCTAATTTAAGTCTGACTAATCTTAAGCCTCTGAAGAAGTTGAAAGTAAGGATAACAGAGTTGTTAATTACAGGAATATTTGAGGCATGTCTAAAAACTATACCAAATCCTTGGCAGTGGCTGGGAGAATTACTGGTTCATGGCATTTAAGGACACCTCTGTCTTGCTAATCACTAACCTAACCAAGGAGACACTTTAGTGGCTACATATGTCAAAGAAAACAGACTTTACAGTATCAGTCCAAGAAAGTCAGCAAACGAGGAACAATAACAATATAAACAACAACAACAAAACAGCTAACAGCAAGACCAACAAACCCTGGGAGAAGAAGTTCTGATTTCAAGATTTACAATGTTATATTAAAATGTCAAGTATTTTAAAGAAAAAGTAGACATACAAAGAAACAGGAATGAATGGCCCATACAAAGAAAAAAAAAAAAGAAAGTCAATAGAAAATGTCATGGTGGAAGCCAAGATGTCAGATTTATTATATAAAGATTTTAAATAGGCAATTATAAATATGTTCAAGTAACTAAAAAACATCTTGTCTAAAAAAATAAAGGAGTGTATGGCAATGATTTCTCACTAAAGAGAGAGTGTCAACAAAGAGATAGACATTATTTTTTAAAAGCACCAAATAGTAACTCAGTAGTTTAAAAATCACAATAACTGAAATGAGAAATTCACTAGAGGAGTTCTATAGCAGATTGCAACTGTCAAGGAAACAATAAGAAAATTTGAATATAGTTCATTGTGATTATAGTAAAGAACAGAAAGAAGAAATAATAAAGAAAATTAATGTAGTCTCAAAGATATGTGAGACACTGAAGTCCCTGAGGGAGAAGAGAAAGCTTCGAAGAACAGAAAGAATATTTGAAGACATAATTTCTAAAGGCTAACACAATTTGATGAAAAAACATGAATTTGCACATTCAAATAGCAAAACAATCTTCCAGTAGGATAATCTCAAAGTAGTCTACACCCAGACACATCATAGACAAAGTGCCAAAACACAAAGAGAATCTTGAAAGCAGTAAAAGAATTGTAGCTCTACATACAAGGTATTTTTTAATAGCAGTAACAGCTAACTTCTTATCGGAAATGTGGAGGGCAGAAGGCAGTAGGATGACATATGTATCATGCTGAAGTGAAAAAAGCAACCCATTAACCAAGAATTCTATCTCTAGCAAACTGTTTCAAAAATGGAGATATTAGGACGTGCCAAGATTTTAAAAATAACAAAAAATAACTGACATAATGAGTAGACCTTTCCTATAAGAAATACCAAAAGGAGTCCTTCACTCTAAAAAAAATTTTCACTAGACAAAAACTCAAATCCACATGAAGAAATAAAGAACACTAATAAAGGTAACTGCATAAGATGAATATAAAATACAGGATCAGTATATTTCTGTTTGTAACTATTTTCTTCTCCTATCTGACTTAAAAGACAACTACATAAAACAATAATTATAAAACTATTAGTAGGCTTCCAAGGTACAATATAGTTTCTATGTCAATAAATCATAATACAAAGAAGGGTGAAAAAAACAAAGTTGGATTAGAGCTACACTTTTGGATACTGATCAAAGTAAGTTGGTATTAATCTAAACAAGTTCTTTTTAAGATATGATATTAACTGTCATCACAAGGAGGACCATTAAGAAAATAACTAAAAGAATGGTAAAAGAAATAAAAAGGAAGTTAAAATGGTACACTTGAAAATGTCTATTTTATACAAAACAAGGCTATCCCATAAACATAAATATATACAATTAATAAATTTTCAGTTGATAGTAAAATAAAATTTTTAAAAATGCCAAAAATCCTAAGGCAATAACACAGAAATAGAGGAAACAAAAAGAGATAAGACATGTGGAAAACAAATAGCAAAATGGATACTTCAAAGGTACAGAGTAACAGAATGCATAAAATATAAATCAGGATCATACTGTAGGCTATCTACTAGAGACACACTTTAGATTTAAAAAGACATATGAATGTAAAGCAAAAGGATGGAAAATATATATAATGCAACAGTAACCAAAACAGAGCTGGAGTAACTATATTACTATTGAACAAAATAGACTGTAGTGCAAAGAATATTTCTAGAGAAAAAGAAAGATATTCTATAACGTTAAAAAGATGAATCCATTAGAAAACCATAACAATTACAAATATACATGTAGGTAGCAACAAAGCCCAAAATACATGAAGCAAAATCTGTCTGAATTGAAGGGAAAATAATGTTGGCAATTGAACAATAATTATTGGAGACTTCAACAGCTTCTTTCAATAATGAAAAGAACAACTAGACACAAGATTAACAAGGAAAAAATAAGATTTGGACAACACTATAAATAAACTAGACCAAACACATATATAGAATACTACACTCAAAACAGCAAAATACATACGATTCTCAAGCCCTTGTATAACTTCATCCTGAATAACACTTATGCTAGGCCATAAAACAAGTCTCAGCAAATTTAAAAGTATTGAAATAATGCAAAGTATGTTCTCTAGCTAAAATAGAATGAAATTTAGAAATCAACAACAGAAGGACATTTGGGAAATTCACAAGTATGTGAAAATTAAACAACACACTCCTAAATAACCAACGGGAAAGCAAGAAATCACAGGAAATTAGGAAATAATTTGAGTAGAAGGAAATGAAAACATAGCATACTATGCACACAGCTAAAGCAGTGCTTACAGTGAAATCTGTAGCTATTAAATGCCTATATTAAAAAAGCGAGCTCTCATATCAATTAACACTTCACCTTAAAAAATTAGGAAAAGAAGAACATGCTAAATACAAAACAAGCAAAAGGAAGTAAGTGAAAAGATTAGAACAGAAAAACAAAAGTTAAGAGTAGAAAAAAGAGAAATCAGTGTAACTGCAAGTTGATTCTTTGAAAAGATAAAGGAAATTAAAAACTAACATGTAAAAGGCAACTCAAATTACTAAAATGAGGAATGTAAGAGAAGATGTCATTAGTAACATGACAGAAAAAAATTATAATAAAAGAATACTAGGAACAATTATACACCAAAAAATTAGATACCCTGGATAAAATGGATACATTTTCAGAAAGATGCGAACTTCTGAAACTGATTCAGAAAGAAATAAAAAATCTGAATAGGCTTATAAGAAGTAAAGAGATGGAATTAGTAACAAAAACACTTCTCACAAAAAAAATCCAGGTCCAGCTGGCTTCACTGATGAATTTGAGCAAACATTACCAAAAAGAATGAACAGAAATCCTCACATGTTTTTATAAGTAATAGAGGAAAAAGAACCCTTTCTAACTCATTCTATGTGGCCAATATTACTCTGATACCAAAACCAGAAAAAATATCACAAGAAAAGTACAGGCTAATATACCTTAAGGCTGTAAATGCAAATATAGTCAACAAAATACTAGCAACCAAATCAGGCAACATATAAAAAGGATTATATATCATGACTCAGTGAGATTTATTCCAGGAATTTGGGATTGACTAAAATCAAACAGTGTTGTACAACCATATTGATACAATAAAGGACAAAAACTACATACTGTTTTTCAGAAGACACCAAAAAGGCCTGTGAAAAATTTAATGACATTTCATAATAAAAATACTCAACAAATAAGTCGTAAAAGGAAACCTCCTCAACCTTATAAAGGCTATCTACAAATAACCTATCATTAAATTGTGAATGATTAAAAAGAAATAAAGATGTTGTTCTCACTAGCAACTAGGTAAGTCTTTGCTATTGTGAATAATGCCGCAATAAACATGTGTACATGTGTCTTTATAGTAGCATGATTTAGAATCCTCTGGGTATATACCCAGTAATGGGATCGCTGGGTCAAATGGTATTTCTAGTTCTAGATCCTTGAGGAATTGCCACACTGTCTTCCACAATGGTTGAACTAATTTACTCTCCCACCAGCAGTGTAAAAGCGTTCCTATTTCTCCACATCCTCTCCAGCATCTGTTGTTCGCTGACTTTTTAATGATCGCCATTCTAACTGGCATGAGATGGTATCTCATTGTGGTTTTGATTTGCATTTCTCTGATGACCAGTGATGATGAGCATTTTTTCATGTGCCTGTTGGTTGCATACATGTCTTCTTTTGAGAAGTGTCTGTTCATATCCTTTGCCCACTTTTTGATGGGGTTGTTTGTTTTTTTCTTGTAAATTTGTTTAAATTCTTTGTAGATTCTGGATATTAGCTCTTTGTCAGATGGGTAGGTTGCAAAAATGTTCTCCCATTCTGTAGGTTGCCTGTTCACTCTGATGGTAGTTTCTTTTGCTGTGCAGAAGCTCTTTAGTTTAATTAGATCCCATTTGTCTATTTTGGCTTTTGTTGCCATTGCTTTTGGTGTTTTAGTCACAAAGTCCTTGCCCATGCCTATGTTCTGAATGGTATTGCCTAGGTTTTCTTCTAGGGTTTTTATGGTTTTAGGTCTAACATTTAAGTCTTTAATCCATCTTGAATTAATTTTTGTATAAGGTGTGAGGAAGGGATCCAGTTTCAGCTTTCTACATATGGCTAGCCAGTTTTCCCAGCACCATTTATTAAATAGGGAATCCTTTCCCCATTTCTTGTTTTTGTCAGGTTTGTCAAAGATCAGATGGTTGTAGATGTGTGGTGTTATTTCTCAGGGCTCTGTTCTGTACCATTAATCTATATATCTACTTTGGTACCAGTACCTTGCTGTTTTGGTTACTGTAGCCTTGTAGTATAGTTGGAAGTCAGGTAGCATGATGCCTCCAGCTTTGTTCTTTTGGCTTAGGATTGTCTTGGCAATGCAGGCTCTTTTTTGGTTCCATATGAAGTTTAAAGTAGTTTTTTCCATTTCTATGAAGAAAGTCATTGGTAGCTTCACGGGGATGGCATTGAATCTATAAAGTACCTTGGGCAGTATGGCCATTTTCATGATATTGATTCTTCGTATCCATGAGCATGGAATGTTCTTCCATTTGTGTCCTCTTTTATTTCTTTGAGCAGTGGTTTGTAGTTCTTGAAGAGGTCCTTCACATCCCTTCTAAGTTGGATTCCTAGGTATTTTATTTTCTTTGTAGTAATTGTAAATGGGAGTTCACTCATGATTTGGCTCTCTGTTTGTTTGTTGTTGGTGTATAGGAATGCTTGTGAGTTTTGCGCATTGATTTTGTATCCTGAGACTTTGCTGAAGTTGCTTATCAGCTTAAGGAGATTTGGGGCTGAGACGATGGGGTTTTCTAGATATACAATTATGTCATCTGCAAACAGGGACAATTTGACTTCCTCTTTTCCTAATTGAATACCCTTTATTTCTTTTTCCTGCCTGATTGCCCTGGCCAGAACTTCCAACACTATATTGAACAGGAATGTGAGAGAGGGCATCCTTGTCTTGTGCCGGTTTTGAAAGAAAATGTAAGTGAAAATCTTCCTGGAATTTGGCAATGGATTCTTAGAAATGACACCAAAAGTATAAGTAACAAAAGAAAAAAAATGATAAGTTAGAGTTTATCAAAATCAAAAACTTTTATGCTTCAAAGGACCCCATCAAAAATGTGAAAAGACCACCCACAGAATGGGAGAAAATGTTTGTCAGTTATATATTTGATAAGGGATCTGTATCCAGAATATATAGTAAACTCTTACAAATCAAAAACAAAAAGGCAGATGACCTGATTTACAAATGGTCAAGGTTTTGCTAACTGCAAATGGAGTCTAGCTGCAAATAGAGTGCAGCTCACATGTGTTAGGCCATATTTTCTAAGGTCTCAGTTCTCAGCTAACTGTTTATGTTCGAAGCCCAAATGGACGATTAAAAGAGATAGTAAAAAAGGAAAACAAAAGCAGCCATGGGAATGGTGCCAAAAGTTGGAAAAATGTGGGAGGGTAAATTGATGGGAAGAGTAAAGTCGACTTCTAGATCCTTTGTTGCTGCTGTCTCTGAGCTGATAAGCAAGTGTTGTAAAGAAGGCTGCTATTAGGTGGGTGATATAGTTTGGATATTTGTTCCTTCCAAATCTCATGTTTGAAGTAGGGCGTAAAAGAAGGGTTTGGGTCATGGGGGCAGATCCCTCATAAATGGCTTGGTGCTGTCCTTGGAGTAATGAAGTAATGAATTTCTGCTCTAATAGTTCACACAAGAACTGGTTGTTTAAAAATATGGCACCCCTCTCTCTCCTCTCTTTCTTGCCTCCTCTTCTCTCACCATGTGACACCACTGCTCCCCTTCACCTTCTGTCATGATCGGAAGCTTCCTAAAGCCCTCAGCAGAAACAGATGGTTGCATCATGCTTCTTGTACAGCCTGAAGGAACGTGAGCCAAATACATCTCTTTTCTTTGTGAATTATCCAGTCTCAGGTATTCCTTTATAGCAGTGCAGTAGTCTTAATGCAGTGGGAAAAGGCAGGCAGGAAAATCTTTGTCTTTGTAAATTGCTGTCCTGCCATCAGACAAGTAGAGGAAAAGCAAAGAGAGTCCCTCTGGATTATACCTGTCTTCAGCTCAACAATCTCCAGTATTTTAGAGAGGGATATTTTGGTTTTCTTCAGTAGAAAGGATTACAAATGTATGCCCTCAAAGGTCAAGAGTCACACAAATAATTTAAAACAAGTAATTCAAATTAATTTTTTATAAATATTTATCTCTTAAGCTAAAGTTACCCACTGAGGAAAGGAATTTTGTGCTGGTCTAAAGGACTTTAACTCTGTTTCAAATCTGATCTCAGCTGGAATGTTGCTTAGCTAATTCCCTGGATGTTAACATTTCATGGACATGGTAAGATTTATATCTCCAAGGGACCGAGAGGGCTCTGTATTAAAAAACAAATGAACAAACAAAACTTTGAAATCCCTTAACTTTGGGGCAAAAGAACTCTCTTTCATGCACATTTTAGTTTAAAACTAAGAAGCATTGGTCACAAATAAGACAAAAACAAGTCTGAATTAAAAACAATACAAAGCAACAGCCATTTGAAAAGAATGCTATGTGATTTAGGCCAAAAAAGTAAAACCAGTGGTGTCATTGGACTGCTAATACCATGACCTGGACCACTAGCTGTGAAGCAGGGGTAGAGCAGGCAGGTTTCTTCCCTTCCCTTCCCTTCCCTTCCTTTCTTTCCTCCCTTCCTCCCTTCCCTTCCCTTCCCTTTTCTTCTCTTTTCTTCTCTTTTTCTTTTCCTCTTCTTTTTAAATCTCCCTAAAATGTGAATCTCTTGTCCGGAGGAAAATATGGAACCTCTTTTCTAGAAAGAGAGAGTTGAAATAAGCAGACCGAATAACGTCTAGACCTCAGCCAAGAAGAAAGGAGGGCTACGAGCAGCAGCTCATGTCTGTAATCCCAGCACTTCGGGAGGTTGAGGAAGGAGAATCACTTGAGCCCAGGAGTTTGAAACCAGCCTGGAAAACATAGTGAGACCCTATCTCTACAAAAATTAAAAAAAATTAAAAAAAAAAAAAAAAGGCCAGGCATGGTGGCACATGCCTCTGGTCCCAGCTACTCAGGAGGCTGAGGTGAGAGGTTCGCTTGAGCCCAGGAGGAAGAGGCTGCAGTGAGCTGAGATCGCACCATTGCACTCCAGCCTGGGTGACAGAGTGAGACCCTGTCTCAATTTAAAAAAAAAAAAGAAAAGAAAAAAAAAAGAAAGAAAGACACTGTGGCAAATTAATATAGAGATTTTATTTGGCCTCAAGTTGAGGACGGTAGCCCGGGAAACACTGGGAAGTGGTCCAGAGAACAAAGGGAAGGTTCAAGTTTTTAAAGATAAAAGGATGAATCGGAAGAGGAGGCAATCACAAAAGTTGTTTTTCTAGAATTGTCATTGGTTTACAGAAATAACATTTATTTGTGATTGCCTATGCACTGTTGAACCGCAGGGTATGAATTACGGTGTCCAGCCTGGGTCATTGTTAGGTTAATTTATAAGGTATTTGCAGCAAAACTCACTCTAGTGTCCATGTAGCAGTTGGCTTTGAAATGATTACTTAGCTTAAGTGGTGGGGGAGCTAAGGCAGGGGGCGATGTAAGACATTATTGCTGTGACATTTCAATGGCTTTCTGGGTCTGATAAGTAAAAGGGGCTCACATTCCTCAGCGAAAAAGTTTCTTTTCTTTCTCATGCTAATGAGATATAGTATTTCAGTTAAATATTGGAACACCTATCTGAGAAACAAAGCTGTCATGGAATTCTAAAGAATTTCAGGAACATGAAAAGGTTGAAATCACAAGAAAACACATGAGTACTAAATATACTTACGAATGCTGAAAGAAGCCATGCCTGTATAAGCCAACTGTCAGGCCTGGTTTCTTTTATTCAAATTTTGATATAGTCATGTAATAATAACAAAAATAATAGGTGACATTTATTGAATGCTTACTATATAACATCAAATAAATAAGGAACAAGTATCATCATTTTATAGATGTGGAAACTGGAATTTAAAGTGGCCTCATGCCACTTAGGTAAGGCTAAAGTCACTTTGATTAGCAAGTGGCAGAATTGAGATTATCTGAAATTTTCCACATCTGACACATTCCAATCCTTTTAAACTTGGTTTTTGGTGACTAGTTTATAAAGCAAGTATTCCTTTAATAAAGTAGAAAAGTAAAGTATAATAAAATAGCATACTTTTTCTGGCTCTTGAACTGAACAAAGATATTGCATAAAATTTGATATTTATTCTTTTTTTTTTTTAAAAAAACAGAAATTTAACAACTGCAATCATCTTTCAATCTCAATTTTCCAAGGGGATCAGGTTTAAGAAGAAAATTACTTAGTATTTGTGAATACAATCATTTCGGTTCTTTTCTCTCTCTTTTTTTTTTTTTTTTGAGACAGGGTCTCTCCCTGTTGCCCAGGCATGAACATGGCTCACTGCAGCCTTGACCTCCTGGGTTCAAGTGATCCTGCCTCTTCAATCTCCTGAGTAGCTAGGACCACAGGTGCAGGCAACCATGCCTGACTAATTTTTTATTTTTTTAAAATTTTTGGTAGAGACTGGATCTTGCCGTGTTGTGCAGGCTGGTCTTGAAACCCTGGGCTCAAGCAATCCTTCCTCCTCAGCCTCCCAAAAGTGTTGGGATTATAGGCATAAGCCACCACATCTGTCCTTGGTTATTTCCAAATCCCCAAACAAAATGTGTTAAATTTGTATAAATACCTCTTTCAAATATGAATAAAATACTGAGTTTGATGAATTGGGTGCATAGACCAATGGTCTACTGCATTCCCAAGTTAAAAGCTAATGTTGATATGGTGCTAGTTCTGTGACAGTTTGTGATAAATAAGTATACATGAATATTTATGGATTCCAGATAAATCAGGTGTGTGTTAATTTTTGCAATGATATGATCAGCAATATGATGAAAAATGGTGAAAGTTACTGACTATAATGATCATTTAGCTTGTTGACAACATTCATAGTCCCATATTTGTAAGTTATAAAATTTGGCTGAACAAACAACCTAAAACAACTTAAAATTTTTTAAATAATGTACTCGTTATATTATCCCAATATCTACTATGAAAGTACATTTTTAGTGCAAGATATAAACACTTCATAGTCAAAAGAGGTGGAATATATTAAAGTAACCACATTCTGCAATTCCCCAAATAGGTAACATGTATACTTGGTAAACAGACAAAATTTTCTGCTTTCAGATGGTGTCCGGAATTTCAAATAATACTGAGTTATGGGAATTGCCACAGTAAGTAAAGATCTACAGTCGGGGAAAAGGATTTATAAGGCGTATGTTTTATAGCTCCTGTATGAGTAGGCTTTTGATGCATCATATACATGCTTTGAAGGTAGTATTATGCAGGGTACTAAATTGAGTTATACTTACAGTCAATGAATATCATTTGACCAATGACATTTTAGAAAAATATCTATATAATTTTCCAAGGCCATGTCTTAGAAATTTTGCTCTGAGTCTTATATCTGAACATCTCAGAGAATTTTTAGAGAAAACAATTTCACAGATAATGATAATTAGATACCTTCACTTTGCAAATATATGAACTGCCTTTTGAATGGCCCTTTTAGTAAAATGAGATTGATTACGTCCTCTTCATAGCAGAGATTTTACCACAAAACATCAATCTATTATGAAAAGTACATACGTGTAACCTGGTATCCTTGCTTGGCAGGGTGATGTTACATTTAGGTACATGAACTACCTACTGTGATAAGCTCCCTATCTCTTCAAATATTAACTCTCCTGCTCATTCCTGTCTGATGCCTGAAATTCCTTTAATATTACAAAAAGCTTAATCAATTTATTAATAATCCTACATTTTCTTGCATTATTGCTGCCCAGTGATCTGGATTGTTTGTGGTTGTTGATTGGAAAACTAAAAAGTCTTAGAAAATATCATTCTAATGTTATTGTATCACAGTGAATTACCCACATACAAGCACAAAGTAAAGCTGTAAAGCAATTAATTCAGTTCTTCAAATAAACCAAAAAAAGAAGACAGTGAATGATAACTATCAGTTTCTTTCTTAATTTGATGGATGAATTTATTCACTCTCCATTTTTCTCTCCCAGCCTATTTGTGGTTTTGTAGCAAAAAGATTTCTACATGGCTTTTTCTGTAATTATTTTGTGAAAACCCACAATATAAAAGAAACTGACTTATTTTAAGAATAATGGAACTTCCTCTTTTCAGAAGGGTCTGAAGCAATTTTTCTCTTTAAGCAAAACCTCTGTTCTATGGTTCACGTTCAGATGTGGCCTTCATTCAAACATACTTCCCTTCTTAGCTGCTGATGAAAGCATGTGGCAACATTTCTGCCTTGGCAAATTTAAATCATCTCCCTTAAGGTGAGGGTAGGTAAATACCTTAGCAAGTTATCTCTTTTATACAAACAGACTTATTTTGGCACAGTGTATAATTGTATACATACAATTGTATAAATACTATTTTAAAATGCTAGATTTTTTTCCCCATGCACACTGAATTGAATTCATTGTAACGTGAAAATGACTGACATGTAATTCTTTTCTCAGAGCAACATTAACCATAAAAATGGAGACAGAGCAACAAACTCCTGGGTGACTACAAGTCAGGAAAGGGAAAAACACCGTAGGGGTAGAATTTACAGAAGTCTTATTTTAAATACAATTTTGCCTCAAAAGATGGGCCATAGAAGGGAGGTGTGTATTCCACTCTCCTTGTAAAATATGAGTTTTTAAATCTATAAGTAGGAAGAGATGTACAACACATACTAATGAAGAAATCTGTTGCCACGTTTTAAGTATTAAAAAAAAGGCATGTCTATATCTGGTGGGATTTTTTTTTAATGACTTAATTTATTCCTACTGCAATAAATTAGGCTATTCAAGCAATCCAGGGTCCATCCATCTATTAATAGTATCAAGCTTTTAAAATGTAAAGCTTTTAGTTTTGCTGCTTCTAAAATCATATAGTGCTTTCATTCTAATTTATGTTGATTCAGTTCAAATAATAGAAATTTTGAATGACATCATGGCTATTTTGACACGTATACAGACTATAGTAAAGTGGTTTTGGACGTGTGTTCAGAATTCTATAAGCAGGGGAAAAATAAAAATAATGGATTCCTAATTTACAATGGTTGCTCTTTGCAATAAATAATGTTATAAGCAATTATTTTATAAGATCCTTATGTAATCAGTAAAATATGCAATAAAATTATAAAGATGCTGAACCTCCTATCAAGTTTAGTTATCATATCAAAATTCTTGCAAAAAGATGCTACATTTCATTTATTTAGAAAAAAAAGAACAATGATATTGTCAAGATAGATAATTTTGAATTCTGATTTACAAACATTCAGTGAGTTCCTAAAGCTATGTATTCCAATAGGGTACAGATATTTGAACTGAAAGTGAATATTTCTCTTGATCCCAAAAAGCGTGGGGTGTCTTAACCACCCTGAGAGTTTTCTACATAGTACTCAAATTGATTGACAGGTTTGTAGATCAACAATGTCTTTCTTTCTTTTTTTTTTTTTTTTTTTTTTTTTGACATGGAGTCTCGCTCTGTCGCCCAGGCTGGAGTGCAGTGGCACGATCTTGGCTGACTGCAGGCTCCACCTCCCGGGTTCACGCCATTCTCCTGCCTCAGCCTCCCGAGTAGCTGGGACCACAGGCGTCTGCCACCACGCCCGGCTAATTCTTTTGTATTTTTTAGTAGAGATGGGGTTTCACCGTGTTAGCCAGGATGGTCTCGATCTCCTGACCTCGTGATCCACCAGCCTCGGCCTCCCAAAGTGCCGGGATTACAGGCGTGAGCCCCCGCGCCCGGCTGATGTTTTTCTTTTAGCTTTACGTTATTTCTCTTCGAAGGTTATCTCAGCCCCAGAGATTCACTGACACTTGGGGGAATGGTAGTTTTAATTATTGATTTTTGAACAGTTTAACTTTGTGATCACTACCTCTTGATACGTGCTCAAGGTGGGGTTGGCCTTAGACTCCAATATAATAGCTAGTTGGGATATGAAGATCAGAGTCTCCTAATCTCTGTCTGCATCCCTTCCTTCCCTGAGACTCTTTATGGTGCAATGCCCACCAATAAGGATTTCTCCTTTATAAGCAGTGTCTTTCAAAGTTTCTCTCAGAGAGGTAACAAATTAGGATCTGACACATTATTGTGAAATAATTTATCAAATCTCTTTCCTTCATTGCTGGGAGGGAAGATCCCAACCATCAAGAATACACTGGACACCTTAGGCTGAGGCATTACACAGGGGCCAAAGAACACTCAAAGGGAGGCAGGGGAACTCAAAGGATCAACACTGCATCCTTCATAGTTTGGCTAAGGGCTGACTCACCTCTGAACAAAAGTAACCTCCCAAATCAACAGCTGCATCCGTAGGGTGCATATCTGAAGGACAATTGTTTCAGGCTGGAATGTACAACACTAAATAGCTTATTTTCCCTTCCTCTTTTTCCATTGAGGTTATAAAATCCTAAATCCAAATTCCAAGACAAAGGTCCTTAATAAGAGGAAATTCCTCTGGCATTGAATAGGGAAGATTAGCAATGGCTGTTATCCCGTTTTATAATCATGTAGCTACTTATAACAAAATGAAAGAAGACCCCCTGCCTTGCTCACTTTGTAAACACATGGGAAAGAATGGGATCACATGCCCAGGCAGGTCTGCGTGTGCTTGAAGGGTATTGCAAGGTCCTGCACCCCCACCACTGATTTGGCTTGGCATTTGCACCATTCAAGTCACTCTAGATCTCTTTTAACAAATGGAAGAAAAGACTGAGGACCTAGGAGCCCCCAGGGTTATTCACTCCCGGTTCCAAGGTAGCTCTATGACATCAATGAATGCTTTACTAAAAGGAATAACAGAAAGATATTATTTATTGAATGTTCATTATATGCCTGGCACTTTACATTTATCTGAGTTAATTTTGGCCACAATTCTGGTAGTTATGCTTATTATCTTCATTTTGCAGATGCAGAAATAGGCAAGGAAAAGCTATATAACTCCCTTAAGGTAACACAGCTAGTAAGCAGCTGAAAAGGGATTTGGACTCTAGCAGTGTACCCACATTGTCCACACTTTTTGCCATTATAGTAAGTTGTCAGTAGATGAACACAACTCAGTGAAGTGGAGGTGGCTATTGATGCAATTGAGCAGTTTATTGAGAAGTAAAACTTCTAATTGGATACAGCACTTGCATCGCCAGTGTCAAAACATTGTAAAGGAAAGATGAAAAATGTCATCAATAGTTCAGCACTTTGGAAGCATTTGTATATTTGGCATCACAGAGACAAAATATCCAGATGGGAGATTGAATATTTTATTTTGCATCTGGGTGTTCTGGCAAAATAGAAAGCAAGAAAAGTGATTTCTATTTGGTTATTTTTAATTTGTGGTGATATCAGCACCCTACAAACTGAAGGAGAGAAACTCAATGGTAGTGGTCCTACTATATCTGTTTTGTGCTGAAATGCACTTGCAACTGGAATTGTTTGCTTTAATATATTTCAGTGGGGTGTCACCAGGGGCAGCCTCAGCAAAATTGTAAGAGTTAGACTCATCTTTGATGTTCTTCTGCATCTTCAGGGATGCACTACCCTTTTGTCCCTACCAGGTGAAAACTGACTTCATGCTTTATATATTCCCCATTCCCAGCATGCTCTTATAAATAAGCCATTTGTAATAACATATAAAAGGCGTCAAAATTTTAAGTAACTGTGGGACAGAAGTGATGGTAGAATTTTAGGTACCTGTCATAGGTGACAAATTTGTGAGGAGAGAGGACTTCTGAGCCCCTTACATGCCCTCTAAATTACCACCAAATTATATGATTTCCAGACTTATAAGTCTTAAAACCCTTGTACAGGAAAATCACAGTGATAAAATAAAATCAAAGACTGATTAATTACTAATTATGTAACTTACAAGAATGGGGACACAAAGACTACACATGGTAATGGTTTAGATTAGAAGTATTTCTTTGAGAATAATCAGAAAGCTAAATACTTTAACTATGCCACTTTCTTCCAAAGGCAGTAATTCAAGACCCTCTGTAAAGGCTATGGCAATGCCAGTTACTATAAAGCATAATCTGTTTCTCTCTCTTGTTCTCTTTCAATTGTCCTAGAAATACAACTACTCAACCCTGTCATAGCATGGAAACTCTTATAGACGATATGCAAACAAATGAGTAGAGTTGTTTTTCAAAAAAACTTTATTTACAAAAACAGAAAGTCAGTCTACTGCCATAGACTGCTGTCCCTTTCTCTACAAGTGTTATTTTAGATTGTATATTTGAGTCCAGTGACCCGTTTTGAATTAAATTTTATATATGGCGCAAGGTATGTATCACAGTTTATTTTCTTGCATATTGATATCACATTGTGCAGTAACATTTGTTGAAAAGACTATCCTTTTCCCATTGACTTGCCTGTGTACCTTTGTCAAAAATCAGTTGTCCATGCACTTGTGGATCTCTTTCTGAACTTGCTACTCTGTTCTGTTGATTTACTTGCCTATTTTTAGGCTACAATTACACTGCTCTGTAAGTATATAATGAATCTCAAAATAAGATAGTGTTAGCTCTCCAAGTTTGTTCATTAACTCCTGGCTACTTTTAAGATTTTTCTCTTCATTGCTGGTTTTAAGCAATTTGATTTTGATGTGCTTTGTTATACTTTTCTCATGTTGTCGTGCTTGAGGTTCATTGAACTTTTACAGGACTAACAATAATGTTCAACTCAGTGGTGCCCCATTAACCTCAGTATCTGAATGGTATTATGAGTACAGGCTCGCCTTGCCACAGTGGACAGGTAGTATGAGCAAGCCATAAATCTTTGTTGCTTCAGCAATTGAGATTTGGGGGTTGCTTGTTATAATAACACAAATTAGACTATCCTGACTGATACTGGGGAATTATGGAAGATTTCGCTTTTCTTATTTATATATTTATATATTTCCGTCCAAAATTTACACAATGAGCTTTACTCTTATGATATAAACACTAATTAATATTAACATATTTCATTGAATGAAAGGTGACATCAATTGTAAGACACACCATTATTTTATGTATCCCTAAGAAAGAACAAATATTTTAAATTATACTATGACTCAGATAGTTCTATGTGTTATTTGAATTGGTCCACCAGTCTCTTGTTGCTTTGAGATTTCTTTTATCAGATCCCAAAGACTTGGCGATTTCTTCTGTCTTCTGCCTTTAGTTGCGCTACTAGTTGTATGGTAAATAATCATTTTCCACATATATGTGTAAGAATTTAATGGTATATAATGCAGGTTCAAGTACATGTAGGTATCTTTTACTTTTTAGTTTTTATAAAATATTTGGTTTATTCTTTGCCAGAAAATCAGAAATTAGAGTCTTTTCTCCACTAATCACTAATATAATTGTATTACCGTTCTATTGCTGCTGTAACAAATTACTACCAAATCAGTGCCCTGAAACAACACAAACTTCACTGTCTTATAGTTATGGAAGTCAGAAGTCCTAAATGTGTCCCAAAGGTCTAAAATAAAGTTGTCAGCAGAGCCGCATTCCTTCGCGAGGCTCTATGATAGAATCCGTTTCCCTGCCTTTTCCGGCTTCTAGAGGCTGTCCACATTCCTTGGCTCATTCAAAACCAGCAATGGAACCAGCTGGTTCCATTCAAAACCAGCAATGTCAGGCCATGTATTCACACTGCCATCTCTCTGATTCTCTCTTTTGTAGTCACATCTCCCTCGACTCTGACTCCTCCCCTGCTTCCCTCTCCCACTTTTAAAGACTCTGGTGATGTGATTGCATTGGACCCACCCAAACAATCCAGGAAAATCTCCCTATTTTAAAGCCATTTGATTAGCAATTTTAATTCTCCTTCCCCAGGTAAGGTAACATATTCACAGGTTCCCAGGATGGCTATGTGGACATCTTTGAGGGAAGAGGGATATTATGCTGTTTACCACAATCACTAACATCAAACTCATGTACCTGCTCTTTTTCTGCACCGTCCTGTATGTATAACAACTTTTGTTTCAATGAGGAATCACATTATAGTTTCTCTGGAGACATTTTAAACTCAATGCATGTAATATAGTACCTAGAAAGCATATAACACATTGCTGTGATGATCATATAAACAGCGATGAACAAATCTCGCTGTGTAGAAAATGACAAACAAGTCACTCTTAATTGATGAAAAGATGCCATAGAATTTCAGGATGCAGCCCTATTTCAGAGACATTAGCATGTAGAAAAACAATGTAATCTTAAAATAGATGAAATACAGTATATGCAAAAAACTAATCTACAGATCTGCCAGTTAATCATCTAATAGGTGTCTAAAGAATGGAACACATACATGATTCACTTTGATGGGAAAAGGAGAAGAACAAGGGCATGTTCCATGTCAGACAGTGAAAAACAGGCATGAGGACACTATATGTCTATGTCATGAGATACTGAAATGAGCTCTGAGATGACCAGCATATGCATTGACTAGAATATAAGTAATCCCAAGCTTTTTAAAAAAAAAAAACAAAAAAAAAAAAACAAAAACAAAACAGAAGAGTCCAACAAATATTCAGGGAAGTTTTCCATTTTTATAAATAAGATTTTCTACACGTGTATTTATTTTGACATTTTGAGTTGCACAGGAATGAATGTGCTTTGGAGGGTGGCTAATTTTTTAAAAATCATGTGCCATAAATCAGATAATGGTTATAAAATGATTTCACAATCTAAAAAGTCTTGAAGTACACTTTTCAACAAATCATTTTTCTTTCTTTTTTTTTTTTCTTTTTGAGACGGAGTTTCGCTCTTGTTACCCAGGCTGGAGTGCAATGGTGTGATCTCGGCTCACCGCAACCTCTGCCTCCTAGGTTCAAGCGATTCTCCTGCCTCAGCCTTCCTGAGTAGCTGGGATTACAGGCATGCTACACTACGCCCGACTAATTCTGTATTTTTGGTAGAGACAGAGTTTCCCCATTTTGGTCAGGCTGGTCTCGAACTCCTGACCTCAGATAATCCACCCGTCTTGGCCTCCCAAAGTGCTGGGATTACAGGCGTGAGCCACCACACCCGGCCTACAAATCATTTTTCTTAGCTAAATTTCCTTTTTCTTTATATCCATGGCATGGACTCTATGAAACTATCTTGGGATGATAAAAATACCAGGACAGCAAATATAAACAAAACTTTACCATTATGTCCTAAATTTCTGCTTTGAAAAATAGCAAAGCTTTAAGATGCAACTACAGCTAAAACTTCAGTAACTAAGAATAATTTGGAAGAAGGCAATTCTGATATAGTGAAAAGTCTAAATCATATAATTTTGAAAAGAAACGTAGCTGGGTTGCGTTTAAGCAGTGTAGTAAGATGCAGTTTTTAAAAAGAGATAACCAATTATTGGCAATCGGCGGGCCTGCTTTAGTAAAAATAAGGTTGTGATTAAGTTATATTATTATTATATATTATTTTGTCTCATCTAGACTTGTTTTTTCTCAATAGTGATAATTGCTAGAAATAGAAATCATAGGGTCAGACTTAATTTTAGGGGAATGGGGTCAGGGTGGGTGAGTTGGGAGGGAAACAAAATAAAAGGAAGGGGTACAGTGAAAATAAATTGGATAAGGAAGGCAAGGAAGGGGTTCTGGAAAAGTTTATAGTGGCACAAATGTAGAGTGGGATGTAAGTCACATACACACATACACCAAAAAGAAGGAAGGAAGAGTGGAAATACCCAATGGACTGGTGACATGACACATACGCCCTGCTCCCAGATCTGGCACTAGAAATGTTTTCAGTGTTCTCATCTATAAAATGAATGGATTAGAATAGATTATATCTGAGATTTCTTGAAGATCTACTACGCCTTAAGTATTTATCAGTAAATGGAAGTTGCTAAAGTGGTTTTAGAAGAGCTTGAATCAGTGATTTAGGCATTCTTCCTATAGTCCTCATTAAAATATTAATTTGTTTATCATTCCTCTTTTCTAGAGATAGTTAAAAAATAAAACAATATCTCTGGCATGATTTTTTGTTTTTGTTCTTTTGCTTTTGAGATTATTTCTGTGGTATTCTCACAGTTTATTGGAATTTGTAATGACAGATAAACATCAATTGAAGCAATTAAAACTAACACTATTGGGAAACACGACAAAGAAAGACATGAGAATTTCAACCTGCTTTCATTATGGCAAAGCATTAAAATTACTCTATCTAAAAATGATGCAATGCAGTCATTTCGCTGTCAGTCAAAATTTGATCTATGCTTTAAACTGAATGACAGCTAGCATTAAAGGGACAGACATGCTCTGAAATGTGTGTGTGGTAAGGACTTGGAATGGTGGTAAGAAGGAGGAGTAAACTCACAAGAATGAAGTTCAAGTTATTTTTGGTGTGTGCGTGTATGTGACTTACATCCCACTTTTCTACATTTGTGCAACTACAAACTTATGCAGAACTCCTTCCTTGCCTTCCTCACCCAACTTATTTTCATTGTACCCCTTCCTTTTATTTTGTTTCCCTCCCAACTCACCCACCCTGACCCCATTCCCCTAAAATTAAGTCTGACCTTATGATTTCTATTTCTAGCAATTATCACTATTGAGAAAAAACAAGTCTAGATGAGATGAAATAATGCCTATTTTGCCTAAAACTTGCTAAAATTTCAATGAGAATATAAAAATGAGACTAATCTGCCCGTGGCTTTCTCCTAATTTTTTAGGACCACTTTTAATAAAAGCAGCCCACAAACTTTATTTTATGGTTTTACATTTGGATCTTTATTTCTAATAGAGAATTCATTTAAATTGAAGGAAAAACTAAGTCGTTTGCATGCAAATATAGCAATAAGAGGAGATTGCACAAGTAATGAATGTGGTATATTAACCAATCTTTTCGCAATGAGTGACCAGGAATATATTCATTCTGAATGCGTCTCTAATTCATTCTAGTTGTTACCATAAAAGTGCACTAAGATGTGTATATCACTTTAGATTAAATGCAACAATTCACAGTATATTTTTCTCACAATATCATGAATTTTAAGGACTAAAAGGACTGTATCTGCACTGGATATGCTTAAAAACAGTCATATCATGAAATTATAAATTGCTCGTGTGGACCTGGATCTGAAAGCATTCAGAAAATGAAAATTAATGTTCATTAATGATCGATGGTTGTTTTTCTTCATAGAGTTGTCCTTTCTAAAATTGAAATATTACTTACTAGCAATGACTAAAAAAGGTTTGTATTTCTTTGACTTTGAGAACAATGAAATACATCCAGATTATTTTATCAAAAGA
This sequence comes from Homo sapiens, assembly GCF_000001405.40. Taxonomy (NCBI): domain Eukaryota; kingdom Metazoa; phylum Chordata; class Mammalia; order Primates; family Hominidae; genus Homo; species Homo sapiens. The sequence goes on along the minus strand of NC_000023.11, from coordinate 113,953,473 downwards.
TGAATGAGCTGCTAACAACAAGATGACAAGTTTGCTGCCAGCCACAATAATCATCTCTTTTTTGGATCAGGCTTTCTGGAACAGAAAGGGTCTTGATATCTACTGTTTCATTTGATTCCCAGCACATCTGGCAAGGAGGTAAAACCTGTGTGTTTATCCTGTTTTACAGCAGGTGACTGAGACTATATAACTTGCCTAAGTTCACTCAGCACACATTGTCCTGTTTGCTAAATCAGTGTTTCTGAAATGCTGGAAGAATACGTGGAAAGTGTTTGCAGTTCGAAAATATAGCCACTTTTTTCAATATTCATTTGTTTTCAGTCTTTATGTTTAATTTATCTTGAAATTACAAATAACATTAAAGGCAATTTAAAATGTTTAAACATCTATCAAAGGGGCATGGCTTATAAAAGGTAGGGAAATAATATGCTAGATAGATATTCCGATAAACTTCAATATTTAAAAATGCTCAGGGAAAAGTACTGTTATATGAAATTGGCAAGGAGATTTTAGTTTTACTTTTTTGGTGCCATTCATTTGTAAACCCTTGTAGGCAGTATTTTTTTTAAATGAGTTACTCTGTTTAAAATACAAACAGCCTCTCATTATTGACGGCAGTCAACTGTATGACATAGTAAAAATACTAACAATAGCTGTCATTTATTTAGTACTTTCTTTGTGTCAAGGATTATTTTAAACACTTTACATATTTACTCATTTAACTCATTAATTCTTCTTAACAACCCTATGTGGTAAGCATTATTATTATTTCATTTTACAGGTATGGAAATTGAGGCACAGAGAATTAACACACTTACTTATGGTCACACAACTAGTAAATGAAACAGTTGAAATTAGGGGATTCGAACCCAGGCAGTCTGGCTCTAGAGCTACAGCTCTTAACCATTATGGATGCTGTCTAAAAAAGGGAGGAGTTTCTAGAGTCTGACTATCTGGACTTCAATCTTGGATTCACCCCTTTCTAGCAATAGTCAAGTTATTTAGGATCTCTAAGCCTCAATTTCCACATCTGTAATATGTCATAATGATATCAACTTAATAGGATTAATGTAAAGAGGAAATTTTTAAAAAATTAATAAAGCATAGCAAGGTACCTGGAAACTAGTTGTTAGTGAATGTTAATTTTCCTTCTTTATTAATGACAATTTGAGTACTGCCTCATCATAATTCTTTTTCTGAACTTTAAGGTTTTCATAGGCTTGTATTTTTAACACTGTTTTACCTATGCCTCTTGTCCCCCCAAAAGCTGCATTCACACCACACCATCTAAAAGTATCTGTGTAGGTGGCAAGACAAAAAGAAAAAAAAAATAACCAAATGATTGATTCTCGAAGCAGCTATTTATTTGCCAGATTATTTGTTTTACCTTGAGTAACTTGAATTTGGACTAAAATTGAAATTGGCCCAATTGTCCCATAGAACTGACGTTTATGGTCTCTTTTGAATAAACATAGAAATTGTCCTCACATTCTTAAAACTTGAGAAAGTTACATTTGTCTTATCTGAGTTCCTTTCTCAGGAAACCAACCATCAGGCCTCCCAGATAGTATCAAAGAATTGAAATTCACCGAATCACCACATCTGGACAATGAGATGCCAGACCCCTAACCCATCATGATTGCCAGCTGACCACCTGTTTCCTGTTGACCAACTCCTCTTCCTCACCCCTCCCTAATTCCTTCTTTCCTGCATGTAGTTACATTTCTTCACTGCTATATAAATTCATGATTTTAGTCGGTCAGGGAGATGGATTTGAGACTGATCTCCCTCCCATCACCTCAGCTGCCCACCCAATTAAGGGCTTCTTCCTTGGCAATACTCATTGTCTCAGTGATTGGTTTTCTTTGTAGCAAGCAGCAGGACCGAGACAGAACTCTTGGCATTTCAGTAAAAAAATTCCTCAAGGGACTGCTAGTTTTGATTTTGCGTGTAGACTAAACTAACACTGTTAAAAGGCACTATGATTAGTGTCCACCTCTGAGAAATAAATGTGTGCACCAAAATTAAGGTTTGCTTAGCAGATTAAAAACATGTATGCAGATTAGAAAAACTTTTAAATTCTAAACCTCTATTCCGTTGACCACTTTGGCTGAACATAATTTCTTGGCATCCAACCACTGACCAACAAATACTACATTTTCAAGAGTAAAAAAGAAATACACGAAATGATTATTAAGCCCCTATTATAGACAAAAAATTACAGAGGCTCCCAAAAGATTCCAGGAGTTTTGTGATTGTTGAGTCAGTTTTCTGAAGTCTGACCATGGTGTGCACTCCAGTAAGCCTAATTTGGAAGAATGACCCAGCAGGATGTTTCTGATTGATTCTGGAAATCTTATCTAAAATCCAATGCTGAGCTAGCTAAAAATCAAAATAAACTCATGTTTAGAGCTCCAGCGAAGTTCAGCTTTGATTAACCTATCCAGATTTGTTATTTAAAAATACCAGAGAGATACCATATTAATTGTAACACATATTCAAGTTTTTACTGTTTTAAAAAATTAATTAAAAAATTATGTAGCAGTGTATAGGTCACTGTAATCATTTGAGATTTAGGACCTTAATCTAATCTTGCCTCCAATTTTTTTTTTTTTTAATTGGTAACACTACTGTGTGACTAATCACTGAATGATGTGTGTTCTGGAAAAGGGTCTTGAAGCAAAGTTACCTTTAATGGGAATGTACCATTCAAATTTATTTGTTTGTTTTTATGAAATGTGCCAGTGAGAAAATGGATGGGTTAGTTCTAAGTAACCTTGCCAAGGCTAACCTTTGAGTTATTATAAAAACTATTCAATTTCTAACTTCCAAATTCCCACTCATTTTTAAACGATTAGATCCTGAAACAGGATAGGAACCCTAGGAAGGCCAGTTGGTTGATTGCTGATTGATTGTTTCGGGGGGCTGTTCTGCAGAGCCTTTAGAAGAGCTGCCTGCTTCTTGATCCTATGCTGTTAGTACAACTCAGGCACCTGACAAATTCCCTTGCCAAGGGAGAATGGCCATTGTTCAGGGAAGGAATTCCCTTCAAGTGTCCTTGAAAGGGCTTTTCTTTTTGGAAAGAGCACCTTGTAAGCCTTCACAGTTTTATGTCTCCTTGGATACTAATTGGTGTGTAAGCCCGATAGGTTTACAAAAGTTAGCTAAAATTTCAAGTTGCTTTTGACATGTTCAAGTACCCAAATGGATAGACATCTCTAGCTGATTTTCTCTTTATATGATTTAGGCTTTGTCTGTATAATCCCAGTTTTATAATGTTGAGCCGAGGTTGAATATAGCCATTTTTGAAATGGACGTTAATCAAATGTTAAAAGAGTTCAGTCACTAGGAAATAAAAGGCCATTTGTTTTGTTTTGTTTTGTTTTTTGAACTGGAGAAAGAGTGAACACAGTTCACCACCACCATAAATTATGCAATCAAGTTTCCCACATTTGGTGAAATCTCAGGGGGTCAGCACATCTGGAATGGAATAGATGAGCCTTGGCGCTGGGAGAACCACCTTCATGATCATGGCACTACCCCTGACATATAAGAATTCATCATTTTTATTTAAGGGTTTCTCTTTAGGGGACAGAAAACAGTTTAAACTTACAAAAGACAAAAACAGGGTTTTTACCTACTCACTACATTGATTAGCACTCCTGTGTACCTATGTGGGCATAGGCCTTTTGGGGATAATGTAAAGAAATTGTACAATTGCTCAAAATAGTGACACTACCTGTGGTGATCTCAGACTCAACTAGAATTAGAACTCAGGAACTAAAATTAGTTCCCAGAAATCTTCCACCACACATCAAAGAGTCACAGCACACGCACAAACACAAACTCACACTTCAGTTGTGAAAACCAACTCATTTCAAAATATAACCTCCATATCTATTTGAATTTTGGTTGAAACAACTTATTTTATTGTTAACTCTCTCCTGCTGGATAGCTTCCCTTCAAGCTTGTCCATCCTTCTCCAAGATGCTGATGGCTTTAATGATTTAGGTTGGTATGCTTGGCTAGATATGTACATGCATAGGAAAAGTTTGTAGAAGTACCCATATACTTTTTCTCTCATCTCAATCTAGAAATACAAAGATTTCTTTGGAAGGATAATTCCCAGAATTACTCAGGAGTATGGAGAAATGTTAGAAATTGCATTAATTTTATAACCACCAGTTAAAGCAACGTTCATAGGTTTCCATAGATTGACAATATTACTAAAAAGCTCAAGTCATAGCATACTCTTCTAAAAAGTAAGAGTCCAAAAATAGGTTAACATTCATTTCATAAAAATAATGAAAAGTAAAATAAAAAATAGATGTTTTAAAAGTAAGAAATAGAAGACTAATAGGTTTATACTAAAAAAAAGCTTCTTATGAGGAAAATAATTTTCTATTAATGTGACTGTCTACTTAAGTTGGACAAGTCTTATTTATTTATTTTTATTATTATTATTTTTTTGAGACGGGGTCTCGCTCTGTTGCCCAGGCTGTAGTGCAGTGGAGTGATCTCAGCTCACTGCATCCTCCGCCTCCTGGGTTTAAGCAATTCTCTGCCTCAGCCTCCCAAGTAGCTGGGATTACAGGTGCCCACCACCGCGCCTGGCTAATTTTTTGGTATTTTTTAGTAGAGACGGGGTTTTACCACCTTGGCCAGGCTGGTCTTGAACTCCTGACCTCATGATCCACCCGCCTCAGCCTCCCAAAGTGCTGGGATTACAGATGTGAGCCACCGCGCCTGGCTCGAGTCTTTTTTATTAGTGGTGCTATGTATGTGTTTTAATAGTTATGTTTATTCATTTGGGCAAATTCACTCATAACTAACAGACATTAAAAAAGTTTGAAAGCTTTTGAAGCTGTGAACCTTCTTTACTGGATCTTCTTGATGGTATACTATAAAACACATCAGAATGGTCACATGTGAACTTATCAAGTGGAAATGTGAAGATTAGGGTAATAGTTCATTTGCTGTTCATGTTACACTTGATGGAAAAATCTTCAAATGACAAGAACAACAGCAATGTCTTGATTCCTTATCAAGAAATCACAATTCAAATCCTTATGAATATATTCACAATGCTGCTTGGAAAAAGAAAAAGAAAAACACCTATAGCCCTCAATATTGAAGACTTGTCACAGAGTTTTGGTCAGGTTTTTAAGGTAGAGAATATTTGAAGTTTGGCCCCTCTGATTATGGTTCAGTTATATATTTTAAAAATATAGCACATAATGATAGGGATTTTAAGTATATTTTGGGGTTGGAGCAGGTCCTCTATATAATTAATGTAATTAATGAATAAGCCTAACTAAAGACTGGAAAAGGACTGACAAAAATGCAGGAAGATAATAGTTACACGTTGGTTAATGAAATCAAGTTATTGGAGCTCTAAGATGAGCCTTAACAGGACTTACACATTTCAAGTCTTATTGGGAAACACTCTTAGAATCCATGTTTGCTAACATCAGTAATTTATGAAATAATGATTATACAGTTTTAAAATGTCTATTTCTAGAATGTAATTTTCAAATTGTTTTTCATAAATCAGAATTATTTTCTTTACTTGTTTTTACATAGTAAGCTATGTATCCCCAAATGCCTAAAAATAAAGCATCTGACTCCCACTTCAGAAGTAGATGGTGATTTTAAAAATCATGTTTTAGGAGGGAGCTTCCAAGATCAGAAGTTTATTTTCTCCTGAATTCTTTGACTTCAATTAAAGGTTAACTGCCACCAGGTGGACAGTGGTAGTTTCACAACAGCTAGGATAGCCTTATGTCTCAGCTTGCCTACAATAGATCTAAATTATGCCTGCTGGTCCACCTTAACTGGTAATAGCACCTACTTTTCACTCTTGAAAGCTTCCAAGTTTGGACAATTAATTTTTTGGTCACTCTATTAACTTCACGGTCAGAGGGCATTGCCAACTCTGGATGAATGAGTTCTTGTTTTTGCTAAAATGGTAACTGAAAGAAAAACCATAACAATCGTCTTAGTCTGCTTGGGCTGCTATAACAAAATACTGTAGATTTGATGGCTTATAAATAAAGTAAATTTATTTCTCACAGTTCTGAAGGCTGGGAAGCCCAAGATCAGGGATCTGGAAGATTGGGTGTATGGAGATGGCCTGCTTTCTGGCTCCTAGATGACATCTTCTAGCTCTGTCCTCACATGGATGGAAGACCAGGGCTATGTTCTGTTCAGCCCCTATTAGAGCGCTAATCCCATTCATAAGAGCGCCACACAGCACATGAATTTTGGGGGAGACACATACATTCAGACCATAGCAGCACTCCTGGTTACATTTTCTTTCACATATAGCATTTTTTCCCTCTGACTTAATAATTGTTATTTTTTGTCTATTAAAAAAAAATCTATGCCTAAGTTTTTCATCATCTCCAACATTTTTAAACCAGTTTAGTAATCTGCAGGTTACAAGTTTTTCTGGAGCCTTTCATCTTGTAGTCTATTCTGGACTTGTTGCACTTTAGCTCTGCTGAGTAACTGCTGATATAGTTTGGATATTTGTCCCTGCCCAAATCTCATGTCGAATTGTAATTCCCAATGTCGAAGGTAAGGCCTGGTGGGAGGTGTTTGGGTCATGAGGGCTGATCCTTCATGTATTGGTGCTGCTCTCACCATAGTGAGTGAGTTCTCATGAGAGACGGTTGTTTAAAAGTGTGTAGCACCTCCCCCAAACAACTCTCCCTCTCTCTTGCTTTGGCTTCTGCTATGTGAAACGCCTGCTCCCCTTTCGCCTTCTGCCATGATTGGAAGCTTCCTGAGGCCTCCCCAGAAACAGATGCTGCTATGCTTCCTATATAGTCTGCAGAACCATGAGCCAATTAAACTTCTTTATGAATTACCCAGTCTCAGGTATTTCTTTATAGCAATGCAAAAATGGACTAACACAGACATCCTGGAATTTCAGTTGGTCATCATTAATGGAATTCCCTTTTTCTCTTTATCTCTCCTTCTCTTTCTAACATTGAATCAATTGCTTTTTATATACTACTTTATTGTTTTTTTCTAGTTTAGGTAGAGTATGTTCTCCAGAAGCTTCCTAGGAAAGGCTATATGAAAGATAAAATACTTGAAGTTTTTAGTGTGTAAAAATATATCTCAATTGATAATTGGATTGCATATGGCATTTTAGATTGCAATCATTAGTCTCAGAATCTTGAGCATTGCCTTCTAGCTTCTAGTGTTGTTATTGAGAAGTCAGAAGCTATTGTAATTCTTCATTCTTTGCATGTTCATGTAACCTATCTATTTTTCTCTTTGGAAACTTTTCTTTGTCTCCAGAGTCCTAAATTTTATAATCATTTGCCTGGGTGTGGATTTTTTTTTTTTTTAACTTTCTTATGTTGTTGTACTAGACAATAGGTCCTTTCAATCAATGGATTGACAGCCTTCTATTCTAGGAAATATTTTTAGATTTTTATTTGATGATTTCCTAATATTTATTCTAATCTATTCTCTTTATTAGTTAAATTGAGCCATTACAGTAGTGAAATATACCTCACCCTCAGTGCAAATATCTTTCAGGGCCCTATTACAAATAATTTCAGAGAGTGAACAGTGCCTGACGTGTATTTAAAGAGTATATCAAAGTGTGTTGAATAAATGACAATTCTCATTACCTAATAGAAAGTATTAAAATGCAGTCTTTGCTTACAGTTAATATTTTCTTCATATGATTTTTCTTTTTACCATGGAACCATCTGTTTCAAAGGAGATGTGACTGGCATACTCCGATAATGTAATTTTATTCTCCCCTCACAAAGTCCCATTCCACCCTACAGCTATTTACTGGAAATTCTTCCTAACATTTAGATTTTCAGGGGTCACTTTTTCACTTCTTTGACTTTTAGGTACTACTGTATTCAATGATGATCTCTCTAGTGGGCCATAACTTTCTGGAAGGCATCCAATTAGTGCTTCTGAAAACAGTCTTAAAGGCTCAGTTTGGATGGCACGCTAAGTGATTACTCTGTCACCTAGAGCTATCTGCCTAGAAAAGGTGATCCATATCTAAGCAGGGCATGAAGGTGAGAGCAGCTATAATCCCCAAAAGGTTAGCTTATTTTTCAGGTTTCTTTTGCTTTTACCTAAAAAAGTTTAGTACCACCAAATAACATTTAAGAAATTCAGAAACTGGATGAATTGCAGTAGAGCTTGATGAAAGTTTCTGAGAGAATCTAAAAGCTAATTACTAAATTCCAGCTGCCTGATAAACTCTCAACATAAGTAGAATTGGCAACTTCCTGTCAAGAATTTTGTGAATGTGAGAACACTCCCCTTACAAACAAGTACCAGACTCTTCTACATCTACAGCAGGACAATTCTTACCACGAGAGTACTTTTGGCTTTAACATGGAAATTCTGAACTGAATAATTCAGGGGTGGCATTAACTGCCTATCCTCTTCTGTGGCAGGCTATTTATTTAGAAGCTCTACTTATTATTAAGCTCTACTTATTATTGGAGAAGCTCTACTCCATAACTTTCTGGGAGAACCAAAGGACCAATTCTCTTTAGCCACTAGTAACCACCCCCGCCCCCCCCCGCCCCACTTTTAGATATACAAGATTCTCAGGTGATTTCTAAGAATCAGGGAAACAAAGAATACCTTTTACACGGCTCTGTACTCTACAGAAATGACTAAAAAATACTAATCTACAGATTCTTGAATGCAGTGACACCTAAGTATGGTACACAAATTATATATAAAAATAAATCTACACTAGGACAAGTGACAGTGAAACTGCAGAACATCAAAGGCAAAGAGATTTTATAAATAGTCACAGTTAAAATAATAGTTGACTTCTCAAGAGCTACAATGGAAGTCAGAAGACAGTAGGATCATAGTTTTCAAAGCACTGAATGGAAATAACTGCCAACCTAGAATTCCATACTCATTGAAATATGCCCATTTTCTGATGATTAGTTTGAAATAGTGACATTTTCAGATAACCAATAGACCCTCACTAAAGGAAATTCTAAAGGATGGAGTTTAGGCTAAAGGAAAGTGATCCAGGTACAATAATAATCATATAAGAAATTGTGAAGACTATTTTCAAGGTTCATTTCTATAGTTCACTACTGGAGAAGTTTCTCTGAACATGTGGAACACCAGGAAACATGAGGAAGAAGCACAGCATTCTCTCCTAAATGTGAAGCCAGCTGTTGGTGTTGCTTTGCTATAACTGCTATTTGCCATTGATGATTATTTTCCTCTTCTTCCCAGAGAGTAAGAGGGAGAGGATGCAGTCTGTGTGGTTCCCATTAAAAAGAAAGAAAAAGAAAGGAAGGAAGGAAGGAAGAAAGAAAAAATTTTTGGATAGAATAACAAAGCGATAACAAAGAAAGATAAATAAAAAAAAGAATTGCTCTTCTTTGTGAAAATGTGATGCTCTCTGAGTTAAAACGTTACCTCTAAAGTCTCTGTAAAATGCAAACATGCTATAAAAAAGGGATGACGTATGACGTCATTAACATTTCTGATATAGTGTGTATTCTAATATAGAAAGTGTGTTCTCGACCAGGCGCGGTGGCTCACTCCTGTAATCCCAGCACATTGGGAGGCCGAGGCAGGTGGATCACCTGAGGTCAGGAGTTCGAGACCAACCTGGCCAACTTGGCAAAACCCCGTCTCTACTAAAAATACAAAAAAAAAATTAGCTGGGCATGGTGGCGGGCACCTGTAATCCTAGCTACTTGGGAGGCTGAGGCAGGAGAATAGCTTGAACCGGGGAGGCAGAGGTTGCAGTGAACCAAGATCCCTCCAGTGCACTCCAGCATGGGCAACAAGAGTTAAACTCCGTCTCAAACAAACAAATAGAAAACGTGTTCTCTGTAAGATTACTGCTCCAAGTGCCTTGAAAATAAGGTTCAAATAAGTGTGGGAAATGTGGTGTTAAACAAAGGGAAACCAGATTCTTAACTGTTGGACTTCGTAGCATCTTTAAGTATGCTAATGTACATTTTGAGTTTCCAAGAGAGTGATAGAGTATATATTTCCCAATTTTATTTAACCGCAGATTTTATTTTTTTCAAAACAATTTAATAGATTGGCATTCCTATAGATCACATTTAAAGCCCCTCTGTCCCTAGCATGGTCCCTGAAATTCTTCATCAAATTAGATGATATTCCTGGAACATGGAGGCATGGGATGGGTAAATCCTTACAGAAACATGAGAAAACAACAAGATTAAGAGTATAAAGTGGCTCATGGGATGGAAGATCCAGATTGGGGAGCTCCCTTGTGAGAATGAGAATTGCAAAAGCACAAGGGGTAAAATGGCAAACGGAAACATCATGTGCCCTTGTGCTGATGCTTCCATTGCTCAACTACATGGGTCATCCATGAGTATTTGCAATCTTTTGGCAGTATAAATAAAAATGGTTTAGATGGGAAATAAACAGAGGCCTCAAAAACATGCAACTGGGGCTATTTCTGATTTATCTGATTTGGAAGCAGTGTCCACTGACCATTTTTAGAATCATATCTGAAATTTCATCTCAGTGGTAACTTTTTGCCTTATTAGTAGATACAAAATAACAAAATCGGGTGGGTTTCCATTATACAAGATTGATATGACTTTATATACCATGACCAAATATTTGCTACATAAAACAATCTTCATCAGGCTGGGCACAGTGGCTCATGCCTGTAATCCTAGCACTTTGGGAGGCTGAGGTGGGCGGATCTTCTGAGGTCAGGAGTTCGAGACCAGCCTGACCAAGATGGAGAAACCCTGTCTCTACTAAATACAAAAAAGTTAACCGGGCATGGTGGTGCATGCCTGCAGTCCCAGCTACTTGAGAGGCTGAGGCAGGAGAATCACTTGAACTCGGGAGATGGAGGCTGCAGTGAGCCGAGATTGCACCGTTGCACTCCAGCCTGGGCAACAAGAGCAAAACTCCATCTCAAAATAAATAAATAATAATAATCTTCATTAGATACCTATAGATTAGTTCTCACTCATCAGCAACATTCATGTCTATGTTAGCACTGAAAGCAGTGATATATTCCCAAGCAATAAGTATTTATCCAAGTAAGTTTAGAATTAAAAAATTAAATTAATAGATTAGTACCAAAATTATGAAATCTCATTAAAATAACAAATTTTAAAAAGTATTTTTATGGAAGGGAATAAGAATTTTACATACAACTCAATGTAAATCTAGTGTATTTTTAATTTTTTAATTCATATATTTTCTAATGACTCATATACAGAATATATACATCATTTTCACAAAACACTAAGGAAAAGGCAATCCAATTAATGGTTAGAATGTTTAATAGATATTTCATAAAAGAGAATATTCAAATAACATAGATGTCTCTAATGAATTAACTTTAAAAGTTTGACCTCTTTGATCATTCTTTCCTTTTAATTTTTAATTTTCAAATTTAATTTTTTTTAAGAAGACCTAGCATGAGATTTACCCTTTTATCAGATTTTAAACTATATAATACAGTATGGTCATCTGTAGTCACAATGTTTTACAGTGGCTCTCTAGAACTTATTCATTTTGCATAATAAATTTTATACCCATCAGCACCTCCCTTTTTCCCTCTCTTCCTAGCCCCTGGAAACCACAATTCTATTCTTCGTTTCCATTAGTTTGACTAATTTTGATATCTCATGTGAATGAAATCATGCAGTATTTTCCCTTCTGTGACTGGTTTATCTTGCTTAGCATAGTGTTTTCCAGGTTCATTCATATTGTCACATATGGTAGAATTTCTTTTTTAAGGCTGAATAATATTCCATTGTATATATACATACAAAATTCCATTCATTTGTAAATGGGCGTTTAGGTTTTCATTTATTTTGGCTTTTGCAAATAGTGCTACAATGAATATTGGAGTGCTAATATCTCTTTAAGATTCTGATTCAAATTTTTTGGATAAATACCCAGAAGTGGGGTTGCTGGATCATATGGTAATTCTATTTCTAATTTTCTGAGGAATCTCCATATTGATTTTCACAATGGCTGCACCATTTTGTATTCCTGCCAACAGTACATAAGGGTTCCAATTTCTCCACAACCAGCCAACACTTACTGCCCTTAAAAAAAAAATACAAATTGAGTATCCCTAATCCAAATATCTGAAATCTGAAATGCTCCAAAATCTGAATCTTTTTGAGCACTGACATGATACCACGAATGGAAAATTCCATACCTGACTTTATGTGGTAGGTTGCAGTCAAAACTTCATTTTATGCACAAAACTATTTAAAATATTGTATAAAATTACCTTCAGGCTATGGTATAAAGTATATAAGGTGTAAATGAAACATAAGTGAACTTTCTGTTTAGACTTACATTGCATATCCAACATATATCATTATGTATATGTAAATATTCCAAAATCTGAAAACATCTGAAATGTGAAACAGTTCTGGCCTCAAGCATTTTGGTAAGGGATAGTCAGTAAGTGTGAGTGATATCTCATTGTCGTTGTGATTGCATTTCCCTGATGATTAGTGACATTGAATATCTCTTCATATACCTGTTGACTCTTCATATGTCTTCAAAGAAATGTCCATTCAAGTCCTTAGCCCATTTTAAAATCAAGTTATTAGGGTTTTGTGGGTTTTTTTTTGTTGCTGTTGTTGCTATCAAGTCATAGCAGTTTCGTATATATTTTGGAGATTAGCCCCTTATCAGATGTATGGTTTGCAAATATTTCTGTCTTTCCATAGGTTGTCTTCTTACTCTGTTTCCTTCACTGTGCAGAAGCTTTTTTAGTTTGATGTAGCCCCCTTGTCCATTTTTACTTTTGTTGCCTGAGCTTTTGATGTCATTTCTGTGAAATCACTGGATATACTGATGTCATAAAGCTTTTCCCTTATGTTTTCTTCTATGGGTTTTACAACTTTTCAGGTCTTATAGTGAAGTCTTCAATCGATTTTTAGTTGATTGTCATTACTCTGTGCACTTTATTATAAAATATTTTGGCTTTAGAGTTCTTATATGACAAGCCCTGGACTAAATAATCTCTAAGCACCCTTCCAGCTCTATTCTTCTGTGATTCATAATTTTACAAAAAAAGATGCAGAATTCTCACTTCTCTTTACTCCACAATACAGTCACTATACAAGCATTGTTTTTGGCAGGCTGTTCAACTGAAAGAACTAAATTACTAGCAGGCAGACCACATCACCTGGGAATTGTTTCTTACTATCTTACCACAGAAACTCAATTAATCTTAGGACTCTTGCTTTTGACTTTTCCCAAGAAACTTTTAAATCTGCCATTCTGTCAACTAGCATTTATTGGATTCCTACTATATGTATGGACGCAGGGTTAGGCGTGTGGGATAGAAAGATGAATACAACACATTGATGGTTTTAAAGGCAATCACAGTGTAGTGGGGGAGATAGAGATGTATGCTATATGGGCAATACCATGAAAGAGATATGTGCAGGATATTATGGGCATAGGAGAAAAGAGGATATAACTCAACTTGTAAGGGGTGATAATGGAAGGTTTCCAAGTAGAGGTTTTACCTTATATTGTTCCTCAAGCTGAGGTGTATACTTGTGGGAGAATGTTAGGCAGAGCATGCTAAACAATGAGAACAGTATGAGCAGATGAGCAGATGTGAGAAATAGCATTATGGAAAAGGTAGTTCAATCGTTGTTGTCTGCCCTATACCCCTTGTTTCTTTTTTGTTTTCTTTGTCCTTTAAAATGTTTTTTTGAGGCAGGATCTCACTCTGTCACCCAGGCTGGAATGCAATCACATGATCCAGGCTCACTGCAACCTCTGCCTCCTGGGTTTAAGCAATCTTCCTGCCTCAGCCTCCCGAGTAGCTGGAACTATAGGCGCAGGCCACTGCACCCAGCTAATTTTTGTATTTTTTTGTAGAGACTGGATTTTGCCATGTTGCACAGGCTGGTCTCAAACTCCTGAGCTCAGGTGATCCACCCACTTCAGCCTCCTAAAGTGCTGGGATTACAGGCATGAGCCACTGCCCCAGCCCTCTTTCTTGTTTTAGCAGTATACTTTTCCCTCACTCCAACTATGTGGTAGAACTGTTAAGCATATTACACAGCCCAGTTAACTATAGGGGTGGGTATATGACCCAGACTAAGCCAATCATTACATAGCATTCTCCTGGCTGGAGCAGTTCATCCAAGGGATGGCATATGACCCAAGCCAGATCAATCAGATTCTTTTCCTAGGGTTTTATTATACTAAAGTAGCAATTGAAAAATGGTGTCACAAAGTTTAGGACCATGTACTCTGGAGTGAAACTTCCTGGGTTCAAATATAATTTCCACTACTTAATGGCTGTGTAAGCTTAGATAAGCTATTAAACTTTTCTGTACCTCAGTTTTCTTATTTGTAAAACAGGGAGATCACAATAATACCTACATCATAGTACTGTTGTGAGGACGAATGTGTTAATACATGGAAGGACTTATAATATTTCCTGTCACATAGTAAATACTTATTAAATATTGTTGGTATTATTGTTGTGTTATATATGCTACTGTCATATTTGTTATACACTAGTGATTATTATGGGATTCTTACGCTGGAATGACGTAAGATTTGAATCACCCCTAGAGCAAGGATTCACAACATTGGAACTCTTAAAATTCAGGTCAAGATAATTCTTTGTTGCAGGCGGTTGTCCCAAACATCGTAGGATATTTAGCAGCATTCTGTCTCTATCCATTAGATGCCAGTAGCATCTTCCCAGTTATGACAACTGAAAATGTCTCCAGACACGTTCAAATGTTTTCCGAGAGTCAAAATTGCCTTTGGTTGAGAACCACTGTGGCCATTTTACCTTCCAACTGGAAAGAGACCATTTACTACAGGAAGGAATGAAGTCAGCGTGTAAAGAACAACTGAAAAAAGAGATGGGGAAGATGGAGAGAGAATGAGTCCTTAGGGCAACTACATCTTTAGTTCCAGTTTCTGAATCTTCTAAACTCTTCTTGTTCTTGCAGCTTACCTTTTGGTTTTCTTTATCCTTCTATTAAAAATCTTTTTTTTGTGTGTGCTAAATTAATTTGCTTGGGATTCTATTACTTGCAATCAAAAGAAATCTGACTATTGGTGTATACAGCTTATCCTCACTATATATATATATATATATATTCTGTGTCCCCTTAGGAATGTAAACACCATGAGAACACAGGCTTTGTCTGCCACATTTATTGCTGCATTTGCAGCATGTAGAATGGTGACTGACATATAAGAAGTACCAATTAAACATTTGTGGATGAGTCAATGAAGAAACTGTAAGTAGTTGGATGTTTTTATAGCTGAAAATTATGAAAGTGGGTATGTTGTATGTTATACGGGCAATTAAATAGTGTTAGAAGTCTTTTGATTGCAATCATCATTCCAGTGATGGTCGAATAACATGGAATACCATAATCAGGAATTATCACCTTAAAGATTGATTACTTAACATTGATCATGTGGCTGGGCAAGGTGGCTCATGCCTGTAATTCCGGTGCTTTTGGAAAGCTAAGGCAAGAGAATGGCTTGAGGCTAGGAGTTCGAGACCAGCCTAGGCAACATAGTGAGACTCTGTCTCTGTCAAAAAATTAAAACAAATTAGCTGGGAATGGTGGTGTGTGCCTGTGTCTCAGCTGCTCAGGAGGCTGAGGCAGGAGGTTCGCTTGAGCCCAGGAGTTCAAGGCTACAGTGATCTACGACCACATGACTGCACTCCAGCCTGGGTGACAAAGTGAGATACTGTATCTAAAAAATAAATAAGTACATAAAAATAACTTAAAAATAAATAAAAGCATGTTATTTAATGGGTGTATAATATTCTACCTTATGCATCTATCTTAACACTTCCATTATTGGATATTTGCAGTGTTTTTCATTTCTGCAATTAAAAACAATATTCTGGAGAATATCAATATCAATTAATAATAATAATACTGTCGAATAATTGCTTTCAGTACCTTAAGCTATGAAATAAGCAAAATAAGGATTGTAGTAGCTATGGCATACCAAGTAAGTACTATAAAACTCAGTTCTTTGGATGCCATCTAAATGAGTTTACACAAAGTAGAGCTAGAAAGTCTGGGTCACTGATTGACACCATGGCAAGAAGGATGTCTTCTTATATTTAAATGTAAGGTTGAATAGGTTGAAAATGCCACTTTCAGCAAAGGTGGGAAGATCGCTTGTGCCCAGGAGTTTGAGGTTATAGTGAGCTATGATCTCGCCACTGCATTCTAGCCTGGGTTGAGAGAGTAAGACCTTGTCTCTTAAAAAAAAACAAAAAAACGGCCGGGCACAGTGGCTCACGCCTGTAATCCCAGCACTTTGGGAGGCCGAGGTGGGTGGATCACGAAGGTCAGGAGATCAAGACCATCCTGGCTAACATGGTGAAACCCCATCTCTACTAAAAATACAAAAAAATTGTCCGGGCGTGGTGGCGGGTGCCTGTAGTCCCAGCTACTGGGGAGGCTGAGGCAGGAGAATGGCGTGAACCCGGGAGGCGGAGCTTGCAGTGAGCTGAGATCGCGCCACTGCGCTCCAGCCTGGGCGACAGAGCGAGACTCCGTCTCAAAAAAAAAAAAACAGAAAAGAAAAAGAAAACATTGGTCATCTTTAACAAAAGCTACACCACAGGGTCTACTTGTCTTCAGGAACATAAGAAATAAATTTTTGTTATTGAAATGAATGGTGTTTAAGGTAGGCAATTGTTAGAAATGATGTATAAGACCCACTTGCTCCTGCATGAAGGAGGTTTTAGAGTTCAGCAAAAGCTAGGAGTCTAGAGCCACGTTGGTCTTATGTACCTAAATTTCTCAGTCTTCTGCTGCCCAGTCTGACTGTAGAGCACCCTAGTCCTACCAGTGACTCCTACATTGCGCCTTCTTGAAAATGTGCTTTTCATGTAAAGTACTAGTCTTTGGGTTTAGGTCAGAGAGTGGGATCTCCCAGAGCTATCGAATAGATTATATAGTTTTTTTTTTTTTTTGCCTCCTTTCTAATGAACATTTGTGCATTGTATGTAATTTAACTTGATACTTTATTTTGTTGTAACTACTATCTAATAGCCAAGATTTGGGAGAGAGAACATGTAGTTTTCACATATCTTTTACCACCAGATGCTACAATATTTACAAAAACAAAACAAAACAAAACACAACTTGGCATTTGCTGTATTATCCAAATTGTTTTCACTCATCTGCAACACATAGAAATGGCTTAAAAAGAAAGGTAGAATAGCTTTAGCTTTATTCTGAGTTGGTGAAGAGCCACTAAAGAGTTTAAAAGATGTGAGTGAGTGACATCATAAGTTTTGAATTTTAGATGTCATTCTTGTAACCGTGTGGACAAAGGACCTAAGGAGGAGAAGAGACCGAAGGCTGGGAGATTAGTTAGAAAGGTTTTAATTTGGGTAAGAAACAAAACAGGCAGTGATTGCAGGAGAGAAAAGGAGGGGACAGATTATAAAAGTATACACAGTATTTAGAATAGGTAAGTGATTAAATAGGTTAAAGAAGGTACAGAAAAAGGAGAAATCATAGATGCCTCCTAGGTTTCTAGCTTGTATAATGGGGCATGATGGTGGGATCAAATGCAATAAATAGGGAATAGAAGAGGAAGTGCAGGCATTTGTATTTATTTCTTGAGTTTTTGTTTGTTTTGTTTTCTCTTATTTGCTTCCTTATTCTGTCAGCTTCCTTTATTTGCCAAATTCCATTTTAACACCCTGACTTCCTGACTGGCTTCTCTGTAGCTATGGTAAATGTTTACTTTTCAGTCCCCTTTGAGCTATGTCTACTCATACATCATTTTGACAATAAACAAAATAAAACAATAGTTAAATTCAACTAAAAGTGGCTGTTGAAAAGAACAACATTGAAATAAAACAACGTTGAATTGCAACAATTTGTCGGTGACTCATTAGCACCATCAACATTAAAGTCAACAAATATTTGAATGCCAACTCAATGCCAAGCACTGTCCTGGGCTCTTTAGAAACAAAGACCCAAAGCAGTTCAATAAAGTGGAGAGAGTGGTGATTTTGGAGTTATAACTGGATTGGATTTCTCCTTCCATTACCTACTGGGTTTGTGACCTTGAGCTAGTGGTTAGCTCCTCAGGGTCTCATTTATTTCCATTTGTAAAATGAGGAAGAATGCATAATAGAGATATCGTTCAGCTGTCATCTTAAGTGAGATAAAAAATCCAACTTAGCCCAGTAGCTGACATGTTGTAAGCACCTGATAAATGTTAGCTGCTATGGAAATATACTCATAACTGTACTCTCAAGAAGCTTACAGTCTATTACATATGTTTTTTTATATAAGCCTCTTACATCATTTTTATGATTAATTCAGAGAATAGCATAGCATTGGATCATATTCTTATCACAGAGAGGGCATAATGATTCAAAATGGTAGTACCTCATAGTCTTAGAGCAGCATGTTTTTCAAAACTCTGAATATAATCAAGTATAACATTTCAAGTCTTTGAGACTTACTTGAATGATCTAATGAAGAAAATGAAAAAACACAAACTCCTTTAGAATAGTAATAAAAACATGATATATTACAAACAGTTAAAGTATGTTAATTGGCTATAATGTAACACCAAGGGTGTGGTGGGGTTTGGATGAGAGGGGAAAGAAAAGAACTTTAAAAAGCAGAATTACATGAGGTAATACAAACCCAGAGTAATGAGAGTTTCTGCCAGATTGGGTTATAATGAACACACTGTGTTTTAATGAAGCTAGTAACTGAGTATCTTATTAGATTTCACTAGAATCCATTGCAGGCCATTTTATGGTAGCCCAGTTAAGATCTTTTATGAGTTTAGAATTCTGCCAGATATTTTGAAAAAGAAAACCTAACTTTATTACTCTACTTCCAGCATATAATTTGCTTGAGATGTTTGTCAGTAGTTAATAAACCATATTTTTCCTCAACTCAATATTTTTATTATAATAAATGAGGAAAAATGTTGAAAAATAAAAATATGCACCTAAAATATTCTTGCTTTCACAAAATCAGAAGGACTAAATTTTAAGTGAAGCATATGTTTTTGTAAAGTTTTAAGTTAAAAGAATAAAAATAAAAAGGCTTTTGGCTTAGATTTTCAAAACTCAGTAGGATTTTGCAAAGTACAAATTTATATATTTCATGCAAACTTGGGTAAACTCTGCAGAATAGCAAATTCCAGTAAAACAGATGGCAGTGACTCCTGGGTTGATTTGTCCAAGTGATGCTTTTCAACATTCAGCAATAGATTCTTTGACCATCCACATGGAAGGCCAGTGCTTGGTGATGCTATCCAGCTGGCAAGTTCTTTCTTTGTTGTCTACTATTCCTGGTTTTGTAGTCTTTCCCAGACTTTCAGCTACCTCTCATTTATTGACAGTCATAAGTTCTGGCTATGCTGCTATCCACATATCTTCTCAGTAGAGAGTAACTCACATGAATAATATGTTATTTTCTCAAGGGTATTTTATTTCACAAGTTAATGCTTCAAGAACATTTACTGAGCACAAAACAAAAATGTACACATTTAGTTTCAGACTTGGACAGTTTTAATGGAGCATTGGATATCTGTATATATCCTAATCTGATTTTTTTTTTTTTTTTTTTTTTGATGGAGTCTTGCTCTGTCTCCCAGGCTGGAGTGCAGTGGCTCAATCTTGGCTCACTGCAACTTCCCCTTCCCGGGTTCCAGCGATTCTCCTGCCTCAGCCTCCCAAGTAGCTGGGATTACAGGTGTGCACCACCACACCCGGCTAATTTTTGTATTTTTAGTAGAGGTGGGGTTTCACCATGTTGGTCAGGCTGGTCTCAAACTCCTGAGCTCAAGTGATCTTTCCACTTCAGCCTCCCAAAGTGCTGAGATTACAGGCGTGAGCCACCATGCCCAGCCCTCTAATCTGATATTTTATCATCAGTGGCCAATTCAAGGCTCTAACCATGTCCAGAATTAATATTATTCTTCTTCACATGCCTTCTCAATCACCATCCAAGGTAGAGTCACAGTCACTTCTCTGCATCATTCAGGAATGCTTTGTCTAATGGCCTTTAAATTGGACATTTCCTGCTTAGGGTGGAAATGGAAGGATGGGAAAGAGGTGGTATTTGTATGAGCCAAGTGAACCCCTAAACAGACAATTCCATTATTTATAAAGCCATGCCCAAATTTTAAATCAAGATGAAGATATGAATTTGTCAATGTTATTGATACTGTCAAGAAGTAGAGTTAGTGGACTTAATGATAGTGTTTTATATAATGGAGGTCCAAGTCAGACAGGAAAATAAGTGAAAACATTTCATCTATTTTTGATGTATTGTAGGGGGAAGAAGAGGAAGAGAGACAGAGAAAGGTGGTCCGATGTTTGTCCAATCACCCTTCTCTGGGTAAAAGTCCTGGAGGGAGAGGTTTATTAGATAAGCTGAAGGGAATAAAAAGGACATGAAACTTCTGTTCCACTTCCTACTTGGAACTCTTCAAAGAAGCAGTTTTACCACCTACCTCTGGCCCCTGCCTAATTATACCAGCTTTGAGAGTCAGAGGATCAACGGCCTACTACTCATATCAACTTTTTCTTTCCCTGGGAAAATAGACCTCACGGGTAGGTTTAAGAAGTGGAATACTTCAACAGAACATGATTAAAGATGGGCAAATGAATACAAATACCCCCTACCAGAAATTAGCAAGTGTTGGCAAGGATGCGGAGAAATTGGAGCCTTTGTGCACTGTGGATAGGATTGTAAAATAGTGTAGCCACTATGGAAAACAGCATAAACAAAGCTGTAGTAATCAAGACAGTGTGTTACTGTCATAAAGGCAGACATATAGACCAGTGGAATAGAATAGAGAGCTCAGAAATAAATTCTCACATACAGGGTCAAATGATTTTTGACAAGATTACTGAGACATTCAGTGGGGAAAGTATAGTCCTTTTGACAAACGATGCTGGGAAAACTGGATAGGTAAATACAAAAGAATAAAGTCGGACTAGTATCTTACACTATATCCAAAAAACCTCAAAATTGATCAAACACCTAAATGTAGTAGATAAAACTATAAAACTCTTAGAAGAAAACATAAGAAGAAAAGAAAAAACTGGGAAGTTGGACTTTATCAAAATGTAAAACTTCCATGTTTCAAACGACACTATCAGCAGAGTGAAAGAGCAGTCTGTGAAATGGAAGAAAATGTTTGCAAATCATATATTTAATAAGGGATTAACATCCAACATATAAAAAAAAAAAACTCGTACAACTCAACAACAAAAACAACCAGATCGAAAAGTGGGTAAAGGACTTGAATAAACATTCAACATCTGTACATCTTATACAGATGGCCAATAAACACAAGAAAAGATTCGCAACATCACTGATCATTAGGGAAATGCAAATCCAAACCACAATAAGATTCCATTTCATACCCATTAGTATAGTTATTATAAAAATAAATGAATAAAAATACCCAAAAAACCCATTGGAAATTGGCAAATGTTGGCAAGGATGTGGAGAAATTGGAGCCCTCGTGCACTGTGGATAGGATTGTAAAATAATGTAGCCACTATGGTAAACAGCATGGTGGTTCCTCATAAACGAAACATACAATTACTGTATGATCCAGCAATTCTCCTTCTGGGTTTATACCCCAAATAATTGAAAGCCCGGATTCAAAAAGATCTATATCTATAGATATAGGTATTGATATAGCTCTATCTATCTATCTATCTATCTATCTATCTATCTATCTATATATCTGTGCAACCATCACCACTATCCATCTTCACAACTTTTATGTTCCCAAAATAAAACTTTGTACTGGTTAAACAGTAAGCCCCCATTCCCTCCTTCCTCCAGTCCCTGGTAACCACTAATCCACTTTCTGTCTCTACGGTACATACAAAAGAATAGGTACATACAAAAGAATAAAGTCGGACCACTATCTGACTACTATCTGATTGGTCAGGCTACAGTGTGTGTGTGTGTGTGTGTGTGTGTGTGTGTATACACGTATACACATATGTGTATACGTGTATATACACGTATACATATATGTGTATACGTGTATATACACGTATACACATATGTGCACACGTGTGTACACGTGTATATACATATATACATGTGTGCACACGTGTATACATATATGTGTATGTATGTGTATACGTGTATACATATATGTGTATGTATGTGTATACGTGTATACATATATGTGTATGTATGTGTATACGTGTATACGTATATAATGTATATGTGTATACGTGTATACATATATGTGTATGTATGTGTATATGTGTATACATATATACATATATGTGTATGTGTGTGTATATGTGTATACATATATACATATATGTGTATGTGTGTGTATATGTGTATACACATGTAATATATGTGTATGTATGCGTATATGTGTATACATATATACATATATGTGTATGTATATGTATGAATATGTGTATTTGCATATATACATATATGCATACACATATATACACAGTGACATTCATATATACATATATGTATGCATATATACACACACATTCATAGTAACATTATTCACAACAGCCAAAAGATGAAAATAATTCAAATGTTCATTAACAGATGAATAGATAAACAAAAAATGTGGTATGTACGTACTAGACTGTTCCTCAGCTTTAAAATGGAATAATATTCTGGCACATGCTGCAACATAGATGAACCTTGAAGGCATTATGTTGAGTGAAATAAGCTAGTAACAAAAGGAGAAATAATTTATGATCCCTCTTCTATGAAGCACCTAGTGAAGACAAATTCGTAAAGACAGAAAGTGGAGTAGTGGTTACGGGGGCTGGAGGAAGGAGGGAATGGGGACTTATTGTTTAATGAATAGAAAGTTTTAGTTTGGGAACATAAAGGTTGTGAAGATGCATAGTGGTGATGGTGGCACAATAATATGAATATACTTAATACTACTGAATTGTACACTTAAAAATGGCTAAAGTAGTAAATTTTATATATATGTACGTTTATATATATATATATAAACACAATAAAAAAGAACATTAAAACTAATCAGTTACACACACAGACACACACACACACATATATATTTTTTAAATCCTTGTAGATAAAAGGAGGAGGCAGAGCAAGATGGCCAGATAGAAACCCCCAGCAATTGTCCCCCCTACAAGAACACCAAATTGAACAACTGTCCATGAAAGAAGTCACCTTTATAAGAACCAAAAAAATCAGGTGAGCAATAATAGTACCTGGTTTTAACATAATAGCAAGGAAATATGCTTTGGAGAGAGTAAAAAGGACAGGCTTGCATTGCTCACACCACCCTCCCCGAAGCCCAGGTGGTGCAAGATAGAGAATCTGTATGCTTGGGGAGGGGACAGCAAAGTGAGTGTGGGATATTGCATTAGCACTCAGTGCTGCCCTGGTCATAACAGAACACAATACAAGGGAGAATTCTGCCAGTGCCCGTGGAGGGAACATCTGGACAAGCCCTAAGCCAGAGGGGAATCTTCTGCTCCACTGAGAGGAATCCAGGTCCCGGCCATGGCCACCTTCACTACCAGCTGACTAAAGTGGTTTGGGGCTATCAGCAAATTTGACTAGCAGTCAAGACACAAGGATAGCAGTCCTTGGGCAAGCTCTGGTGCTGAGCTGGTCTAGGAAGCAGTGGACTTGGGATGGGACCCTGTGCAACACCAGTTGCGGCAGACATGGGAGTGCCTGTGTCAACCGTCTCTCAACTCCAGGCAGTGCAGCTTGGGGACAGACTCCTTCCACTTGGGAGAAGGAGAGGGAAGAGTACTTTATCTTGCAACTTGGGAACCAACTCAACCACAGTAAACAAAGTACCAAGGAGATTTCTTAAGACCCTGATTTCAGACCTTTGCTCCTTAATGGCATTTCTAGACATACCCTGGGCCAGAAAGTAATGTGCTCCCATTCCTGGCAGAATTCACCACCTGATGACTAAAGTGGCTTTGGGCTTTGATTAAATATCACCAGCAGCCAGGCAATAGTGACCATGAGCCTTGGAAAAACCCCAATAATTTGCAGGTCTGGAAGATGACATGAAGTGGTGCCCCCGGTAGGGGCCATGAGTGCCCACATCAGCCCTCCCTCAAGTGCAGGCATCCCAGTGCAGAGAGGGGATCATTCTGATTGGAAGAAAGAGAGGGAAGAGAGTACAAGATGTTGCCTGGTAAGCCAGGGAATGCTTTATCTTCCCCAAGTCCACTAAGGCTGTTTATCAGGAGCGTGCAAGAGTTTCAGCGTTCCTGGGCTTAGGGTTCCCCCTAGTGCTGAAACAGATGCAGTGTCCACAGGCTTAGGTCACTGCACTAAATCCCCTAAGAATTCTTGGAATGCTCTCTCAAGAATGGGTACAAACAAGCCCAGACTACAAAGATTAGAATAAATACCAAACTCCTCAAAACCCAGATATTGACAAATGTTCAAAAACATCATGAACATCCAGCAAATCATGACTACACCAAATAGAGTTAAATAAGGCACCAGTATCCAATCCTGGAGTAACAGAGATATGTGATCTCTCAGACAGGGAATTCAAAATAGCCATCTTGAAGAACCTGAATGAACCTCAGGATATCGCAGAGAAGAAATTCAGAATTCTATCAGAGAAATTTAACAAAGAGATTGAAATAATTTTTAAAAATTAAGCAGAAATTCTGGAGCTAAGAAATTCAGTGGACAAACTGAAAAATGCATCAGTCTGCCAACACCAGAACTGATCAAGCAGAAGAAAGAACTAGTGAGCTTGAAGACAGATTATATGAAAATACACAATCAGAGAAGAAAAGGTAATTTTAAAAAATGAAGCATGCCTACAAGATCTAGAAAATTGCCTCTAAAGGGGAAATCTAAGAATTATTGGCCTTAAACATGACATATATATAGAGAGAGAATGAAGTAGAAAGTTTATTCCAAGAAATAACAGAGAACTTTCCAAACCTAAAGAAAGATAAGAATATCCGGGTATAAAAAAGTCAAAGAATGCCAAGCAGATTCAACGCAAATAAGACTAGCACAAGACATATAATAATCAAACTGTCAGAAGTTAAGGATACAGAAGGAATCCTAAAAGCAGCAAGAGAAAAGCAAACTACATATGAAGGAGCTTCAATACGTATGGAAGCAGACTTCTCAGAAGAAATCTTACAGGACAGGAGGGAGTGGGAGGACATATTCAAAGTGCTGAAGGAAAGCAACTTTCAACCTAGAATATTATATCCAGGAAAATTACCCTTCACAAATGAAGGAGAAATAAAGACTTACCCAGAGAAACATAAGCTGAAGGAATTTGTAAACAACAGACATGTCTTAACAAGAAATGCTAAAGGGAGTTCTTCAATTTGAAAGGAAAGAAAATTAAGGACCAAAAAGAAATCATCTGCAGGTATAAAAATCACTAGTAAAAGTAAGTACACACACAAATATAGAATACTCTTAACACTGTAATTGCAGTGTGTAAACTACTCATATCTTTAGTAAGAAGACTAAAAGACAAACTTATCAACAATAATAATTATAGTAATTTTTGAAGAGATTGACAATATAAAAAGATATAAATAGAAACAACAAAAAGTCAAAAAGTCGAGGGATTGTGTTAAAATGTAGTTTTTTAGTTTTCTTTTTACTTGCTTTTCTTTTTATCAGAGTTAAGTTTTCATCCATTTAAAATAACTGGCTATAAAATGTTCTTTGCAGGTCTCATGATAAACAAAAAATGAAAACCTATAATAGATATACAAAAAATAAAAAGCAATGGATTGGCTGAGTGCAGTGGCTCAAGCCTGTAATCCCAGCACTTTGGGAGGCTGAGGCAGGTGGACTGCTTGCGACCAGGAGTTCCAGACCAGCCTGGCCAACATGGTGAAACCCTCTCTGTACTAAAAATACAAAAATTAGCCAGGTCTGGTGGTGTGTGCCTGTAGTCCCAGCTACTCCAGAGGCTGAGGCATGTAGCTTGAACCTGGAAGGCAGAGGTTGCAGTGAGCTGAAGTTGCGCCACTGCACTCCAGCTTGGGCAACAGAGTAAGACTGTCTCAAAAAAAAAAAAAAAAAAAAGAAAGAAAGAAAAAAAAAGTCCCAGTAAATTAAAACACACTACCAGAGATCACTGTCATGTTAAAAAAAAAAAAAAAAGATAGGAAGGAAGTGAGAAAGGACGAGAGGACTCACAAAACAACCAGAAAACAGATAACAAAATGGCAGGAGTATGTCCTTACCTATCAATAATAACATTGAATGTAAATGAACTAAATGCTCCAATCAAAAGACAGAGTGGCTGAATGGATTTAAAAAACCCAAGACCTCATTATATGCTACCTACAAGAAAACCACTTCATGTATAAAAATAAACACAGACTGAAAATGAAGGATTGGGAAAAGATATTCCATGAAAATGGGAACTAACAAAAAGCAGGAGTAGCTATATTTAGATAAAATAAATTTTGAGAAAAAAATCTGTATAAAAAGATAAAGAAGATCATGGAGTAAATTCAGCAAGAGGATATAACAATTGTAAATATGTATGCATCAAACACTAGAACATCCAGATATATAAAGCAAATATTATTAGAGCTAAAAAGAGAGATAGACCCCAATACAATAATAGCTGGGGACTTTGACACCCCTGTTTTTGGCATTGAACAGATCATCTACACAGAAAATCAAAGAAACATCAAACTTAACCTTCACTATAGAGCAAATGGACCCAATAGACATTTACAGAACATTTTATTTAACAGCTGCTGAATACACATTCTTCTCTTCACACATGGTTCATTTTCAGGGATAAGACCATATGTTATGTTACAAAGCAAGTCTCAAAAATTCAAGAAATTGAAATCATATAAAGCGTCTTTTCTGACTGTAATGAAATAAAACTAGAAATCAATAAGAAGAAGAACTTTGGAAACTATACAAACACATGAAAATTAAATAATATGCTCCTGAACAATCACTGATCAATGAAAAAACTGAAAAGAAAATTTAAAAATTTCTTGAAATAAATGAAAATAGAAACACAATATACCAAACATATGAGACACAGCAAAAGCAGTATTAAGAGAGCTCACAGCAATAAATACCTACATCAAAAAAGTAGAACAACTTCAAATAAACAACAATGCCTCTGAAAACACTAGAAAAGCAAGAGCAAACAAAACCTAAAATTGGTAGAAGTAAGGAAAGAAATTCTCTCACATCAGCGGCCCTCCTAGGGAACCCTCAAAATAAACTAATATCTGGCCCTTAAAGATAACAACAAGCTTTGTGCCAGAACTCTTGATGATGGCAGTTTTCTTTGAGGAAAAGGAAGATTTTTAACACAATTTTTAGTTTGCACATAGGAATTTAGAAGGAGCAAGAAGGAGAAGAGAATACTTCCAAACTTGTTTCACAAGGCAAATATTACCCTGATACCAAAATCAGACAAAAATCAGATCTAAAAAAGGAGAAATCTATAGGCCAATATCTCTGATAAATATAAATGCAAAATTCGTCAGCAAAATGCTAGCAAACCAAATTCAACAGCACATTAAAAAGATCATTCATCATGATCAAGTGAGATTCATCTCAGAGATGTAAGGATGTTTCAACATATGCAAATGTATAAATGTGATACATACCATTAACAAAATGAAGGACAAAACTATATGATCACTTGAAAAGATGGTGAAAAAGTATTCTAAAAATTCAACATCCCTTCATGATAAAAAAAATCTCTCTGTAAACTGTGTATAGAAGGAATATACCTCAACACAATAAAAGCCATATATGACAAACTCACAGCTAGTATCATACTGAATAGGGATAAACTGAAAGCCTTTCCTCTAAGATCTGGAACAAGACATGAATGATCACTTTCACCACTCTTATTCAACATAGTACTAGAAGTTACAGCCAGAGCAGTAAAACAAGATAAAAAATATAAAGGGCATCTAAATTGGAAAGGAAAAAGTCAAACTGTCCTTATTTGCAGATGATATAATCTCCTATTTAGAAAAACCTATTGACTCCACCAAAAAAACTGTAAGAACTGATAAAAATTTCAATAAATTGCAGTATAAAAATCAACATACAAAAATCAGTAGCATATCTATATGCAAACAGTGAACAATCTGAAAAAGAAACCAAAAAAGTAATCTCATTTGCAATAGCCACAAAAAATTAAAATACCTAAGAATAAACTTAACCAAAGATGTGAAAGAGCTGTACAACTAAAACTATGAAACATTGATGAAAGAAATTGAACACTATACACAAAAAAGGAGATATTCCATGTTCATGGATTGGAAAAATCATTATTGTTAAAATGTCCATACTACCCAAAGCAAAATTTATACGGAACTATGAAAGATTCAGAATGACCGAAACAATCCTCAGCTAAAAGAACAAAACTGGAAGTATCACATTACCTGACTTCAAATTATACTACAAAGCTATAGTAACCAAAACATAATGGTACTGGCATAAAAACAGACACATAGACCGATGGAACAGAATATAGAACCCAGAAACAAATCTATGCATTTATAGTCAATTTGTTTTTCATAAAAGGACCAATGACATACAATGGGGAAAGGACAGTGTCTTCAATACATGGTGTTGGGAAAATTAGATATCCATATGCAGAAAAATGAAATTAGATCCCAATCTCTTGATACATAAAAAAGTCAAATCAAAATTGATTAAACACTTACATCTAAGACCTGGAGCTATGAAACTACTAGAACAAAACATTGGGGAAGCACTCCAGGACATTGGGCTAGGCCAAGATTTCTTGAGTAAGACCTCAAAAGCACAGGTAAACAAAGTAGAAATGGACAAACAGGATTATATCAAGCTAAAAAGCTTCCGCATAAGAAAGGAAACAGTCAACCAAGTGAACGGACAACGCACAGAATTGCAGAAAATATTAATAAACTACCCATTTGACAAGGGCTTTATGACCAGAATATACAAGGAGCTCAAACAACTCAATAGGAAAAGAAACCCAAATAATCCCATTTAAAAATGGGCAAAATATTTGAATAGATATTCTTTGAAAGATGACATATATGAAAAAATTCTTAACATCATTAATTATCACAGAAATACAAATCAAAACTATAATGAGTTATCATCACACCCCAGTTAAGATTCCTTTTATTAAAAAGACAAGCAATAATGGATACTGATGACAATATGTTGAAAGGGGAGCCCTTGGTGGGCTTCATTTTTCTGCATATGGATATCTAGTTTTCCCAGCACCATGTACTGAAGACACTGTCCTTTCCCCATTGTATGTCATTGGTCCCTTTGGGAAAAATATGCTGTTGGTGGGAATGTAAATTAGTATAGCCACTGTGGAAAAGAGTATGGAGGTTACTGAAAACTAAAAAGAGAACTACCACATGATCCAGCAATCCCACTGCTAGGTATATACCAAAACATAAGGAAATCAGTATATTAAAGAGATATTTGCATGCACATGTTTATTATAGCACTAGTCACAATAGCCAAGATATGGAATCAACCCAAGTATGCATCAGTGGAGGAATAGACTAAAAAAAAAAAAAGCGGTACATATACACAATTAAATGATAACTCACCCAAAAACAAGGAGTGGAATTATGTCATTTGCAACAACATGGCTGGAACTGGAGGATATTATATTAAGTGAAATAATCCAGGTACGGAAGGACAACTATTGCATGTTCTCACTCATATGTGGGTGCTAAAAAAAAAATTGAATTCATGGGGATAGAGGGTAGAATGATGGTTACCAGAGGCTGGGAGGTGTATTGGGAAGGGGGATTATAAACATGTTAATGAAAACAAAAGTATAGTTAGATAGAAGGAATAAGATCTAGTGTTTGGCAGCACAATAGGGTGACTATAGTCAATGATACTTTATTTTATATTTTAAAATAACTAAAAGAGTAGAATGTGAATGTTAGAATGGAAATGTTCCTAACACAAAAACATGATAAATGTTGCAGGTGATAGATATCCCAATTACCCTGATTTGATCATTATATATTGCATGCCTATATCAAAACCTCACATGTACCCATGAATATGTACAACTATTATGTATCCACAATAATTAAAAATAGAAAATTAAAAAAATCACCCATTACAAGTGTCTTGTCAGTTGCTATACTTCCTCCTAATGTCAGCTATTCATAGGGACATGCTCCTTAACCCTACTACCCTCCTGCATCTCCCTTTACTCTCAACAGATTTTGCCTTCTTAGATACCTTTATAAGGTAACTCCCTGACATGTTTTCCTCATTTTGACTCCATACCTAAATGTGCGTCTATCCTTATATTCTACTGAGAAGAAGCAATTTCCCTCCTTCTGTCAAAGCCTGTGTTCCCTTTTGTGATATGGTAGTTATGAAATACAGGTATTGGGGAGAGAGGAAGAGATAAAGACAAAGTCAGAGAGAGAAGGGAGGGACAGAGAGATGGGCAGGGAGACAGAAAAGGATTTCCTAAATTTCTTTTATTTCCAATTACCATACCAGGAGGCAAAGACACTTTGACTAGAGCTTTACATCAGGGAAGTCATGGTCAGATAGCAAGGAAAAGGGAAATATTTGTTCCTATTAGCCCGAGTGGAATAGGGGGAGTAGAAAGGGGAGGTACAAGAAGCAGGAAGGCAGATGCATCCCTATCTTTGCTCTCTGGACTGAAGTTTTAGAAAAAAGAGAGGCAGTTAGGTTGATTGAGGCAAATTCCTGGAGGCAGGGAGGATTCTGTCTTACTTGTTTGGGATTCTGGAAGATTCTGGAAGGAGAAGGCCTCAGAGGTTGCCACCTTACCGAAGTCTCCTTGAGCTCCCCTGTGTTGTGAAAGTTATTTATTACAAGCTACTGTATCCTGTGAAAAGATGTAGAATATAGCTGGGGGTCCTGAATGGGGAGCTTGTCTGGGTGGGTTGTAGCAGGGATAAAGTAGCCCTGGCTCCCATGAACACATGATACTATTCTCAAGCCCTTACTGTGTCAGGAATTGTTCTAAACACTTACACGTTTGTACTCATTCATACATCACAATATTCCTCTAAAGTAGAACCATTTTTATTATCTCAAAGCCTTAAGTCTTACACAACTTATTCTTGAATATCATGCCTACCCAATCAACTAAAAATACAACATTAATAGGAGAACGATATAAAGTATATTTCAGAAAGTAGGTTATTGGTGCATTGCAGAGGTTATGGAAATAAAGCTTTACTGCATTCACCTTATACTTTATGTCACTAATGTAGTTCAGTAACTTTGATTTCATTTCCCCCTTCACTGGATAATTGCAGGAACCTTGGCCCTTACATTCCAGTTCCAAGTGGTGAACATATCCTTTAAGTAGGTCTAAATCCTTCAGTTGGCTGACTGTCATTATTTTGTTTCAGACTAAATTTCCCATTGAGGGAATATTCATTCTCTTTTCAGACTCATCTATGTATTGCCAGGTGCCAGTGCACTCAATCTTTCATAATTTTGCAAGTATGTCTCTTCTATCTTTGGCAGGGAGCATACTTGCAAGGTGGCTTTACTGCTTAATGTAAATAGAAAGGGTTTCAATAGCACAGATCCCTTTCTTCAACTGTTAAATAACTATAGACATTCCCTAAATAACATTCCCTATAAAGATTTCACTTAATGTCAATTACCTGAATGATATTTGGAAAACTGCCAGAGCTATTTCTCATTCCCATTTTCATTCTCAAAGATTGAAACCATGAAGTGTAAAATCTCTCCCTGTGTCAAAAAAAGAGGCAGCTTCCTCATCCCTAGATGGTTTTGAGTAATTACTCTTTCATATGAACTGATAATCTTTCTCTCACTGATTGCTTATTACACAGATGTTACTTTTGTTCCCCAATTTCAGTGTTATAATTGGGTTCCACTACATTCTTTGCCTTGTTGTCAGAAAACCAGTAACATTTTCTCAATGTACCATCCCTCTGATTTGTATCCAAAATTACTCTAGTCAACCTTTGTGTGGTATTTGATAAATCATGTCCCCTTTCCAAATCTGAACTGCTTTCATATACCCTCTTGATCTTTATTGTCATTTCTGTAAACTAAATCGACTGAAAAATGTTGATGCCTTTATATTTTTAAGTAACTTCTCTTTTTACTTAGCTTGTGTGAAATTATTATCCTTAGCTAAATTACTATTTGTTAGTTTATCCTAATTCCTTGAAACTAGATTTGTATTTCTCTTTTTCCCGGAAGTATTATGAAAACAAACTACTCTTATCTCATTCTTCTATGCCCCGAGACAACTTTATCTGTACCTCTATTTAGCACTAACCACAATTTGCCTTGCATTATTTTCATATATAAGCGTCTAGCTAAGTGACTGCCCCATAGCTTTTTGTTTTTATTTTCTAGAGGGTAGGGATCACAGCTTATTCATTCTACAGAACTTAGCACAGTGCTGTAAATATAGAAAGTAGTTAATAAAGCGGTAAGTTATTTATATTGGGTGATGTGATTTGGCTGACAATGAGCACATAGCTGTATCTGTTTCTTGAAATAGTCATTATTTCCCTTTCCTTCTCCCTTGCTTTCTGATAACATGTGGTCAAATGCTGGTGCTTGTTCTAGCCCATGTTTGTTTTGAGACCATGAGTAAGAACAAGAGGCTGAGGTATTTATCGGCTAGAGTGAAGGGAGTTTGTGGTTCCCTGTGTGGATATCATGAGTGTTTTATTATGATTGTGGTTAATAATAATCATTGTGATAACTAATCGTTCTGTAGACCTTCGCAATTCTGCTTGTAAAATGCCAATTATGTGTCAGGAACTTTATATATTATATAACTAACCTTCACATGAGATATAAGAAAGCTATTGTTATGCCAATAACAATATAAACAACAATAATATTTATTGATACCAAGCATTGTGATAAGTGCTTTCCAAGCATTCTCCCACTGAACTCTCATAATAACCCTAGGAAGAGGTTAGTACTATCAATATATCTAGTTTATAGGTAAGTAAACTAAAGTTCAGACTGTTTATGTAACTTGCCCAATAGCAAACAACTGGTAAAAGTAAACCAGAGGAAATGGAAAAAAATAATGGGCAAATATATACTAGAATTAAAGTTTAATGAGATGAATGAAGAATGAAATCTACAAGTTGAAAGGACTTATTATAGACCAGAAAATAAAGAAGATAGATTAAACTCTAAACTAATCTATCTGAAAGTTTTAAATTTTATGAACAATGGGAGTTCTGAAAGGATCCAGAACCCCAGCTCCCAAATCAGATCACCTTAAAGCAATAAAACTCAGACCGGCCTCAGAATTAGCCTCAGCACAAAAAATGCCAGAAGACGATGCGATCACCTAGTCATTAATTAATAATAATTAATGATTATTATGCACCAGGCATTGTGCTACATAATTAATATTGCCAGTCTCATTTAATCTTCATTACAACCTTTTGAGGTTGGTATTATTTTTTATTTCCACTTGAAGTTGAAGAAATGAGGCACAATGTAAATTTCTCGGGTTCACATAGGTAGTAAATTGCAAAAATAGAATTTATACGTGTTTGAATCCAACACCTATCTTCTTACCACTTTTGTGCCCTGCCTAACTTGCTTTTACATCTCTGTTGTCAGTTGCTTAAAGCTGTGACTTATTCTACTTCTTGCTTGATTTAACCCAACACATGGATTATTTCCTGATATCAAGATTTGGATGTTTGCTTTAACACTTATTCTTCTAACATGTCTCACACTCCATGTCCAAAATGACCTTAGGTTTCGGTTTTAAACCTATTCTTGCTGTATCTGGTTTCGTATGTAAGATACTAATTTTGAAATCTGACACTGACAGTGATTTGGAAGTCTTCTGTGTTTTCTCACATCTACCTTCACTTCTCCACAGTCTGCCTCAGCATAAGGCTCACCAGACATTACTTCCTGCCTGAAACACACTGTATGGACAGGTAGATTTGGTGACCAAAGAGGGTCTGAATGTTAAATTTGGCTAAAATATTACTCTGCGTATTGCTTTCTTGAACGAATGGTTTTTTTCCCCCAATGATTTCAGTCATACTAAAAGTTTCTCTTTTTTACATAAAAACAATATCAAAGAACAAGGACTTTAACTGAGAATGGAACTATGTGTTTTTCTAGCACACTGTTTGTCAAGCTTTCAGGAGACAGAGTGGGCTTATAAACAGAACAAAGCTGGGAATAGAAATGATTTGTGTCAATATATGTTATCAATATTTGCATACATGCCAATTTGCAAAACAAATACTTCAAATTCATTTCTACAACATTGAATAACTAACTACTCTAGGCAAAACTATGTCTGTGTCCTCCGAGATGAGCCAACAAACTACTTTGTAAAGAGACCTTAGTTATTCTCCACAAAGGGGCATGTTTCTGGAAGAAGATAGAATAGGCTCCGAAAGAACACAGACTTAGTTTGAATCTTGATTCTTATTCTTAACACCAGTGTGACCTTAGACAAAAGATATTAGAGTCTGTGAATTTCAGCTTCCTAATCAAACAAGATTTGGGGATTTTACTACTTAACTCTTGGTTTGATTGTACCAATTAAATGACATAGTGCACATGAAAATACCAAAGGAAATTCCTAGTATATGACACTAAGTACTCAATGTTACTTACTCAGTCTCCCTTCCCACTTGGTATCTTGAACCTGTCAGACAGTAATGGTGACAGATTGGTTTTATGAAACACTTAGTAGGAACTCTATAAAGTGCTTGATTCAGTATTCAAAGAAATATAAATATACATAACAAGAAAATTTAGCATACACAGAATGCTTTTATACATTTTAAAGTGTCTTTTCTGGCCTAGCGTGGTGACTCACACCTGTAATCCCAGCACTTTGAGAGGCTGAGGTGGGAGGATTGCTTGAGCTCAGGTGTTAGAGACCATCCTGGGCAAGATAGTGAGACATGGTCTCTACTAAAGATCAAAAAAGGTGGCCAGGCATGGTGGGACACATGTGTAGTCCTAGCTACATGGGAGGCTGAGGTGGGAGGATGGCTTGAGCCTGGGAAATCGAGGCTGCAGTGAGCTATGATCATGCCACTGCACTCCAGCCTGGGTGGCAGAGTGAGACTCCAACTCAAAAATAAAAATAAAATAAAATAATTTAAAAGTGACTTTTGTTAGGTTGCCTCATTTGTATTTTACAAAATTTCTGAGGCCAGGTGGATAAATTATGAGAAAATTGAGGCAAAGACATGTTTAGTGCCACCCAAATCATGGGAACAAATTAGTTAAAACTGTGTTGGTGCAGTCCAAAGAGAGAGCTCTGAAAATTCCAAAACTGAATCAAGGTCTGAACTTAGGAGGTTTGAGGTTTCCTACTGCCAGTGGCCCACCAATCAAGCATAACCTAAATCCTGGCTAAATCCTAAGTCATTCCATGCCAGATAGATCATGCTAAAATGCAATCATGGATTATAGTTGACTCTCTGAGGTAAGAGTTATAAGATAACAATGAGATTCCAACATCAAAAACCTAATTCGTCTCAGCTTCTCATACTAAAACAGCTAGGGTGGAGGAGCAAAATCGTCTTAAAGTAGCATTACCCATTTTCCTTGTTTTGATATTATACTTAAGCAAAATGTTACCATTGAGGAAAACTGGATGAATGGTGCATGGGAGCTCCCTGTACATTTTTTTTTTCAACTTCCCGTAACTCATAATTATCTCGAGATAAAAATTTTAAAAGATAGCATCACACATCAAAATCTTGTACTATTTGGTACTTAATTCATTTTTCTTTTTTTAAAGTGTAGCTTTATTGGACTGAGATTGGAATTTAATATTTAAAGACCTACGACAATAAATAAATAAATAAAGGAGTCACTTCCCAAAATGAAAGATAAACTTTGAAACTCAATGAGGCTGGGCGTGGTGGCTCACACCTATAATCCCAGCACTTTGGGAGGCTGAGGTGGGCAGATCGCCTGAGGTCAGGAGTTTGAGATCAGTCTGGCCAAAAGTAGTGAAACCCTGTTTCTACTAAAAATACAAAAATTAGCCAGGCGTGGTGGCGTGCGCCTGTAATCCCAGCTACTCAGGAGGCTGAGGCAAGAGAATTGCTTGAACCTGAGAGGCGGAGGTTGCAGTGAGCCGAGATCACCCCACCACACTCCAGTGTGGCGACAGAATGAGACTCTGTCTCCAAAAAATAATAATAATAATAATAAAATAAAAGCAACATCAGAGTAAGGAGGCTCCCCACCACTAGGCCTAGCTGGGCACTAGTTTGCATGCACTCAAGTCTATAGGCACAGATCAGAGTCCCAGTAAAAAAGTGATGGGTGGCATGGCATATTATTACTGTGGGTTGGTATTGTTCCTCAGGCATTGTCTTTCTTTACCTTATGTTTCAGGCCCAAACACTATTTGTGCAAGAAAATATCAGCCAGGGTGTCCATGGGAAACCCTTTTTCTAGTCTACTGCAATCAATACTCTTGTGAGTTAGGCCCTTGCAACTGAAGAGAAAGCTCCATCGATTATGGTTAGCTTTAATCTGTTCTGCAAGGGGGTTCAGATATTCCTGGGACCTACACAACACTGTTAAAATAGTGCCCTATTGAGAACAGCATTGCTCAAGCTATGACAATGCTACACACTAAGTAGGCAGGACCCTTGTGACAACTCAAGTATGAAACTGGAGTGCCCTATTTACCTATGCTTGGTCCTGCTGTTTTCTTCTCTTTGTTTCATTTACCTGTATTTATTCATGATCCTCTGCCTCCAGACTGCTTTCTTGAAAATATATCCTTACCATTATCTCCATTATAACTCATCTCTTTATTATCATTCTCCATCATAATCTTAAGTTCCTTCACACGGGCCCCCAAATATCCAAAGATCCATACTGTGGTATTCCACCCTGATTATCCTGATGTGGACATTAACCTCATGGTTAGGTCCTTTCTCTCTATTTTCAGCCCATGAAAATTTACCCATTCTGTGTCTCATACAAATGGAGTTCAATTACGGTATGTTACACTGAAAGAATCTGATCAACTAATATATTAAACTCTAAATTAATTTTTTGCACCAATGATTATTGAGAACCTACTATATGCAAGGCATATTCTAGGCAATGAGGTTATAAAGATTAATAAAATAAATTCTTTGCTCTCAAGGAACTTACATGATAGTGGGGGAGACAGAACATAAACAAATAAACAAGCATGTAATACAATGTCTAATAGTGGAATTCCCTATGGAAAAAATATAAAATAAAGCAGGATAAAAGAATATAGAGGTTATTTTATTTTCTAATTTGGTCTTGAGGTCTTTCTTAGGAGAGTGGCTATAAACTCTAGCCTTGCCCTGATGGGGTTCCAGGGGATTTGGTCATGGTTATTTACAGTGTGCCTTTCACAGGATATTTCTTTATCCTGACTGACAGCTAATGCCTAAGTGTCTGACCTGTGACCGAGTGTCCCTCTCACAGAAAACTTGTTTATACTGGCAGATGCCCTTGTGGCTCTTGTCTGACCTGTGTCTAGTTTATTCTTCCAAGATAGCCACTCTCTAGGAGAGCTCTGACTGGGAGAGAAGTTAGGTGTGGGTGTGTGGGTCAGGTAAGACACAGAGGAGACAGCACAACAAAACAATGAAAAGACAGAGGCAGTGCATCAGTTACAGGTCCACAAGAGAAGAGAGGTATTGATGAAGGTCGACTGGAAGGTAAAGAGGGCACTGTGCTCAACCAGGAAATATGGAGCCAGTTAGAGGAGAACCCGTTGATGCAGGATTTTTCTTGTTGGTCACTTTGCAAGCCAGGGACCCCCAGGTGGTGATGCCCCACCTGGGCCTCTCTCGGCCATGCTGGCATGCCCCAGCTCGCCTGCGTTATAGCTTGTACTTGCATTTGGAGTTCCTGAGCTCTTTTACCATGCCCAAGAAGAATGAGGATATGTGGGACATTGGAGAGTGAGGAGGGCGGAGAATTTTATTGAGCAATGAAAATGGCTTTCAATGGAGAGGGGAGGGCAGGGGAGGGGAGGGGAGGGGAGGGGAGGTGGGGAGGGCAATGGTTCCCCCATGTGGCTGGGTCTGGGGCCCTTTATGGACTCAGAATGGGGAAAGTGTGCTGATTAGTTTTGAGTATGCAAAAAAGGTTAAAGCGAAGACAGCACACAAAGGTGGGCATGACAGTGTAGAAAAACCAATAGGAAAGGGTAGGTATATGTAAAATAGGCGAAAGGTGGGGACCAATCAGAGGAAAGCATGCCAAACAGGAAGACAAGTTCTCAATTCAGTCTGACGATTTAATCTGTAGCTTGGCTTTCAGGCTATAAACTGTCTTCGACTTGGAGATGGTGTTTTGCTAGGGACCCGCCCCTATCTGTCTAGGCATTTGTCTGCCTCTATCACTGTGGGCAGAGGCCTTTATTGGGGTCAAGGGTATTACCCTTGCCCTTGGTTTTCTGAAGAGAGTTCTAATTGGTGAGTTTAAAGCAAGCAGGCACAAATTCTGTGGGGTCACAGAGAGATAGTGACTGAGACATAGTCACTGTGGCAGATCCGTGCAGTCTATACGGGATGTGGGATGAGTGGGGTGAGTGCAGTAGGTTGTTATTCTATATGTCCCATAGGGAAGTGGTCACCAGGAGGCAGCTATATAGAACAGATATTTGGATTGATAACACTGGAACTGAGAGGAGGCGGAGAGCTGGAAATTGTCAAGGGCGACTAAGCCCGGCTTCTGGTATGATAAAATCTAACTTATATTCAGAATGGATGCCAAGGCAATATGAAATTGTAAGTATTTACTATAAGAGAATAATCACAAGGAGGGGCTGAGAGGACTCGCTTGAATTGATATTTGAGCAGAGACCTGAATGAAATGAGAGAGGGAGTCATGGGAGGGAAAAAGTTTTAGGTAGAAGGCATAGCAAGTACAAAGATTGAGTGAATAGAAGTAAATTATTGCATTAGTTTTTTGGCTTTCTCTAGGGCCCATACCAATACTTTTGTAAATTTCAGTTTTTATTGTGAATATTCCTTGCAACCTTAATTCCCTGGAGGCCCCACAAGATGGTAGGCTGTAAAAGGTCATAGTAAGAGCAATATTTAATTGTTTTGAAAGTTTCCTTCCTCCCTGTGCCTGCCAGATGCAGATTAATTCTGCATCTAATCCTTACTATTTTCCAAATAACCAGAATCTACAATGGAATACACTATTTTTCTCCCAAAGGGCCTGAGGAATCTTAAATTGACTGGTCAAAGTTCTGCTTTGTTCTGCTCCATTGTATAAAGACACATTGTCTTGACTGTCAGTGACAGTCACATTTAATCAATAAAGATTATTAAGATTGACAAAGTGACAGTCTTGCTCCCTGTGAGTTCCTTTCATACTAATTGGTTTAGCTCTTAAAGATCACAGTCTATCCCTCCCTGCAAAAAGACCACTGCACATGATGTCATTTTTCTTTTCAACTTCTTTTTCAATGTTTTTTTGGTTTTTCTGTTTGTTTGTTTTTTTCCTCCTCTCCATTGATTCTGATGCAAGGATCACCAGCTCTATTTTCTATGAGATACACTATTATGTTGTTAAAGTATCTTATTTGGTCATTCTGTGTCAAAACATCTCCCACAGATTATGATTCTGCAAGGTTCTGCCCTTGGTTACTTGCAATTATGGCTGAATAAAATCCTGGGCAATTACTTCTGGATTTAATTATCATAAGCACGCACATAACACACTTGGTGCAGTCAGGTGTAATACCCAAATAATTCATATCTAAGATTTAGAGTTCTATAAGGGAAACTTGGTTGTAGTAATTAATTTGGATGATCTCTTTAAGCTCCCATAGCATTTTATTTTAAAACAATTGACACCTAGGCCGGGCGTGGTGGCTCATGCCTGTAATCCCAGCACTTTGGGTAGGCTGAGATAGGTGGATCACCGGAGTTCAGGAATTTGAGACCAGCCTGGCCAACATGACAAAACTCCGTCTCTACTAAAAATACAAAAATTAGCTGGGCGTGGTGGTACGTGCCTATAATCCCAGCTACTTGGGAGGCTGAGGCAGGAGAATCGCTTGAACCTGGGAGGTGGAGGTTGCAGTGAGGTGAGATCGTGCCACTGTAATCCAGCCTGGACGACAGAGTGAGACTCTGTCTCAAAAAAAAAAAAAAAAGAATTGACAACTAGAATAATGCATATGGATTTTAATTTGTGAAGTCCATCATACATTCAGCAGTAAAGAACGAGTCACATTTATAATGCTTTTATTATACATTTCTAGTCAATCAAATAGCAGTTTATGAAGACAAACTTCTTCCTAAATGAGTTCCAACACTAATTTAGGAATGAATATTCCATAATTTGTTGCATCTGTTATGTCTGACCCAGTGGATGTGTGGGTCTCTACTAGAATATAATTGGGTATATAGGTGGGAAATGAACAGTTAAATTAAGCTGCATTGTTTTGAACTAAATTTCAATTAATCATGTCTTTTATTATGTATAGGGCAAAGTTCCACTCTTTCCAATTGTGAAGTCACAATACACATTAGATATTAAAACTAACATTATTATGAATCAGTCTACATGTTGATTGGATATAATTTTATTCTGTAAGAGTATAGAGACCGAGGCCCTCAAAGTATTTGTGACACTGAGAGATGCAGTTATACTTAGCATTTCAAATTTTAGAACAGAATCTTAATATGACTGATGAGATGAATTCCATATAATAGGGATAATAGAGATAAAGAACTTCTCTGTACAGCTCCAAAAGTGTACTGGAATTCTACTTACTTTAACTTTGTTGATACCTGGTTCCTAGAGTTATCTCTACTTTGATACAAGTTCTTTTTTGTTTCTGCCTCTGTGTTCCTATAGCACTTTTTTCATCTTCAGTATAGTGTGTAAGATATTACACTCTTTCATCTATTATGGTTTCTTTGTATCCACTATACTCTGAGAGCAATTTTGTGTTCTCTTCAGCTTTATTTCCCCTTGCTTAGTGCAGTGCTTAGTACCAAGTAGGTACTTAGTACCAAGTAGTACATGTTCATGGAATTAATAAATGAAAAA
Organism: Homo sapiens; assembly: GCF_000001405.40. Lineage (NCBI taxonomy): Eukaryota > Metazoa > Chordata > Mammalia > Primates > Hominidae > Homo > Homo sapiens. Next base: position 113,912,368 of record NC_000023.11, on the reverse strand, counting down.
ATGGATGCATAAAAACAGAATATATGTCACTGCAGTTTTTTCTTTCATTGTAAATTACTTTGCAGCGATGATATTTTCTGGTAATTAAAATATTGAGTACCCTGGAAAACCTGAGGAATTCTTAGTCCTTGTGCATGAAAGACACCTAAACAAATCATAAAATCTATACTAATTTTCTCAGTCATAAATCATTAAACTGACCTTGAGGACATGCCTACTGATATGATTAGAATTGCTATTTCATGCTAATTTATTATTGAGCCACACAATTATGAACCCCAACAAAAAAAGCAGAATATGATATTGCGTACTAATGTGATACCTTTGAAAATATAATAAATCGTAATACCACCCTCTTTCTGAGGTTCTGAAACTAGAAATCACATTCCCCTGTGAGATTTTTGATTTATATAAAATTGTTAACTTGTCTTGGTAACTTGGATTAATAAAATCATAACTTAAAAAATACCTACAGTGCCTTCTGTTTAGAGAATTGCATCTGAAATTGGAAATTATATTTTAACTACCGATGGGAAAAGGACTGGCTGTTTTTTAACCTTTCAGAACAGTGCAAATATTCTTCTTGCTAAAGAATATAAAACTACAATCTCAAAGTGATAGAGCAAGGCTTTAGGACTTGGTAGAGCAAGACCAAGTCCTTTAGGACTAGCCACAGACTGGTTATCTAGTTGGGATGAGTCTGTAGGTCACTGCTCCAGTCTGCTGCTTGAAGAGAACACCCAAAGCCTTTGCATTATTGACACTATGCAATGCTCACACGTTGTCTACCTATTGTGGACAAATCATAATGACTCAGTTAACTTGGAAATCAGTTACCCATAACAACCCTGTCATATTTAAGAACAGTGTCAGAGAGTTAAAATTCACCAGTAATTTGGTTTAGGAATTCTGGATTAACAGAACTAAAACTTTTGAACAACCTGTTACCATGTTAATATTAGTAATATAAAGTAGATACATGAAAGGTGTCTAGAACATAATTTTGAAAATAGAGTGAGTTATATTAAGCTTACTTTTAAATGTAAATATTCCTTTAAAAGTTGAAAAACAATTATTTCATAACAATTTTGCTTCGTAAACAATAGACACTCCCTGCCTTTCCCCAGCAGTCCTCTAAGAAGGATGCAGGTGTAGGCTAAACTTTTTTATTTTTGAGATGGAGTTTCGCTCTTGTTGCCCAGGCTGGAGTGCAATGGTGCGATCTTGGCTCACTGCAACCTCTGCCTCCTGGATTCAAGCGATTCTCCTGCCTCAGCCTCCTGAGTAGCTGGGATTACAGGCATGCACCACCACGCCCAGCTGATTTTGTATTTTTAGTAGAGACGGGGTTTCACCATGTTGGTCAGGCTGGTCTCGAACTCCCGACCTCAGGTGATCCGCCTGCGTCGGCCTCCCAACGTGCTGGGAATACAGGCATGAGCCACCGCGCCCGGCCAACTTTTTTCCAGATCTGATGTCAGGAGAAAGAGAAACTACGTCTGTTCATCTTACTTCTTTTTGGTTTCATTTTGTTTTTGCAATGAAATGGACAACAAATTCCAACGTTTGTTTTATAAGAGTATGCATTTTGCAAAATGTTAATATTTGTGCTAAAGGGAGAGAGAGAGAGAGAAGAGAGAGAGATGAAGGAAGGAAATGATCTGTGATTAAGTAAATTTGGGTTTCTCTGAGTTAAAAAGTTAAACAAGGTTCTCCTCCATCTAATAATTCAAAACTTTTAATGCCACAAAATATATTGATTATACTAATGATTATTGAGAGCATCTGTGATTTCAAAGATCCAATGCCTCAAAGAATATTACAATAAAAAATAGATTTTAGGAAATGCTAGAGTAGACAGTAAGCTCCTTTGAGAATAAAAAAAAAATTCTAATTCACTTCTGCATTCCTGTTGCCTAGCATAGTGTGTCAATTTATTCTGGTGCATTGTTAAGTACATAACATAGCTCATAAGTTTAGAGGGATAGACCTGTACCCCTCTGTGTGTCCAATGACTACAAGCCAAATTGAAGGTGTAGAAAATAGTCACTCTTATAAAAGCAGTGCAACAAGAAAAACATAAACCATACTGAACATAAGCCTATAAAAGATCACGGGGTATTCCAATAGAATAGTAAGAAATTTAGATTTTTTTTCTTTTAAACATCTATTTGCATTGCTAATATTTTCCAATCAAGTTGGATCTTGCAGCTAAATGACTAAAGTTCATTTTTGTATCATGAGTACAGATGTTTACTGGAAAAACGGGAGCATTGTTATTTCTTGAAATAGACACTGATCAGATTAAAAAAATAGATGCAAACTAAGACACGTGTTACTGACGACCTACACAGCCTTCTGAGATAAATCTCATCAAGGGAGCAGAATGTGTCACTCAAGCCTCCATTAAGGAGACAAAAATGGAGCAACTGCTAAGATGAGCTTTAGTTAATTAATTGTAACATGTCACAAGTCATGTTGGCAAAATAGAAGGAGGTGTGAACACAGGGTTCAAGTAAAGAAGTGTCAAAGAGAATTATACATTCATATGTCTATAACAGAGTTCTTAAGCATGCAAAGCTAGACACCAAATCCCTGGAGCCATCAGGACCACATCGATATACACTTTATGCAGGATTTAAGAACAAAAACTCTGGAGTTAGGCAGATGTTTTAGACAGCCTCTGACACACACAAATTGTGTGACCTTGGAAAATGTATTTAACTGTCTAAGCCTCAAGTTTCCTCAACTTATAAAATGAAGAAGAAACTACTAACTGTGTAGAGTTATATGAAGAATAAATAAGAAAATGTGTATTAAATGCTTCGTGCAGGGCCTGGCTCTAGTATGGTCGAGCTAAATTGTAATAGTACCATTACCTCTACTATGGCTACTACTATCAGATTGTCTGTCTAGCTGTCTCTTTCTCAACTTTTAACTATAGCTCATGACATCACTCCACTTTTTTTACATGGTAGCCTAGGTTGCAGTATTTCTTGATTAGCCTCTGTGACCCTAATCATCTCTACCATTTGGATGAAACTAAAGATATCTTTGGGTACAAGTTCTAACCTCCAAGTTGTTTTTTTTTTTTTTTTTTTTTTGCAATGTTTTATTCCTGGAATACCCTTTGCCCCAGCCCACTAAATGAACTCCCTGGGATGAGAGATTTTGATGTCTCTGCTTCCTGTGCTTAAAACCTCTGTTAAGATTTGTTTAAATGGGCTTTTAAATATGCTGCTTCATTTTCATGTCATTTATTTATTATTTATATATCACTCGCTTCCAGAAAAGATTAGAAGGGGCTAAGTAATGTTCCAGTAAGCTTGATTTTAGAAATCTAATCTCTGTATTAAAAGTAATTCATTATCCGAACAACAAAAGGAGTTCCTTGGGTGACAGTGGGGAGAGATGTTTACAGGGAAGCAATTCAATGTAAATGAGGAACCATACAGTTGCTACTTTTAAAGCACAAAGATTTAAAAGTTGAACTTGCCAAATGTTAGAAACATAAAATTAGAGACCAAGGAGGAACTTTGGGCATCAGCTCACAAGAAAGTCTCATTTTAACTATGAGGAAACGAAAGCCCCAGAAGTTAAGTGACCACTGTTACAAAGCTGGTTAGTGGCATCATTTTTCTATTTTAAACAGTAATAATTAAGCAAAATTAATTGATTATATTCTCCCAGTTACCTATGATTATAGGAAGAATGTTGCCCTTCCTGTAGCATTATCTACTGTATGTTGTCAGCACATCTTATTGATGCAAAGTACCTAGAAATTAAACATTTCTTGAATGCTAGACTCGTACGCCCAAAGCAACAGATAATTCCAAGCCCCTAACGCCACCACTATAAGGGGGAGGGGCAAAAAACCAACAGCCAATGTCATACACTTATTTCTTCAACAGTTCTTGGGACTCCATTTCTTTCAGGAAAAACTCATGGTAATCTGATTTTCAGAAAAGAGTCTTTGGCCTCCTTTATTTTTTTCGAATTTGTCCTAAGTGTGAACTTATTCTTGCCCCATTTTTAGAATGCATTTACTCCTGATCAGCAGATGAAATATATGCTTGGCTTCCATTAAAGAGACATACATGCTTGGCTACTAATACTTTAATGTAGAATCATAGAATTTTAGAAATAGAAGTATTGATACTATATCATTCTACTATCTATGCCTTATTCCTATACTTTTGCTTTCATATTAATGAGGAGAGATATCTGTCTTAAACTCTAAACTCGAATTGGAGGAACCTGTTCTTTCACTTATTCACTCAAACAAATATTTATTAATCAACTATTGTGTACCACCTCTTGAATACTTAGAACTGGGTCCAGGTGAATACACACACACACACACACACACACACACGTATATACATATATACATACATATATATATATCTATGTGTATGTATATATGGCCCCATATATGGCAGTGGTCCCATAAGATTATAATACTGTATTTTTTGTACCATTTGTAGGTTTAGATATGTTTACATACACAAACACTTACCATTGTATTAGTTATCTAAAGTATTCAGTACAGTCACATGCTGTACAGGTTTGTAGCCTAGGAGCAATAGACTATAACATATAGCCTAGGTGGGTAGTAGGCTATACCATCTAGGTTTGTGTAAGTACACTCTATGATGTTCACACAATGAAATGACCTAATGATGCATTTCTGAGAATGTATCCCCATCATTAAGAAATGCATGACTACACACACACACACACACACACACACACACACACACACACACACACAGAGTATGCTTTGCAAATAGCAGAGATTTACAAGTTTGATAAATGAATGAATGATATGATGGATGTGATCTCAAAAACATCTTGGAAAGACAATCTGTGTTCTCCAACCCTGCTTCCTAATTCAACCAATGGATAACTCATCACAGAGTTTGATGTACTATGTAATTGGTTAACTTTGTTGACACTGATGTTGATGGTTGTAATGGTGAATTTCATTGTCTATGATTTAAAAACAAGAGAACTGCTTTTCTCTGTGTCTATTGAACCTCTCCATCAAATGAATTCAAGGAGAGGTACCCTCCCTGAGTTAAAAATAACAGAATTGACTCAATAATTTTCTTCAAAGTAGGCTTTTATAACATCAGGTTTAATCAGTTGGATAAAGCTTTAGAATTAGCAAGACTGGTGTTATCGCAATACACATTTTCTGAGTTTGCTAATGTTTCTCTCAGTTGTTGGGGTTGGAATCGTGGGGCCAGGAGTTTCAAAACTTAAGTACTCTATTATTTTTTAAATTAGTAAATTTTAATCTGGGAGGCAAAGTGCAATATTGTTTTGTCATGTATTGAGCCTAACTCTATATGCAAAGCCACATTCTTCCCTCAAATAAATATATGCTTAATTTCCTCTGAAAATAACAGTTTTGCTTGAGTGGCTATACAATGTGGAGCACTGATTACTTCCTACTTGAATATACACTTCTTTCTTTGGTTCACAGATTTTGAATATAATCATATCTCTTGGGCACTACTCCTTTTCTGTAAGCTTACTGACTTACGGGGAATAATTAGTTAAACTTCTAGCTAATTTACAGTATCTACTTCAACTTGGAGTCTCATGAAATCCACCATTTACCTTGTTGTGGAAATCAGTATTAGTACACAGGAAAAACAAAATTCTCTATGACTCCCAGTATCTCCAAATTGCTATTTTTCTCACATAATATTTAGCAGTGCCCTTTGGAGCTTTTTGTTAACTAAAGGAATGGATGTGACTGACAAGGACAGTTGTTCATAGCTTTCCTAGTCCTAAGATTTCACTTTGACTTCTTTCCTAGTTCTGCAGCCTCTTCTATTGTGCTTCAGCTGGACTTTACAGTACTTCAGGGAGCCCTTTCAGCCCCTTGGCTAATCTGCCCTTGACAACTCTTTTTTCTTCTAAGTCAGCAGAGAGAGGTCCAGAGATACAGACTGACTTATTTGGCACTGCTTAGCAGGAACAGAGGCTGCATTTTTTTTCCCTTAGTCTGATTATATCAGTATGAAGCACAATTTCCTGTAATAAATCTCAGCATCTTCACCAAGGTTAACATCTGGCAGCCACTGTGGCCTTGATAGAGTGGGCTGAGTTAAATAAGCTGTTGGTGTGCCTGTCATTCAAGTATTTTTTTTTTTTTTTAACAAAGTTCCACATGATATGGCCCCATTGTTACTTAAAAACTACAACTTTTAACAGTCTTTGCCTTTCCCATTCTACTCTAGATAGATCACTTCAAGGCCTTTGTGCTTACTGTTCTCTGACCCTGGAATGATCTTTCCCCAGACCTGCCCATGACTTGCTTCCTTGTTTTATTCACATCTCTGCTTACATGTCACCTCCTCAGATAGTCCTTCTCTGAAAACTCTGTGTAAAATGACCTTCAACACTCAGAGTGTTCTGTCTTAGTCTGTTTTGTGTTGCTATAAAGAAATACCTGAGGATGGGTAATTTATAAAGAAAAGAAGTTTATTTGGCTCACAGTTCTGCTAGGTGTAAAGGAAGCATGGCATCAACATCTTCTGACGAGGAACTCAGGCTTCCCCCACTCATAGTGGAAGGGGAGCCTAAGTGTATACATCACATGATGAGAGGAAGGAAAGAAAGTAGGGAATAAGTGGCCAGGTGCAGTGGCTCACGCCTGTAATCCCAGCACTCTGGAAGGCTGAGACAGGCAGATCACTTGAGTCCAGGAGTTCGAAACTAGTCTGGCCAACATGGAGAAACTTCGTCTCTACTAAAAATACAAAAATTAGCAGGGCGAGGTGGTGCACACCTGTAATGTCAGCTACTGGGGAGGCTAAGGCATGAGAATCGCTTGAACCTGGGAGGCGGAGGTTTCAGTGAGCCAAAATCATGCCACTGTACTCCAGCCTGGGCGACAGAGTAAGACCCTGTCTCAAAAAAAAAAAAAAGTGAAGAAATGCCAGGCTCTTTTTAACAATCAGATCTTGTCAGAACAAATAGAGTGAGAACTCACTCAGCACCCTCCTTCCCTTCAGGGAGGGCATTAATCTGTTCATGAAGGATCTGCCCCCAGCCCAAACACCTCCTGTTAGGCTCCACCTCCAACATTGGGGATCCAATTTCAACATAAGGTTTGAAGAAGTCAAACATCCAAACTTCAGCATCTTCTTTTTCCATCTCTTGCTTTCCTTTCTTGTTAGAACGTATCTGCTACTTGAAAATATGCTACATATTCATGTTTATTACTATTACTATTTATAATACCACTAGAATGAAAGTTTCATTTGCATTAGAGTAGGAATAGTGCCTAAATTGCTTTCATTGTTTTTCCATTTTATTACCTCAGTGCCTGGCACATAGTAGGTACTCAAAAATATTTTTTGAATGAATGAATAGGATAGTAATTGAAGGCATGCTATGTGTTTGGCATTGTTCCAAGTTCTGAGGATTTATCCATGGATGATACTTATTCTTGCTTTTGTGAAACTTACATTCAATGAGAATTATTGTAAATAACCTGGCAAAAGATGATGAAAACTTTACTAGATTTGCAATAGTAGGCATGACAAAAAAGCATTGAATTGGAAAGATGATTAATAAGTAGGAAAAAGTCTTTGCTGATTTTCAGCCTTAGAATGGTAGTTCATCAGGGTAGGGATGAGGTTTTGATTAAGTCAAAGACCTTCTAACCTTCTTTCCTATGCTTTATTTTCTGAACTCTCTCTCCTTTTTCTCCAAGCACTCATTGTTGTCCTTTTTTCTTTTGGCTGATCAAATCTCTTCACTGGGGCAACCACCTCTAGTTTCCTAAGTGTCCAATACTCCAAATTTCTATCTCTTTACTCCTGATATAAACCTGTAATTCTTGGGGCTTTCAGATTCAGGCAGTCATATTAACATAAAACTTCTCTACATTTGGGATGCAGCAAATAGGTTTTAGCATAGTTATTTGCTAAGCACTAAGGATGCTTAATTAAACAAGACAGACAAGGTCTCTACCTTTAAGAAGCTAATAGTGACTCATACTGCTGTTTTATTTATAAAAAAAAATTAGGCAATGCCTACAAGCAATAAATACAATGCCCATATATAATTTTACCTTACAAAAGATGAAGTTGTGGTTCATACCAGACATATAGTGTGTCTTTGAATGTTTCGTGATTAGATGAGTTATAAACATAGGAATAACTGGAGGACCATTTGAACAAGACCTAAACATTTTAAATCAATCTATGAAATACAGACAGCTGTTCCATTCAGACGACAGGGCTATAGGGAACAGTTAGGGAATAGTATGAATATTATGGTTATAATTTTAGTATAATTTAAAAACTTATCATTACAATCACTAGTGAAAACTAAAATGAGGTTTTAAAAACGTAAGCTGGAAGCACCAATTTTCTAGTCCTCTCTTGGAATCGCATAAATTTCTGGTTGCATGTGTTGTTCATGTAAAGGTTGCAAAAGTTTTCAAAAGGGTCAGAAAATCTAGCAACGTTAATATAGGCATATAAATCGATGAAATTAAAGAGAAAATTGTAGTTTTAAAAGTAATTAAAATAATAAAAATATCCAGAATGAAGAACTTTAGAAGAGCATAAGTAAATTTAAGTTTCTCCATACCAATAAATGTGTAATGCCAATTTAGCATAGGTATTATTATATTTTTAAGGATTAAAAAATAGTTTTTTATGAGTCTATGGATTTGATTTTTGAAAGCTTCTACATAAATCATACCCAAATCACATTATTATTAAATATCATATGTTAACACTGAAATATAGGGAAGGCCTGAAGAATTAGATGACAGTGTTAAGGAACAAGAAGTTCAACTCAGAATAAAGAAGTTGGTCGGTGGGGTTGGGGAAAGATCAAGAGATCTTGTTTCAACATGCCGGTTTTGATTGCAAAGTGGATATGTAATAAACAGTTGAAAATTCAAGTCTAGATCTCAGGAGAAAGCCCAGGACCAAAAATATTAGAATGAAGAGCAATCAACATATAAATGGTAAATGAAACCATAGGGAGTTATGAGACCACCCAAGGACAGGAAGATGAGAAAAGATTTGGGTAAAGACCAATATTTAAAAGGCAGGCAGTGAAATTGTTTCAGATTCTTATATTTAATTGCCCTCAAGACATTTCCTTTTTGGGGGTTGCACGGGCATCTCAAATAAAATATGCAACTTCCAGTTAAGGAAATGATGCACTAGTTTGTTTTGCACTGATACCCCTGCTGAGAATACTAGAAAAAGCTAGACAAACCTATCTGAAGGCATTGGAAAGCTAAAAATACAAGAAGTACTGGTGGGACTAACATTCCAGAGAGAAGGGAATCAGAGGCCTACCATTTGGCGTAACTTTCCTAAGGGAGTTGTAGTTCAGAAATAACAGCTGAAAGACCTAAAGAACGGAACCTCTGGTAGTCTCACATGCCTGAGAAAATGTATTGAAGTTCAAAGCTCCAAAAGGATGATGGGTCCTGATAATCACTTCAAGCTTTTATTTAGGATTGGAAAAGTATACACCTTAGGAGTACTGAGGTAATAAAAATAGATTAGCTCTTATAAGAACTGAAGCATAGCTTTGAATCAGTACATTCCTTGATTGGGGTAAGGTAATCTGCCCATAGTGTAAATCACTTGTAAAAAGGTGGATAATAGTAATATTGTTCCGATTTTAAGTATCTAATTTTTATTCATTCACAATGTCTGACAGTCAATGAAAACTAGCCAGTTAAAACCAACCAGACATTGTGTGATGGAAGAAGCCATGACAGCTTATGAAGTAACTTAGCAAAAACCAAAAGAAAAAAAATCATGAACATGAATGAATCAGTTCGTGTCTCTGGATCCAGCTATTAATTAAGAGTAGGAGTCTGCATACATCTTTTGTAGAGGAAGAAACAGAGTAAATATTCTAAATTTTATGGGCTAGATGTGATTACTATTACTTTAAAAAAATTTTCACTATTAAAAAAAAATGAACTCATAGGTTATACGAAAGCATGTGACTGGCCATATTTGGTCTAAGGATTGTAGTTTGCCAACCTCTGATTCCGACAAAATATAGAGGACAGTATATTTTGTGGAATATGCTCATCTACATTATACAGAAGTATTCTGTAAAAGCCAGTCTATGGGCCAGGCACTGTGGCTCACTCCTGTAATCCCAGCACTTTGGGAGGCTGAGGCAGGTGGACCACCTGAGGTCAGGAATTTAAGACCAGCCTGGTCAACGTGGTGAAACCGCATCTCTACTAAAAATACAAAAATTAGCCAGGTGTGGTGGTGCACACCTATAGTCCCAGCTACTTGGGAGGCTGAGGCAGGAGAATCGGTTTAACCTGGAAGGTGGAGGTTGCAGTGAACGGAGATCATGCCACTGCCCTCCAGCCTGGGCAACAGAGTGAGACTCTGTCTCAAAAAAAAAAAAAAAAGCCAGTCTTTGGAAACTATCCATGACAAACAACCAATTTTTTTTCTTGCAATAAATAAATTAAATGGAAAAACCAAGTGTGAATCTACAGTTTAAAAATCATTAAAAATACCTGTCAGTTGCAATATGTGGACATTATATTAACCTTTATTTTTTAAATGTAAAAAATATAATATTTTTGGAAAAATGAAAATTTTGAACATTAACTTTTATGATATAAAATTATAGTTAATATTTATGTTTAATAATAATACTGTGGTTGCCATTTTGTAAAAGTGTTCTTATATTCTAGAGATATATTCTGAAATATTTATTGAAGAAGTACTATAATATCTGTGATTGGTTCTAAATAATGAGAGAAGTAGATGAACTGGATGGGCCACATGATAATGATTGTTGGGGATTGCTGATGAGTATTTTAAGATTAATTATAGGCCAGGTGTGGTGGTTCATACCTGTAATCCCTGTGCTTTGTGGGACCAAGGTGGGAGGATCACTTGAAGTCAGGAATTCAAGACCAGCCTGAGCAACATAGCGAGACCCTGTCTCTACAAAAAAACTTAAAAAATTAGCCAGGCATGGTGGTGTATGCCTGTAGTCCTAGCTACTTAGGAGGTTGAGATGGGAGGATCATTTGAGCCCAGAAGTTCAAGGCTACAGTGCGTCATGATCATGCCACTGCACTCTAGCCTGAGCAACAGTTGAGCAAGACCCCAACCCTAAAAAAAAAAAGATTAATTGTATTATTCTGTATGCTTTATACTTTTATGTATGTTTTTAAAAAATCTTCATCATATAAATATCTAAAAAGTCATTAGGAAATAATTGAATGAATCTAAGAAAAAAAGAAAAAACATAGACAATCGGAACAGATCAACAAAGAGACTCAGATTTTGAAGTTAAAAAAATTAAAATGGGCTGGGCGCGGTGGCTCACGCCTGTAATCCCAGCACTTTGGGAGGCCGAGGCGGGCGGATCACAAGGTCAGGAGATCGAGACCATCTTGGCTAACACGGTGAAACCCCGTCTCTACTAAAAATACAAAAAATTAGCCGGGCGCGGTGGCGGGCGCCTGTAGTCCCAGCTACTCGGGAGGCTGAGGCAGGAGAATGGCGTGAACCTGGGAGGCGGAGCTTGCAGTGAGCCGAGATTGCGCCACTGCAATCCGGCCTGGGCTAAACAGCGGGACTCCGTCTCAAAAAAAAAAAAAAAAAAAAAAAAAAAATTAAAATGTGAAGTATTATCAGAGAACTGATCACTATACAAATTAATCAAGTAGTAATTCTAGACCTAAAAATTATGAAAACTGAAATTAAAAGTCAGAACATTCGAGTTCTGCTTCTGTCGAAAATTGAATTTCAGAAACCAGATTTACTCTCAGGCCACATAAAATCTTAAAAATCGGACAAAATATATAAAAATGTTTTTCAGATATTGGATATCTGGTAGCATAGGACAATGCTCTGAGAGAAATGAGAAACAAAAATGTGAGCCCTTTGGCTGTGCTAATTTCTTCTTGGAGAGAGTTTTCAGGCTATAACACAGGGAGAGGAGAACTTAGGTGGAAAAGAGCTGTAAATATCTGCAAAGGGTTTCCCTCAATTCTTTAGACAAGTACTAATCAGAGCATGTGTAGGAGGAAAATATCCAAGGCCAGTGAATGGGGATGGGGGTGGGGAAACACCTGAAAGAATTAGAGGCAACAATCTCTGGAGCTAACGTGGAACTGGCAATAGTTTGTGTATCCACTAGCTACGATGAGAAAAAAGCCTTGTAATTTATGGAGATTTGAGTAGAAGACTTAGAAGTTATTGCCTTAGTAGGTACAAAATTAGGCCTGGAGGCTGCACTGACCATGTAACTGCCCAACTAATTCACCTTGCCCACTGCCTAGACAGAACCAATTTATCAAGACAGAGGAATTGCAATAGAGAAAGAGTAACTCACATAGGGCCAGCTATGCGGGATCAGAGTTTTTAAGGATAGTTTGGTGGGTGCAAGGGGAGGCCAGTGAGTCGGGAGTGCTAATTGGTTGGGTCAGAGATGAAGTCATAGGGAGTGGAAGCTGTCTTCTTGCACTGAGTCAGTTCTTGGGTAGGGGCCACAAGATCAGTTGAGCCAGTTTATCAGTCTGGGTGGTACCAGCTGTACCATCAAGGGCAGCATCTGCAAAATGTCTCAAGCACTGTTCTGTTATAATCAGAGATATCCCCAGGAAGCAATTTGGAGAGGGTCAGAATCTTGCAGCCTCCAGCTGCATGACTCCTAAACCATAATTTCTAATCTTTTGAATAATTTGTTAATCCTACAAAGGCAGTATGGTCCCCAGGCAAGAAAAGGGTTTGTTTTGGGAAAAGGCTGTTATCATCTTTTTTTTCAAACTATAAACTAAGTTCCTTATAAAGTTAGTTCAGCCTATGCCCAAGAATGAACAAGTACAGCTTGGAGGTCAGAAGCAAGATGGAGTTGGTTAGATCAGATCTCTTTCACTGTCTCAGTTATAATTTTACAATGGTGGCTTCAATCATACCTAATAAAACTTAAAAGGAAACCCCAATAAAATCAAATTATTTCCAAGTAAACTAACTGCATCATGGAAAAAAACTGTCATGGATATTCATAGGAATACAAAAATAATCAGCAAGACATAATCCACAATGTGTAGCATTGACGACTAAATTCTGACTTTTTTTCTTCTCTTGCCCAAGTTCCTATCTAAGGGGCCTGAGGAGTCATGCCCTATAAATCATAAAATCTCATCAGAGGGTTTTTATTTAACCCTATATTATGTGGCTTACTTTCCAATCTGACTCTGGAATAACATAATGATACTGGAGTCAAGAAGAAATTACTTAGACAGATAGTAAGGGTATTGGAGTCCTCAGTAAGGCTTTTCTTTTTAATGAAAAGCAGCCCCAAATTATTTTCCTTTCTAACGAAGAGCAGCCTGTAAAATTGAGCTGCTGACCTAGATACTGGCAGTTGTGCCAATCATGTTCAAGATGGTGGCTTCATCTTCCCTTCTCTTTGTCAGCTACGCATACAGTAAAAAGCAGACAAAATGGCGCCAATCAACTGGAAAGCCCGTTTGCATAATAAGATTAGGGTGGGGTGACCAGCTTTCCCACGTACTATGTAGCTGTCATACCTGATTGAAACAATCTGTGAGCCCTATGTAAATCAGATACCACCTTCTCTAGCCTGCCTATAAAATCTGCTGTGGTCCGCCGCCTCCCTCCTTTTTTTCAGACCTTTCTCTCTTCTCTCTCTCTCTCTCTCTCTCTCTCTCTCTGTCTCTTGCAAGGAGCTGCTCTCCTCTTTTTTCTTCTGTCTATTAAACTTTCCACTCCTTAACACACCCACATGTGTCCATGTCCCGAATTTTTTCTCAGCGTGTGACAATGAACCCCAGGGTATATACCCCAGACAGCATAGCCATTTCAACAGCATGACAGATAAGAAAGGAAATAAAAATATTTTAACCCCCAAAACATTTTTTTACCATATCTTGAAGTAGCCCTACAAAGTTGTTTCTTGTAGGGGGGAAAAAAAATCTACATTCTGTAGAGAATCCCCTTTCCCTTTTCCAGGCCTTTTTCCTGATCCAGGAAAGAACTAAGAGTGTGACACCTTTTTAGGCCTGATAAACATTTGCAATCTATTCTCTCTGAAGCCTGCTACCTAGAGCTTCATCTGAATAATAAGAACCTTGGTCTCCATAATCTTTTATCTTAACCCAGACATTTTCTTTCTATTGATTCCAGGTCTTTAGATAAACTCTTTCAACCAATTGCCAACCAGAAAAATTTTTGAATGCCTATAACCTGGAAGCCCCCCGCCCCCCAACCCCGTTCCATTTTCAGTAAATTGTTCTGCCTTTCCAGATCAAACCAATGTACCTCTTACAGGTATCTCAAATGTATAAAACCTAGTTGTGACCCAATCACCTTGGGCACATGTTCTCAGGGTCTCCTGAGGGCTGTGTCATGAGCCATGGTCACTCATATTTGGCTCAGAATAAATTTCTTCGACTATTTTACAGACTTTGAGTCTTTTCATTGATAGTGAGAGACAGGACTAACTGGATTTCCTAGGCCGACTAAGAATCCCTAAGCCTACCTGGGAAGGTGACCGCATCCATCTTTAAACACGGGGCTTGAAACTTAGCTCACACCTAACCAGTCAGAGAGCTCACTAAAATGCTAATTAGGCAAAAAACAGGAGGTAAAGAAATAGCCAATCATCTATTGCCTGAGAGCACAGCGGGAGGGACAAGGATCGGGATATAAACCCAGGCATTCGAGCCAGCAATGGCAACCCCCTTTGGGTCCCCTTCCCTTGTATGGGAGCTCTGTTTTCACTCTATTTCACTCTATTAAATCTTGCAACTGCACTCTTCTGGTCCATGTTTGTTACGGCTCGAGCTGAGCTTTGGCTCGCCATCCACCACTGCTGTTTGCCGCCGTCGCACACCTGCTGCTGACTCCCATCCCTCCGGATCCAGCAGGGTGTGTCCGCTGTGCTCCTGATCCAGCGAGGTGCCCATTGCCGCTCCTGATTGGACTAAAGGCTTGCCATTGTTCCTGCACGGCTAAGTGCCCGGGTTCGTCCTAATCCAGCTGAACACTAGTCACTGGGTTCCACGGTTCTCTTCCTTGACCCACGGCTTCTAATAGAGCTATAACACTCACCGCATGGCCCAAGATTCCATTCCTTGGAATCTGTGAGGCCAAGAACCCCAGGTCAGAGAACACGAGGCTTGCCACCATCTTGGAAGCGGCCTGCCAACATCTTGGAAGTGGCTTGCCACCATCTTGGGAGCTCTGTGAGCAAGGACCCCTGGTAACAATAGCATTCAGCCAAAAATTATCAAGCATGTAACGAAGCAGGAAAATAGGACTCAGAACGAGGAAAAAAACCGGATAGACCCACAAATAAAACAAATAATAGAACTAGGACACTAAAACAGTTATAACTTTGAGGACACTAAAACAGTTATTATAATAATTTTTTATATATTCAAAAAGACAAGTAGAGTCATGGAAGATATTAGAATACCCAAAAAAAACTTTTAAAGAAGAAAACTACAATATTTGAGACGAAAATACACTGGGTAGGATTCGCAGCAGACTCAAAGCTAGAAAAGAAAATGTTAGTGAACTTAAAGACATAGAATAGAAAGTATCCAAAATAAAACATAGAAGAGAAAAAGCTTAAAAAATGAAAACAGCATCAGTGAGTGCTGATAAAATATACAAATAATTGTAGTCTCCAAAGAAAAGAAGGGGAAGCAAAATTATCTGAAGAAATGAAAGCCAAAAATTTTCCAAAATTGATGAAAATTTTAAATCTTGAATCAAAATTTAATTTAAAATTTAATTTTAAATTTTAAATCAAAATTGATGAAAATTAAATCTAAGATACCCACAGAGTCCCCTAGTGAATCTACCAGTCACCTCTTATTTGCTTTTCTCCATAACCGCCATTGTTTCTGACAATGTCTTCAGGCCTGAAGTTCCTGACACTCTATTGCAAACAGTCAGTTCTTTTGAAAAGAGATTTGGAACTAGCTCTGTATTAAGACTTGACTTTCCCCAAGGGCAAAATCTCTGAGCTGTCTCTAGACCTGGAAACAGGAAAAGAGGTGTTCTTTTTTCCATGTGACACGCCTCCTTTAAGAGCTAAGTGCCCTGGGGGTAGGGGACAGTTAGTAGTCTCAGGTCTTTTTGGATTGCTTCTCTTGGTATGAAACCTAGGCCTTATGAGCTGGGTAGAGGTGATCTGGTATACCCGAGGTAGAGTCTTTATCCTCTGACAGGGGACTCAGTAGAAGAAGGGAGCCCTACCTTTTGCCAACACTCACCCAAAACATACATTCTGCAACAGGTAGCTGGGGATAGAATGAGAAATGCTGATGTCCTACCTCTCCTGGGAAGATACTATAGCCCTCCGACGGGTTGCTGGGGACACAGCAAACCCTATGTACTTGACTGCAGCAGCCTGGAGTGGAATTTCTATCATGCTGTCTGGTTGCAGTTCAGATACCACAGTCTCTTGCTGTCGTTGCCAAATTTTAGTAAATTTTCTCGAATACATTTCTTAATTCACAGTATGTCCTTTGATATTCCTTTTTAAGAAGAATATAAAAGACCAATCCCAAACATCACAAAAACTATCCCTACAAAGAACTATAAATGTAATTGTATAAGTTTGTAAAGTAATTTATTCCACAGTGCATTGTTGTAAGCAATAGAGCAATCAGCCAGCAAGTAGTGGAGTTTAACAGCTGGGTGTGATCAGGGAAAGAGATGATCAAAGAGAGACCTACAAAAATTACTGTCATCACAGAAAGAGTGACTATGGACATACCCAAGGGTATATCCTCTTAGGAACAACAACAGAGGTTTCACACTGCTTGAGGGATTGGATAGAGGGAGGACAGAAGGGGAGAGGGATAGATTTCACTAATATAGCCAGTCCATAAATAAATAAAGAAGTAAACAATAAAAAGCCCTAGAGTGGGTGGAGCGGTACTCAGAGTTGTTACAATATATTATCTGAAGTGTTAAATTTCCAACCAAAAATTATGAGACATGCAAAGAAACAGTAAAGCCTGATCTACACAGAGAAAAAAAAGCAGGCAATAGAAACTGCCTATGAGAGCAACCAAATATCAGATTTAATTGGCACTTCAAAGTAGTAATTCTTAATGTGTTCAAAGAACTAGAAGAAACCATTATTAAGGAGGGAAAGTATGATGAAAATGTCTCATCAAACAGAAAATATCAGTAAAGAGAAGTTATTAAAAAGAACCAAATGAAAATTCTTGAGTTGAAAAGTACAATAACTAAAATAAAAATTTCACTAGAGGGACTCGAGTAGATTTGAACTGGCAGAAGAAAGAATTAATGAACTTGAAGACAGATTGATAGAGATTATTTAATCCAAAGAACAGAGAGAAAAAATATAATGAAAAATAAAGAATAGAGCTTCAGAGAAATGTGGGACACCATTAAGCAAACCGGCCAATACTTCAAACCAGCCAATAGTTCAAGACAGAAAAGAGCAGAAAAAATATTTAAAGAATCCATGGGAATAAATGAAGACAACCAAAAAATGGTAAATTACAACTCAATATAACGAAAACTATAAATACACCTTGTTTTGTCTTTCTTCTCTCAGATTTAGTAGAAAACATAAAAATGTTATGTCACCATAAGTATAATAAAGCATTGTTGCATTCATAATAGATATCACATAATATGTATGACAATACCACGAAAAGAGGGAAAGGGGTTATATAGGAGTAACATTTCTGTATTTCACTGGAATTAAGTTAGTTTTGTTAGCACTAAGGGAATGTATCTGAGTCACGTGGCACCAAAGTATGCTAGCAGCAGCAAATCTGTATGTATGTACGGGTCTGCAGCAACCTCAATTCTTACTTCCTCAGAAGAAAGAATTTGACTGAGGAGCATAAGGCAGAGTGAGAGACCAAAGCAAATTTTAGAGCAGGCGTGAAAATTTACTAAAAAGTTTTAGGGTAGGAATCAAAGGAGGTAAAGTATACTTCAAAAAGGGCCAAGTGGGCAACTTGAGAGAGTCAAGTGCACAGTTTGATCTTTGACTTGGGGTTTTATATGTTGGAGTTCTTCCAGGATCTGCATCTCTTCTCCCCTGATTCTTCCACTGGAGTGAACTGTCCACAAGTGCAGTGGCCCGTCAGCACTTGGGAGGGGCCGCATGCACAGTGTGTTTACTGGAGTTGTACATATGCTCACTTGAGGTGTTCTTCCCCTACCAGTTGAATGTTCCTAGAAGGTCATACACCAGTTAAACACCACAATTTTGTCTCTTAGTGCACATGAGTGAGCCCATTCACCCAACTCCTGAGATGTTATCAGGAAGCTGCTCATCATCAGTTTCAGGCTTTTTCTATCTATTGGGAGACTGCCTTTCCCTGGTGCTGGCTGCAACCAATTATTTTAGAGAGACAGTTAACAACTGCCTGACCATCACCTGATGGTCATCTGACATTCCTGGTGAGGGGGTGAGGGGGACTCTCCTACCCTGCTCATGTCTGCCTGACTACTATAACAGTATCAGTTAACTTATCAGAAGTAGATTATGACAAGTTAAGATTCACAACTCAAAAATATGTAGTAAAAATAATAAAATAAAATATTATATTAGAAAACATTTAATGTCAAAGGATGCAGTAAAGCAGGAGGAGGAAAAAAAAAGACATGATAGAGCAAAAGAGCACACTTAGCACCTAATACCTTTCTCCAACAAAAGAAACCAGGACTCCTTGAAGAAAGTGCTGGTTCTAGGACTGGGAAAGGAAATATACAAGATGAGCCTATAGCACTATTAGAAGAAAATCCTTAGCCAAATTAAATTTAAAGGAGTTTAATTGAGCACAGTTTTTGAACACAGTATTTGAACGCAGTTTGAACAGTTGGTCCCATTTGATTGGCCAAAACTCGGTGATTGGCAGAAGAGTAGGTTATAGTTGGCTTACACCTCCATTTAGGTTATAGTTCACTATACACAGAGAAACCTTTAGGCTGAATTTAAAATATGTAAGGAGGCAGCTTTAAGCTAAAGTTGATTTAACAGCACCCTGTACTGCCAAAATGTAAGGAAGTGCTGGAAAAAAATGAAAGCAAACTAATCCATGGGGGAAAATGTCATAGTAGAGGCTCAAAAACTATGGAATTAAATTTTAAATTGCTGAAAGATAATAACTTCCAACGTAGAATTTTACACCGAGTAAAAAAATATCTTAAATGTCAGGAGCTCAACTGAGCTGTAGACAGCTGAACTGTCAGGTGTAGGAGTAATCAAAGAAACAAGCCAAAAATGAAAGTGTTACTCAAGGCGTTATCATTTCCTGATGATATAAGCAAGAAGCTAAACCAAAAAAAAAAAAACAAGAAAAAAGAAAAAAACCCTAACTTCCCTCAGCTCCATTTTCCCTCATGAAACAATACGCTCGTTGAGGGTTGGATGGATCAGTACAGATGTTGGACTTGTCTCACTGCTGCTGAAGGAACCTCAAAGAAAAAAATGGTTCTTGGGATTTTACAGACTCAAGAGGTTGGAGGACAGGAGTGGGAAGGGGTAGGAGTAGATAAGTTCTGAGTACTGAGTTAGAGTGGAGAAAGGTGTCTTCAAGCTTTCTTGAAGCTGAATTTAAAAGAGTTCCTGAGAAAGGCTCTGGACAAAGGTCTCAAATAAAGAAAACTCTGAGTAAAGGCACCTGGGTTAGGAATGCAAATATATTAATACATAAAAGCATGGCTGGCCAGAGAGGTCTGAGTCATTGATTGCAACTCCCTTCAGTGACTGCCATGCACTGGCTGTACACCAAGATTAGTCAGGACAGGGCAGCTTTCTCTCATAAGACCTGCCAGGTAAATCCTTGGAAGTTGGCTATGAAAAAATCACACATGATTTTGATGGGCCAGAAGCAGGACGCTTTAAAAAGATGTACAAGAGAAAAAATAAAAACCATCAAAGTTGGCAAAAAATTAGTTAAATTATCCCTATTTATTGATGATCTGATCTTTTATCTAGAAAACCCTAAAGACTCCACCAAAAAACTCTTAGATTTCATGAATGAATTCAGTAATTTTAAGATACAAAATTAACGTAGAGAAATCAGTAGAGTTTCTTTACACTAATAATGATCTAGCTGAGGACCAAATCAAGAAGGCACTCTCATTTACAATGGCTCCAAAAATAATAATAAAATACACAGAAATATATTTAACCAAAGAGGTGAAGGATCTCTATAGGAGAACTACAAAACACTGATAAAAGAAATCATAGATGACACAAACAAATGAAAAACATCTCATGCTCATGGATTAGAAGAATCAATATTGTTAAAATGATTATACTGCCAAAAGCAATCAACCAATTCAATGCAATCCCTATCAAATTACCAATATTGTTATTCACAGAATTAGAAAATAATCCTAAAATTCATATGGAACCAAAAAAAGAGCCCGAATAGCCAAAATAATCCTAAGCAAAAGGAACAAAGCTGGAAGCATCTCATTACCTGTGTTCAAATTATACTACAAGCCTATAGTAACCAAAACAGCATTTTACTGGTATAAAAATGGGCACATTTTAAATGTGCGTCATTAAAGCAGACAACAAACGTGAAAAAATGCTCAGCATCAGCAATCATCAGAGAAGTACAAATTAAAACCACAATAAGATACCATCTTACACCAGTCAGAATGGGTTTTATTAAAAAGTCAAAAAATAGCAGAAGTTGGTGAGGATGCATAGAGAAAGGAATGCTTATAGAATTTCGGTGGAAATGTGTAGTATGACCTTTATGGAAAACAGTATGGAGATTTCTCAAATAACTGAAAATAGAACTACCATTCGATCCAACAGTCTCACTACTGGGTATATACCGAAAGGGAAAGAAATAATTATATCAAAAAGATACCTGCACTCATATTGTTACTTCAGTACTATTCACAATAGCAAAGATATGGAATCAGTCTGAGTTTCCATCAACAGAGGATTGAATAAAGAAAATGTGGGGTGTGTGTAAGTGTGTATATATATATATATATATATATATATATATTTTTATAATATATATATATTTTATATATATATTATAATATATATTTATATATATTTTATATATATTTATATATATAAAATATATAAATATATATATATATATATAAAATATATAAATATATATATATATATAACAATACTACTCAGCCATAAAAAAGAATAAAATCATGTCTTTTTAGTAACATGGATGGAACCGGAGGCCATTATTCTAACTAAAATAACTTAAATACAGGAAGTCAAATACTACATGTTCTCACTTATAAGTGGGAGCTAAACAATAAGTACACATGGACATACAGAGTGAAATAGTAGATGTTAAAGACTATAAAAGTAGCGGGGAGGGGAGAGTTGAAAAACTACCTACTGGGTACAATGTAAACTATTCAGGTGATGGGTGCATTAAAAGCCCAGACTTCACCACTACACAATATATGCATGTATGAAATCTGCCCTTTTACCCTCTAAAGACATACAAATAAAGAGAATAAAGTATAAACAAGGAATTCTCAGAAAAACAGAAACTAGAAAACTTTGTCATCAGCAGCCTTGTACTAAAATAAATACCAAAAGAGTGTTCTTTGGGTAGAAAAATATGTATATGAGTCCAAATGGAAGCATGAAGAAAAGAAGGAGAATGAAAACAGTACATAAGTTATGCATATACATACTACACAATAATGTCATGATGAATTACTAATATAAAGAACAAAAGAATGTATAACTGATATGCTAATACAGGAAAAAATGGAATAATAAAAATATTTGATTACTCTAAAAATAGGCTATAAAAGACAAAAAAAAATCATTGGACAAATTCACATATAGAGATCAAAGAGTAAGTGCCAAACTTCGTAAAATCACAAAAAACTCTCCAAATGAAAAATGTTTGCAAATGCATTTTAAAACTATTTCTAATAAAAGATACAACTTAAACATAAAAATTCAGAAAGCTCGAAAGCAATAGGATAAAAAATATATCATGCAAATATTAAGTAGATATAGCTCAGGGAGTAATGCTAATACTGGACAAAGCAGATTTTAAGGTAAGAAGGTTTACTAGAGATAAAAGGGATATTTTTAAATAAAGGGTCAATATAGTAGAAGAATACAACAATTCTATATTTGTATGCCCCTTACAACATAGCCTCTCTCTCTCTCTCTATATATATATATGTATATACATATGTATATAAAATAAAAACTGTCAGATTAAAAGGAGAGATAAAAAAGATAAATTCAGTCATAACCATAGATATTGACATTCCATTCTAAATAATGCATTAAACAGATAAAAATAATTAAGATTATAGATAATTGTAACAACATGGTTAATAAGATTAATCTAATTTCTGTTTATGGAAACAACTGCATAATGTAAATTCTTGGAGCATTCAACCAAATTAACCATATGCGGAGCAATAATGGAAGTCTCAGCTAATTTTAGGAACCAAAATTCTATAAGTTATACTATCTGGCCACAGTGGGAATAATCTTGAATATACTAACAAAAGAGATAATGAGGAACTCAGTCCCTTAAATGTTTGGAAATTTGGCAATATTCTTCTAAATAACCTATAGATAAAGGAAAATAAGTAGAAATGAGAATGAATATTTATTCAACTGAATGATAATGAAAGTATAATATATCAAAGTAACTTGGAGTCACGTAAAGCCACACTAAAGTGTAATGTATAGCCTGAAATACATTTATTAGAAAAGAATAAAGAGGGGTCATCTGAGGGGTCAAGAAGAATGTGCCTGAGAATTATAGGCTCAAGCGAAGAGAGATGGGAGCATTTCCCCTCTTGCCATTATCCTCCATTGGCCGACTTACTCCATGGACTGTTAATCCCTTCACACTTCTATGATGTGTATGCATCGTGAAGGGAAGATTTGCATGTATATGTGGGGTTGCAGAACGAAAGAAAAGACCCAGTGAGGTGAAGTGCTATGAAGTGAGGTAAGATGAGATACTGAAGTTATACCTTTGTGAAGTTTGTTGCCACAGCAATGTCTGGGTGAAAAGGTATGCCTACAGCATGTCAGGTGAGGCTCAATATATTCCCAATGCAACATTTATTTGAAGTCAAAAAAGAAACAACAAATAAAGGGAAGCAAAAAGAATGCAATAGCAAAAAGAGCAGAAAATAATGACATAAAAACATGCAACAGAAAACATCAACAAGCTAAAAATTCGTTTCTTTGAAAAAGTATCATAAAATTGAAAAATCCCTGGAAAGACTGAGAAAGAAAGAACCAAAAGATAGAGAAAAGGCGCATATTGTGAATAATAAGAATAATGGAAGGGAGCAAGATGGCAGAATAAGTCTCAGTCGTTGTTCCTCCACAGAAATACTGATTTAACAATAAGGATTTATGGGCCAAATAACTTTATAAGAAGTCCAGAATCTAGTGGATAAGTTGCAAAGAAGCATAAAACCCAGGGACAGCTGCATTGAAATGGGGGTTGGAGAGGGGAAGATGGGGAGTTGATGTTTAATGGGTGTAAAGTTTCAGTTATACAAGATAAATAAGTTCTAAATACCTGCATACAACATTGTTTCTATGGTTAAAAATATTGTATCATGCAGTCAACTATGTTAAGAGGGTGGATCTTTGGTTAAGTGTTCTCGCCACAGTAATAAAAAAAGTTTTATTGAACCTACCAATATTAAACATCATAACAGAATATTTTAAGCAACTTCAATTTGAAAATTCAACAAAGTGGACACATGCCTAGAAAACTACAACTTATACAATGTACACAAGAAAAAATGTATCGAATTATTCAACTCTTTAAGAAAGACAACTAAATCTACTTTAAAAGAAGATCGCTTTACCAGTGAATTCTCCTCCGTATTTAGAAACATCACCAATCTTACAAACTCTTCTAGAGAATTAAAAAAAAAACCCAATAGTTGCCAACTCATTTTGTGAGGCCAGCATAAGTTTAACATCAAAACCTGACAAGGCCAATGCATTAAAAAATATATACAGGTTCATTTGTATTATAAATGTAGTTGCAAAAGTAACATACTGAAACCAGCAATATATAATTAATATAATACATCATGAAGTTGGATAGTTTCAGGAACACAAGATGAGTTTAACATTTGGAAAACATTCATTGAAATTCACTACAATTACAGAATAAAGGATACATCTCATATGATGATCTCAAAAGATACAATAAAAACATTTGATAAAATTCAAGATCCTTTAATTATAAAGGAGAAAACCCTTAACAAATTAGAAATAGAATGAGACTTCCAAAATCTCAGAAAGTGTACATAAAAACCCTGGAACAATTACCTTACTTACTAGCAAAATATCAATAGTCTTTCCTTTGATGCTTGAGGCAACTACTATTCAATATTGAGTTGGAGGTCCTAGTTAATGCAATGATAGAAGAAAAAAATAGTTGTAAAGGTATAAAAAGTGAAAGGAAAGAAATAAAACTCATCTGTTTCAGAAGATATGATTGTTTACACAGGAGATTCAAAAGAATCTACAGCCAACTATTAGAATCAAACAATTGAACTCATGAGTATAGACAGTAGAAGGATGGTTACCAGAGGCTGGGAAAGATAGTGGGGGACTGTGGAGAAGGTGGGGATACTTAATGGGTACGAAAAACTAGAAAGAATGAATAAAACCTATTATTTGATGGCACAGCAGGGTGACTATAGTCAATAATAACTTAATTGTACAATTTAAAATAACTTACAGTGTAATTGGATTGTTTGTAACTCAAAGAATAAATGCTTGAGGGGATGGATACTCCATTCTTCATGATGTGCTTATTACACATTCCATGCCTATATCAAAACGTCTCATGTACCCCATAAATATATACACCTACTGTGTACCCACAAAAATAAAAAAATAAGAACAAGTGAACTTTACTTAACAACGTAGTTGGATGTAAAGTCAATATTCAAAATTAAATCATGTTATAATTTTCCTATCTTAAAAAATAGAAAATAAAATTTAAAAATAGATACTGTGACAATAACATCAAAGTATAATCTCATATATAGAAATGAATCTAGTAAAACCTCTTCAAAACAGCTACATAAAAATATAATATATATCTTTAAATTTTAAAAAATACCTTAAAAATGTAAAGATACATCTTGTTTATTGATGGGAAGACCTATAGATTCTGTGCACTTCACAAAAAAATAGATATCCCAATGTCCAACAAGCTCATGAAAAATGCTTTACTCCACTAATCATCAGAAAATGCAAATTTAAATCACAATAAGATATAATCCAACCAGAATGGCTAAAATTAAAAATACTAACCAAATCATTGTCAACAAGTATTCAGATAAATTGGAACTCTTATGTACTGCTCACTTTGCAAGGCTGTCAGTGTCTACTAAAGTGAAACTTATGCATACCATATGCTATGGTCTGAATGTGTCCCCCAAAATTCATATGTTGAAGCATAATAGCCAAGGTGATAATATTAATAGGGGGGGCCTTTTAGGAGGTAATTAAGTGATGAGGTCAGAGCCCCCATCAAATGAGATTAGCAACCATATAGAAGAGGTTGAAGGGGGCATCCTTTTTGCTCTTCTATCCTTCTTCCATGTGAGGACACAGCATTCATCCTCTCTGGAGAACACAGAGTTTAAGGCACCATCTTTAAAGGAGAGAGCAGCCCTTTCCAAACACTGGATCTGCTGGCACCTTGACATTTGGACATCCAGACTCCAGAACTGTGAGAAATAAGTTTCTGTTCTTTATAAATTACTCAGTCTCAGATATTTTATTACAACATCAGGAACAAGCTAAAACACCCTATGACCCAGAAATACATCTCCCAGCTGTGCACTTAACAGAAATTCATATATATATATATATGCACCAGAAGGCATATACAAGAATGCACATAGTAACCTATTTGTGATAATCTTATGTTGGAAAGAATGCAATTACTAAGAGTAGAAATCCTTAATAAATTGTGTGAAAATGAAACCACTATAACTACCAATAAAAAGTATGAATTTCATTGAGCCAAAGAAGCCAGACACCAGAAACACAAAACATATAATTTTTTATTGAATTAAAACTGGGCAACACTCAGCTTTGATATTACCAGTCAAGTACTATTTTACTTTGGGTAAATGGGTCAGGGTAATTATTGGTAAGAGGGCTTAAGGGGGTTTTTAGAGTGCTAGTAATGTTTTATTTTTTGACCCTTGGTGATTGTAATATAAGTGTGTTTACTTTGTGATAATTTACCAAACTCTATACTTATGATATGCATTATTTTCTATGTTCAATTATTAATAATATTTTTAAAGTTAAATTTCTCAAAGCTGAAATTATCTTCTTTCCCTTAAATTTGCATCTATCTCTTCCCGGGTCTGCCAGCTCAAGCTAAGCAGCCATTCTTGATTGTTCAATCCTTCCAATCAGCCACTTTATGCTGTATCTAAAAACTAAATATCTCTGGAATCCAACTACTTTTCTCTATCCTACTTCATTACTTATCTTAAGCCATCATTATCTCTTGCCTGGATTACTGCAATGGCTTTCTCCCAACTCATACCCTTGCCTTCATTTTTTACCCTTCCAAAACTCCTACTCTTATGGCACAGTCCAAAATGATTTTCTAAAGCACAAATTACAAAACTGGCCATGTAACTCCCCTAATAAAAGGCTTAATTTTTCCTCCATTTCTTTCAGGATAAAGTCCATTGACTATAATGTAACTCATAAAATGCTGAATGATCAGCCTTCTGCTTATTTCTCCAGCCTCATATCTTGCCTTCACTGTTTATCCCCTCTTCTTACTAAATGATTACAGAATGTACTCCATCTCTAGTAAATAATTTGCATCTATTGAAATATATTGTGGTCTTTCTTCAAGACTCCAGAGTCCCTATGTTGAAACACTTTAGGGGCAGCAATATTGTTAGAAAATGGTGCTAAAGTGTTGTCTTGAAGCTACATTTCCATAATAAATGAAACTTTGCGTGTGTGTGTGTGTACACGTGCGCGTGTGTGTGTTTTGTAGTTTGGTGATGGTACCGATAGAGATTATAAAGGATAAATAGCTCCTCTTGCCACCAGTTTGCTTTAGACCTTTGCACTTGTATTTCTTCATTTCTAGAGCATTTTTTTCTCTCCCTCCTTCCATATGATCATCAGATCA
This sequence comes from Homo sapiens, assembly GCF_000001405.40. Taxonomy (NCBI): domain Eukaryota; kingdom Metazoa; phylum Chordata; class Mammalia; order Primates; family Hominidae; genus Homo; species Homo sapiens. The sequence goes on along the minus strand of NC_000023.11, from coordinate 113,885,148 downwards.
TTCTTCCAATTCAGTTGTTGGTTCTTCCAGAAAGTCTTCCTTAATTCTACAAAGCCATATTAAGTGTCCCTCTTCAGTGTAACTCACTGTAATCTTGATTCTATCATACCACTATAACATACAGGAGTCACATGTTAGGGGATAGATTCTAAAAATCATTCTTTCCTTCTCTGGTTGGCAATGCAATGGTTATAGGATGATTGCAGGAGTCAGATCACTAAAGAATGCATAATGCCTAGTAGCTGAGAATGCAGAGAAAGGCATAGTGCCTCAGGTTTGTGTATACTCGGTAATTTTAAATGAACAATAGAAAGATGACTGGAAGAAAAGTGTGGGTAGAGTACAGAGAGAAATGAGGCGTAAATTGCAACATGAGTCTGGGAACAAGACTGTCCAAGATCATGAAGAGCCTTTTTGGCTTTATTAAAAAGCTTGGTCTTTATATTTAGTGCAATAAAATGTTGTTGGAAGATTTTTTTTAATCATAAGAAAATCTCTATGATATATTAAGTAAAAAAATCAAAATGCAAAACATAGTGGACAGAGACTAATGTTTATTAGAAATAAAATGCATATAGGTATAAATAGAAAATGTCTGAAAAATATATAATAAACTGACAAACAGCCTTTATTGGCTGTGGGAATGGGGATTTATAGCCTAGCATTTAGGTTATACCCTTTTATATTGTTTGTGTTTTCATTCTAGTGTATGATTGCTTTTTCGAATAACCAAAAACTTGATAACCATGAATTTTGTTATCAAAGACAGATTGGAATCCTGATCTGCTTACTCACTGTGTGATATTGGACAAGTGACTTCATTTCCTTGGACCTCAGTTTCCTCATGTAAATAGGGATGATAATCATGCGTACATATGGTTGTGAAGATTAAATAAATAAAGAAATGCTAACAGAGCCTGACACATAATAAGCACCCACTATATCTTACCAATTACCATTATTGTTTTTGCCTTTATCAAAATTCACACAGGTCAGCAGAGCATAACAGTTAAGAACTTGAGCTTTGTAGTAAGAACTGAGTTCAAAATCTGTTTCTGCTACACGCTCATGGTGTGAATTTTATCATGCCACTTCCTTTCTGTATGCCTCTGATGACTTATTGTAAATGTGAACAACTAGAATACTTATTCCTAGAGTGGTTGTGAGACCTGTGCCAGAACAATAATGATAGCTCCCAATTTTGGGGCACTTTCTATATGCCAAGTTATATTAAGTGATTACAGATAATGATTGATTTCATAACTATTCTTTTTCTTATTACTAATGCATATGTGGAGAGAGAGAGAGCAATATTAGTAAGAGTCACTTGCATACTAGCCGTTGGGTGATTACCAGTTGTTTCTCCAAGAAAGTGGAGATACAACAAATTTATTTAAAAATATTTCAATATATTCTAACTGCTCTGGCTAAGTCTCCCTACCATCAAGCCATAACCCCCACGAAGTCAGTCACACAATCTGGAGTGATGACCACAGATGCCAAGATACTTGTGGTCCAGGTAGGATAGTAGGTAGGGGCTCTGTACACTGTGTCTGGCACCAACTCAGAAAAGTGTTTCTTCATGATGCTTATCCACATGGTACTCATCAGCTGCAGTTGATAGTACACAAGAATGGTGAGATGGTATAGGACCACCCTGTTACCACCACCCAAAATGACATACAGAAAAGGTTTTCCTGTGATATTGGCAGATGGGATAAATATATTCTAGGTTGATCAGATCAATATCTTTCTATTGCTTTTTCTTCAGTTAGAGGTTACTGTTGGAGACCAGGTACAAGCTAAAATACACAGTCTTCTTGGGCAAAGATATCATCCACCACATCAGGTATCACAGCTTATCTTTGAACAACTTGAATGTGCTCAAAACCATTATCTTCTAGAAGTGGTTCTTGATCTTGTTTTTGCTCAAGCTTCCAATGATTAAGGCTGATACAGCCTTCTTGATCATCCCTTCCAGGGTCTACAGATCCCTGTCTGGTCCTTCATAGATAATGATAAAAAGGTTACTTTTGTCTGATTGCCAAATGGCTGCATTGCACCAGTTAGTCAATGGCTCTACCTGTACACGTCCTCCTAAAATATGTGGTCCCATCACCATGGTGCTGACAATTTCATTCATATATATGAAGATACATTAGCCCAGTGCATTATGAATTCACACTGCCCTCTCTGAATTCAAGAAGATCTTGATAACAAAATAGGTGCTAGACGCTACCACTTTCTCTCAGCAGATCATGCATCCAATTTATGAAGCTGTGGGGACTGTGGGTTTTTTGAATCAACGCTGGGCCGAGTCTCAAGCCCAGATGGTATTGTCTAAGCAAATGAAGCAACACAATGTGTCCAGCTGCTCTGCCATTATACCACTCATGATAGATGTGAACTGAGTATGAAGAAAAATGTGACCACAGGGCCAAAGTAACAGCTGAAGCTCATCTAGACTCTGGAATGGCTGCACTCAGCTACCAGCCTCAGGATGCTGATCTAGCCACTCCTATAGTGATAGTGGTGAAGGTCATCCTGACTTCCAGAAAATATGTGGTCAAAGAAAACCTTGGACATTACCATGTGGGTCACATGGCTAGTAACGCTCAATGATTTTAAAACAGGGCTATTCCATTATCCAACTTGTTTTTTTACAAAGGGGATAAAGATCACTGTGTGCATTGTGAATGGAAGCAGGAGAGCCTGGGAGAAGCAAAACCAATTAGAAGGATGTGATATTGTGATGTAACAAGAAATATATATTTAGTTTTTGTTCCTGTTCTTGGCAGGGAGTTCCTAAAACACTTGGAATTTCCTGAGTAATAATGATGAGAGGAACAACTCTTGTTATACATAATATGCCCCTTGCAACCATATCTTAGTTTATACTAATAAAGTAACTCTTGGAGGATGAGGGCTGATTGCCAGAGGAACCAACCACGTGATTAGAAGGTTGAAACTTTCAGCCCCACCCCATGACCTTTGAGAAGGGAAAGGCGCTGGAAATTGGCTGAATCACCAATGGCCAATGATTTAATCAATCATGCCTACATAATAGAGCCTTCATAAAAACCCTAAACTAGGGGGTTCAGAGAGCTTCCCGGTTGGTGAACACACTGAGGTGCCAGAAGGGTGGCATGCTTGGAGAGAGCACGGAAGCTCTGTGCCCTTCCCCCATGCCTTGCCTTATGCATCTCTTCTATTTGACTGTTCCTCAGCTATATATCCTTTATAATAAACTGGTAATAGAAATTAAAGCATTCCCCTAAGTTCTGTGAGCTATTTCAACAAATTATTGAACACGAGGAGGGAGGCATGGGAGCCCCTGATTTGTAGCCAGGTTGGGCAGGAGTGTGGGTAATCTGGGGATCCACTACTTGCAATTGACTTCTGAAGTGAGAGAGCAGTCTTGCGGGACTGAACCCTTAACCCATGGGGTCTGAGCTACGTCCAGATTAGTTAGTTTAGTGTCAGATTTAATTAAATGGTAGGACACTCAGTTGGTGTCTGCAGGGAGTTGGAGAATTGCTTGGTGTGGAAAATCCACACATTTGGTGGCAAAAGTGTTGTGTACAGAGAAAGAATTTTCTTCTTCAGAGGATATTACAGGAATCTAGGCATAAAGTAGTTGTGGCTTGGATAGTTCTATGGCAAAGGGAGAGTGGTTATTATTTTTGCATGTAAAAAATTATTTTAATGAAGACTTATTTTAATTTGATGCTTGAAAAAGCATCAAATTTGATATTCCAAGTGAGAAGTGCATTAAATGCATTTCATTAAGGAGGGAGCAGTGGCAGGCATAGCTTCATGTCAAGTATTTGATTTGGGTCATAAAGAATGAAAAAGTCTAATGGATAGAGAAGAGGAAGGAGACAGTGGAAGAATGAACAAATGCATGGAGATACAGAATTTTTAAAGACTGCTTGGGAAGCAGTAAATGGAAGAATTTAACTGAAGTGGACAGGATTTTTAAGGGCAGAGTGGAAGATAATGCTGGTAAAATAGATTGGTGTCAGATTATGAAAGTCCTTGCACACGTGGCTTTGAGAAATGGACAATGCTACGATAGTGGCCCAATTAACAAAGATAAAGAATCAGGAAAGGGGGTACTTTGAGGAAGATAATTAAGAGTCTTTCCTAGATGTACTGGTTGAAGTCTGGTTACTAGATAAGGTTATCAAAGAGGAGATTAATAGAAGAGGTCAGAGAAAAATTTATGCTCCTGACCAGTTGAAAAACTTTTCCTAACAATTTCTAAATTTCTATAAGTTAGGATATATGCTACCATAAGAAGTTCTATCCACCCATCTCTTTCCATATACTAAATAAGTACAAATTCATCATATACAATTGGATACAATTCCAAAACTTCTTTGTAAATTGAAAGATCTGGAAAGTAAATATAAAGGAAAGTTACAAAATTAGCAATGTATTGCTAATAATGCTACTAATATGTATTGCAGTAGTTTGTATGAATGTTTTGTCCTTTTACTAAAGTGTATTGGAGTATCAGAGGCTCAGGCAATACCAGAGCTAGGGCTCAAGTATATTTGAACTTTTATAAATTTTTAAGTGTACTTTGTTTTGTGAATCAGAATGATAGCATATACAAAAATAAAACTAGTTCAACTAAAAAGGATCCAAACGTATTATCAGGAGCTGTATTTTCTCTGGTTATGATGTCCATCCTTCCTTGTAGCCAGGTGTGATTTTCTCTACCTATCTGAATTCTTGCCTACCTGAAATCTGGCACCAGCATCGGCATTGAGTAGAACAATCCAGAAACAGAACATTTGTTACTGTTGTGCCTTAGTGTTCCCTGAGTTTTAGGTTATTTCCTATTTAAATTATCTGCCTGTATTTTCTTCATACATCATTGTGGTACCTGAAATTTGAATTATAGAATGTTTGTTTGTTCCTTCCTGCTTTAATTCACTTACCTGGACTTGTCATTTATCTTTTTGCCTGATTCTTACTTTGGTGGCATCTCCTTTGAAGTCAAAGTTGTAGTAGTATTCACCTTATTTTAGACTTTTCCTCTTTTCCTGCCACACAAGTCCTAGCCCAATGTTTGTGAATTTTGTTATCAGATATCCACAGATGCTTTCACGTGAATATATATATATATATATATAAGCAATCCACTGTCTCTTTCTTAGCATTCTTTATACACAAAATGTCTAAATTCCTTAGATCTCCTTCCCAAACTCATAGCATATTCCACTCAGCCCCAAAATCTTGTGTCATGACCTCCAGACATTTCCTGTTATCTGCCTCCATCAAAACTTATCTGTACTTCAATCCATTTTCTCAGGACCCAGACCTCTAGTAAGGTGCTATGGTCTGAAAGTTGGTGGTCCTCCCAAAATTTATATGTTGGAACCTAATACTTAATGTGATAGTATTAAGAGGTAGTGCCTTTGGCAAGTGATAAAATCATGTGAGCTCCACTCTCATAAATGAGATTAATGCTCTTATAAAAGACACTTAAGTGGATTCCCTTGGCAGAAGGGTCTGCCATGTGAAGACAGTGTTCTACCCTTCTGCTATGTGATGATGCAGCAACAAAGCATCAAGGAAGCAGAGCGTGAACTCTTACCAGACATGAAATCTTCTAGTCTCTTGATCTTGGATTTCCCAGTTTCCAGAACTGTGAGCAATAAAATTCTGTTGTTTACAAATTACACAGTCTAAGGTAATTTGTTACAGCAGCACAAATGAACTAAGGTTAATCTTTGTGTTATAGCAGCAAAAATGAACTAAGGTTAATCCAAAAAATTAAACCTGGTTTAGATATTAATGATTGATTGTAAGCTTACATACAATTCCTACTAAGAAATCAAGTTTTACTTTCCCTTGGCTTATTATGCTTTAACTGCAAATAAATGTAGCTGCCAATGGAGCTACACTGAGGGTTGGGATTATTTCTGAAACACTCTTCAAAACAGATTGTGTAGTTAATACACAGTCTGCAGCAGCCATCACATTTCTGTATTGTTTCTGAAGAATTATCTCCTGAGAATGTGTTTTTATACAGTTAAATACTCTGACATGCATTTACTCTTTTTCTAGGAATATGATTTATATTTGACATTGAACATATATTGGATATAATTTTCTCTGTACAGTTCAGTTATATTTCCCAAATGCAATAATCACATTTGAATATAGTATATTCCCCAAAGATGGAAACTTCTTATATTTTGAAAGGAAATCAATGCAATATGAAATTGAACAAAAAGATAAAGAGGATTGAGGACCTTATTACAGATAGGGAGTAAAAAAAGTAAGTCTTCATCAAAGCTAAACTAACATAGACCATAAAGCAACCTGGAAAATTAGAACAAAAATGTCTTGAAGCAATTAACAACTTTAGCAGCTTAAAAATACGCAAAACATCACCATGTCCTCTACTCATACCCTCTGGCCTTCATGTCAGACTCTAAGCCCTCTCAATACTCTTCATAAAGATGGTAGAACCAGGGTTCTGTTTGCAGCAAATACACCTTAGTAACAAATTCACATTAAATCCAAACAAATTATAATAGAATCCTTTAAAGTGAGTTAATTGCTACATTCTCTATGAAACCTTTACCAGACAGCTGTATCTAGAAGTAAGTTCTTCCCTCCCTGAACTCTTTTTCTACTACTCTTCTGGAACATTTAGCACAGTCTAATATGCATTGCAGTAGTTTGTATGCATGTTTTGTCCTTTGACTAAAGTGTGAATTCCTTGAAGAAAGAGTTCATGTTCTGTCTTTGAATCTCCAGTGCCCACTGGAATATAGTTTATTAAAAGGCATTATCAAGTCTAAAAAAAAATCTACTTTTATTCATTAGTTCATCATTAATGCACTTGCTCAACAAATATTTAAACACCTATAATGTGCAAAGTACTCTCCTAGTTAGAAGGCATATCGTGATGTACAAGATACATGGTTCCTACCTTCATGGAGCTTATATTCACATAGGAGAGACAAATAACAGCAATTGATTAACAAATTACTTTATTAAAATATCATATGTGGGAGAAAAACAGAGTAGTCATTGTCAGTGGTTGTAAGAGTGATTGACTACAAAGAGGATGCACAGGGGAACTTTTAGGGTGAAACAATTGTTCCTTACTTTTAGAGTGAAATACCTGTGCTATATTGGGGTGGTCAAAAACTATTTACATGCATTTGTCCAAACCCATAGAATTGTACATTACAAAGAGTGAATTTTAATGCACGCAAACTAAAAAATAAAATCAGTCAGGATGTAGGGTATCTCACAATGGAATACAGACTGTGAAAAATGAATCTATCTCTTTTACAAATGTATAATATGGCCTCACTAAAGGGAGTGGGGAAAGTGGTCTGACCTAAGTAACATTGGAAAATAATGTTCTGACTGAAAACTGTAAAACTAAAAACAAAAGATATTATGTAAGCACAGTACTCTAGTTGGTAAATTTATTTCTCATGGAGGTACAAGTTAATAATTCTAACCCTGTTGTCTATGTATCCTGGGTTAAATAAATAAGTAAATGGATGGTGCGCAGTGGTAGCCAGGTTTCTTAATGTTGGAGTGGTAAGTTACAAATAAGCAAGTTTGGGGGGAAGGCAAGAATATACCATGTGATACTGGATTGGAGTTGGAGACATCTGTATGAAATCATGCTTAGCTTAATATAGGTATTAATCAATACACAGAAATATTTATTGATATGTTTATATAGATGGTTTAGTATACACAGATGTATTTTCTTGCTGTGTCCACCAAAAGGGCCTAAAAACAATGACAGTTCGGTAGCAAAAAGCACAGCCAGCACATAGATCGTGGTCTCTAAACACCATTTTTCAATAAAAGGAAAGAGGGCTCCATGGAGAAATGGCTGATTGTAGGGCTGGAGTGGGGAATATATGACATGAGCCTGGAGCATCTTGTAATGGCAGAAAGTAAGGAAGTGCCCTCCTTGACAAAGAAAAACTAGCAATGATAAGACTATGCTAGAGGGACACTGGAGCCAACTATAGGCCCAAACTGGAAAAATCTGAGCAACAAAATCAGTAAAGTAGTTCTGAATTAAAACCCAAAGTGTAAAATAAATATACATTAGCCTATAGTGATATTAATAAATTATTAAATAAATAAATAAGTAGAGGTAAGGAGAAACATCCTTTTTAACAAAGAAACTCCAAATAATATATGCAGATACTTCCCCCTTCAAGGAGGTAGAGTTTAATCATCCCTCATCCTCCCACTTACTGCCCGCCCCATCTCCACTTAGCATGTGCCAGATTTAGTGACTTGCTTCCAGAGATTAGAGTAGGGAAAGGGAAAAATAAGAACTTTATAATAAAAGTAATAAATATAATATAATAAAATGTGGCAAACAGTACATTAACCAAGTGGTGAAGGTTAACATCAGTGATGTCATATGGATATGTAAACTCTCATAGATATGATGAGCAAGGCACTTCATCTCTGTGATATTCTTCCCTTAAATCCATAACTTTGGTCTAATCATGAGAAAAACAGCAGACAAATTCAGATTGTGAAACATTCTACAAGACACCTACAATATCCCTCCAGACTTTCAAGGCCATGAAAAACACAGAAAGACTAAGAAAATATCACAAAGCAAAGGAAACTGGGAAGACATCATATCTAAATGCATGGTGGCACCCTGCATTGGACCCTGGAACAGAAGGAGGACCTTAATGGAAAAACTGGTGAAATCCAAATAAAGTCTGGAATTTAGTTGGTGGCAATGTATGAATATTGGTTCCATAGTGTTGACAAATATGCTGCAGAAATGTAAAATGTTAACCATGGGGAAAATTAGCTGAGGAGTGTAAAGTCTTATTATCTTTGCAACTTTTCTGTGAAACTAAAATTATTTCTAAATAATTTTACATACAAAGTTTATGAAATGCAATAAGTGATTCAAATACTTATTTGAATGGCTCTGTGATTTTAAAATATTTTAAAGTATACAAATAGATACATATAAATCCATTAAACAGTTTGAAGTTCTTGCTAAGATCTATTTTACTGCTATGTCTTTACCTTCTTAGAAACCCTCTCCATCCTTCTGTCCTGTTGCACCACATCTAGAATCATCTCCCTACAGAGATGCTTCCATTATTCCACTTTTCCACTCAAAAAATCTATTGTGGCTCCCTGTTTCTGTAGGAGAAATCCCAAACTCCTCAGGTAGATATGCAAGTTTTCTTCATCAACTTATCATTACCTTATCTTTCCAAACTTTCGTATGGTTTAATTGAATAGGTGAACAAATAACAAATGTTTATTAATCACCAACTATGAGTCAAACATTCTGCTGATAGCTTGGTAGGATAGAGAGATTTAAGATGTTGTACCTGCTCTGCACTTGCAAACAGAAACATAAACAAAGAGATCTAAATGTTCTAAGTGCTAAAGTGTAGGATGGAGAAGATAAGACATGGATAAATAACTCACAGAGGAGGGAATGGGAGAGCTGAGTCTTGAATGTAAGTCAGTGTTTACCAAGCAGAGAAGGGTATTTCATTCAAAGAGAAACAATTATAAACTCAGGAAGTCATAAAATACATGTGTAGGGATCAATGACTAGAGTGGATGGTTCTTTTGATAGATAGAGGCAAATGAGACTAATGAAAGTTAAAGTCAGATTTTGAAAGGTCTTGGATTCTTGGTTAAGAAATTTTGTTTTCTTCATGGAAGCTGTAAGTAATCCATTTGCTGAAATGCTAAGTCATCAAACATAGCATTCTGTATCATTTCACACTGTTCTCTAGTAGTTGTTTTTGTATGAAAGAGTCTTTAACAAATTCTGCTTTTCTACCTGGGTTGCAAACCAAGTCTTCCATTCCTGGATCCCAAAATTACATAGCAGAGTAATAGGTTCAATAAGTAACAGTTCTTGCAAACTTTTTGCTTAGCTTACCATTGTTTATTTATGCCAGGCATTCTTGCTCATTTTAAGACAAAATGAATGGAAAAATATTCTTAATTTTCAGGGCCACATAAGTGAACATTTTCATTCCAGTATTTGCATTTCTAAGTTCACTAGATATACAACTTCACTTTTTCCTTGAGTTTCAGTATCAGTCAGTGTTATACTATGCACGAAATATTGTTTGGTTATTTGCCTAGTAGCCTCGAATTATTACTTATAGAAATTTAGTACTTTTCAAATCCATAAGGAAGAAGCCAGTTGCCCATGGAAACTTTGCTCAAATACCTGGAATCATGGGGATTTTCTCAGCTTGTTATATGGTGACAGTCAAGCATGAATAAAATTGGGTTATGAGCTCTGTTCTTGTTCCTCTCAAAATCCCTAATGTTACTACTGAACAATACATTATCATCCATCACAATCTTGAGAGACAAAGGAAGAGCTACTGAACAAGGTGCAAGTCAGTCTATTTTTTTCTTCATTCTCTCTCTTTCAGGGAAATAGATTGCATGAGACACTTTTACCCTGCCGAAGAAAATCAATTATAGTTTTAAGACCAACAAATGTGTGAGACACTTTTATCTCTATAGTTCAGATGAGAAAACAAACACAGAGAGGCTAAGTGAATACTATTTAATCACAAAGCCAATTAATAGTGGTTCCAAGAGCAGTCCAGGTCTCTTGATGCAGTAATTTACAAAAACTATAAAGTTCATCAGTAACCTAGCTAACATAAATACAGGTTACTAGAACACTAAAAAAAAAAAAATCAAATGGCGTGATGCAGAATATTCTGTCCAAATTTTTATCATAGAAAGATGCTCTTCTGTGGGTTGCAGTTTTGAAGGCAGATGTTGCTGAAAGCAACCACAGCAATTACAAAAGTGACAAAATCAGGTTTGTCGTGAAATTCATTCACAGACGAGAAAAGCAATATTCTGTATAATATCAACCACTGCACATAAGAATATTTTATACAATTGACAGAATCATAACAATATGAAAAATAGCACACTTAATTGGATGAAAACCAAACAGACAAGACCGTGTGTGTAAATCCAAGCTTCTATAATGGTCACCGAAGGTGATCCAGATAGTCACAACTCCAAAATGAACCTCCTGATTACTTCAAGCTGGGAATTAGGCTGTGTGATCTGTGTGACAGCTGTGACAGATAATAAAAGAGAAGTTCCAATAAAGAGACATGATGCTGCATAATAATGTCACAAGAAGCAACAGATAAGATCAAGATTCATTGGAATTGGAACTTATGGTTAGCAAAGATAGTTTTATTCTATGGAGATTTACGAATAGGGAAAGTTCTCTTTTTCCTAAATTAACAGGAGATATGGTTAGCCCCAAGGTAAGATGATATCTGTATATTCTGACCTACCTAAGCTGGCTGGAAGCAGTCTTCATGTTTTCTCAGTCTTATTGTTCTATGAAGCTTACTTTGCTATTCTAATTCCCAGGAAGTGAAAGATACAATCAATTTCCTTTGCACTCCTCAGTTTCCTTCTATGGGGATCTTCTTTTAATCAGCCCTATGACTACCCAATTTATTCTTACCACAAGTGGAAGAAAATTAATACAATAAGTTCAAAGCATATAAGGGGTAAATAGTACCCACAGATGTGAAAATATAATTTTCCTTAAATTTTATAAGAACAGTGAATATTTAGTCTTGGGTATAATTGGACCACAGTCCTGATGATATAATTTATTTTCCAAATTCTAGAATATCAGTAGAAAAATCTTTCTTACAAACTAGCCCTGATCATTTCTTCCTATGCCTAGGTAAGAAAAGCATAAAATAGAGAGAGGAGAAAAGGATGGCATAGATACTTGAGATATTTTCTCTTGTTAAATAGGATATGGTTATACGTAACTTAACTATAGGAAAACTTTCTGAGAAATGTGCTGTTAGGCAAGTTCGTCATTGTGCAAACAGCATAGAATGTGCTTACACAACCATAGGTGGTATAGCCTACTACACACGTAGGCTATGTAGTACAGCCTATCACTCCTAGGCTACAAATCTATAGAACATGTTACTGTCTGTATTGCATCCTTAGACAATTGTAACATAAGGGTAAGTATTTGTGCATCTAAACATAGAAAAGTTACAGTAACAATATGCTGTATTAGTGTATTCTCACACTGTTATTAAGAAATACCTGAGACGGGGTAATTTATACAGGAAGGAAGTTTAATTGACTTGCAGTTCCACATGACTGGGGAGGCCTCAGGATACTTACAATCATGACAGAAGGCTAAGGGGAAACAAGCTTGGACCTTCTCACATGGTGGCAGGAGAGAGAAGACTGAGGAGTGAAGGGGTAAGAGCCCCTTATAAAACCATCAGATCTTGTGAGAACTCACTCACTCACTCACTACCATGAGAACAGTATGGGGGAAACCACCCCCATGATCCGATCACCTCCCACCAGGTCTATCCCTAGATACATGAGGATTACAATTCAAGATGAGATTTGGATGGGGACACAGAGCCAAACCATATCATTCTGACCCTGGCCTCTTGCAAATCTCATGTCTTTTCACATTTCAAAACCAATCATGTCAGCCGGGCATGGTGGCTCACATCTGTAATCCCAGCACTTTGGGAGGCCAAGGTGGGCAGATCACCTGAGGTCAGGAGTTCGAGACCAGCCTGGCCAACATGAGAAAACCCAATCTCCACTTAAAAATACAAAAATTAGCTTGGTGTGGTGGTTGGCGCCTGTAATCCCAGCTACTCAGGAGGCTGAGGCAGGAGAATCACTTGAATTCAGGAGGCAGACATTGCAGTGAGCCAAGATGGTGCCACTGCACTCCAGCCTGGGTGACAAAGTGAGACTCCATCTCAAAAAAAAAAAAAAAAAAACCAACAAAAAACAATCATGTCTTCCCAACAGTCCCTTAAAGTCTTAACTCATTTCAGCATTAACTCAAAAGTCCAAGTCCAAAGGCTCTTCTGAGATAAGGCAAGTCCCTTCCACCTAGGAGCCTGTAAAACCAAAAGCAAGTTAGTTGCTGCAAAGATAAAATGGGGGTACAGGCACTGGATAAATGCTCCCATTCCAAATGGGAGAAAGTGGCCAAAACAAAGGGGATACACGTCCAATGTAAGTCCAAAATCCATGGGGGCAGTCATTAAATCTTAAAGCTCCAAAATGATCTCCTTTGATTTCATGTCTCACATCCGGGGCATGCTGATGCAAGAAGTGGGCTCCCACAATCTTGGACAGCTTCACCCCTGTGGCTTTGCAGGGTACAACCCCCCTCCTGGCTGCTGTCAGAGCTGGCATTGAGTGTCTGTGGCTTTTCCAGAGGCACAGTGCAAGCTGTTAGTGGATCTACCATTCTGGGGTCTGGAGGATGGTGGCTGTCTTCTTACAGCTCCACTAGGCAGTGCTCCAGTGGGGACTCCGTGTGGGGGCTCCAACCCCACATTTCTCTTCCATACTGCCCTAGAAGAGGTTCTCCATGAGGGCCCCACCCCTGCAGCATACCTGTGCCTGGATGTTCAGGCATTCCCATACATCCTCTGAAATCTAGGAGGATGTTCCCAAACCTCAATTCTTAATTTCTGTGCACCCACAGGCCCACTACCATGTGTAAGCTGCCAAGGCTTTGGTCTTGCACCCTCTAAAGCAATGGCATGAGCTGTACTTTGGCCCATTTTAGCCACAGCTATGATGCAGGGCACCAAGCCCAGAGACTGAACAAAGCAATAAGGCCCTGGGCCAGGCCCATGAAACCATTTTTCCCTTCTAGGCCTCCTGGCCTGTAATGGGAGGGGCTGCTGTGAATACCTCTGACATGCCCTGGAGACATTTTCCCCAATGTCTTGGCTATTAACATTTGACTCCTCATTATTTATGCAAATTTCTGCAGATGGCTTGAATTTCTCCCTAGAAAATGGGTTTTTCTTTTTTATCTCATCGTCAGGCTGCAAATTTTCCAAACTTTTATGTTCTGCTTCCCTTTTAAACATAAGTTCCAATTTTAGATATTCTCTCTCAAGTTCAAAGTTTCACAGATCTTTAGGGCAGGGGCAAAATGCTGCCAGTCTCTCTGCTAAAGCATAGTAAGGGTTACCTTTGCTCAAGTTTCCAAGAAGTTCCTCATCTCTATCTGAGACCACCTCAGCCTGGGCTTCATTGTCCATATCACTATCAGCATTTAGGTCAAAACCATTCAACAAGTCTCCAGGAAGTTCCAAATTTTCCCACATCTTCCTGTCTTCTTCTGAGCCTTCCAAATTGTTCCAACCTCTACCTGTTACCCAGTTCCAAAGTCACTTCCACATTTTCAAGTATCTTTATAGCAATATCCCACTTTCCATAGTACTAATTCACTGCATTAGTCCGTTTTCACACTGCTATAAAGACATATCTGAGACTGGATAATTTATAAAGACAGGAAGCTTTATTGACTGCCAGTTCTGCATGGCTGGGGAGGCCTCAGGAAACTTACAATCATTGCAGAATAAAAAGAGGCACCTATTACATGGTGGCAGGTGAGACAGAGAAGAGCAAAGGAGGAATTTGCCAAACACTTATAAAACCATTGGATCTCATGAGAACTCACTCACTGTCATGAGAACAGCATGAGGGAAACCGCCTCCCATGATCCATTCACCTTGTACCAGGTCTCTCCCTGGACATGTGAGAATTATGGGGATTACAATTCGATATGAGATTTGAATGGGGACACAGAGCCAAACTATATCATATGGTTTAAAAGATTTAAAAAAATGGTACACCTCTGTAGGGCACTTACCATGACTGGAGCCTACAGGACTAGAAGTTGCTCTGGCTGTCAGTGAGTGAGTGGTGAGTGAATGTGAAGGCCTAGGACATTATTGTACACTACTATACTTTATAAACACTGTATACCTAGGCTGTACTAAATTTATTTTACAAATTATTATTTCTTCAAAAAAAATTAATCTTAGCACACTGTAATGTTTTTACTTTATAAACTTTAAATTTTTAAAAAAACTTTTTGACTCTTGTAACAACATTTAGCACAAAACACAAACACCATTTTACAGCTGTACAAAAATTATTTTCTTTCTTTATATTCTTATTCTATAATTTTTTATTTTAAAATTTATTTATTTACTTATTTACTTTTACTTTTTAAATAATCTCTATGGAAAACATTATAGAGATTTCTCAAAGAACTAAAAATAGAACTATCTTTCAATCTAACAATCCCTCTATTGGGTATATATCCAAAGGAAAATAAATTATTATATTAAAAAAGACATTTGCACTCAAATGTTTATTGCAGCACTATTCACAATGTCAAAGTTATGGAATTAATTTAAGTGTCCATTAATAGATAATTGGATTAAAATGTCATATATATATAATGGAGTGTTACTTAGCCATAACAAAGAATGAAATCATATCCTTTGCAGCAACATGGATGGAACTGGTGGCCATTATCCTAAGTGCAATAACTCAGAAACAGAAAGTCAAATACATGTTCTCACTTATAAGTGGGAGCTAAACAATGGGTACACATGGACATACGAAGTGTAATAATAGACACTGGTGACTCACAAAGGTGGGAGAGAGGGTGGGGAATGAGGGATGAATCTCTACCTATTGGGTACAATGTACACTATTCAGGTGATGTGTACACTAACAGCTCAGATTTCACCACTATGCAATATATCCATGTAACACAACTGCACTTCCATCCCTAAATCCATAGAAATAAAAAAAAATTATAAATAAATAAACTCTTTTGTTAAAAATGAAGATACAAACATACACATATTAGCCAGGTCTATACAGGATGAGGATAGTCAGTATCACTGTCTTCCACCCTCATATCTTGTCCCACTCGAAGATCTTCAGGTGCAAAAGCATGCATGGTGCTGTCATCTGCAATGATAATGATGCCTTTTTTGGAATACTTCCTGAAGGATGTGCCTAAAGCTGTTTTACAGCTAACTTTTGAAAATATAAGTAGAAGTAGTATACTCTAAAATAATGATGAGTTGATGGGTGCAGCAAACCAACATGGCACATACCTATGTATCAAACCTGCACGTTGGGCACATGTACCCTAGAACTTAAAGTATAATTAAAAAAAAAACTGTAAGTATAGTAAATACATAAACCAGTAACAAAGCCATTTATTCTCATTATCAAGTTGTAAGTATTGTACATCATTGAATGTGCTATGCTTTTATGTGACCAGCAGTGCGGTAGTTTTGTTTATAACAGCATCACCACAACACGTGTGAGTAATGCAATGTGCTATGACATTACAACAGCTATGACATCACTAGGTGATAGGAATTTTTCAGCTCCATTATAATCCTGTGGGACCACTATCCATACGCAGTCTATCATTTACCAAAACATCTTTATGGGGCTCATGACTGTACATGCTGATTTTATCTCACAAACCTTTTCTTCTTCTATTATATCATAAGACTATTTTAAAGAAAATTCCACCTGTGTCATAACTCAAATAAAACTGGAAGTTAAGGCATTTAATCAAAAAGAAAATAAGGAAGGAAATGTTAAAAAACTGCATTAGTTTTCTATTGCTGGGTAACAAATTACCAAAATCTCAGTGGCTCAAAATGAAATAAATTTATTATCGCACAGTTCTGTGAGTCAGAAGTCCTGGTAGTCTTGACTGGCTTCTCTGCTCCAGGTTTCAAAAGGCTGAAATCAAAAGTGTAAGCTGGTCTGTGTTCTTATCTGACGGTTCTAGGGGAAAATTCTCTTTCATGCTAATTTCAGCTGTTGGCAGGATTCCATATAACTATAGGACTGAGGTCACCGTTTCCTTGCTGGCTGCTGGTGAGACGTTGCTTTTATCTTTCAGAGACCATCCACATTTCCTGAATCGTGACTCCTTTCATCTTCACTGTCAGCATGGTGGGTTGAGTCCTTCTAAAGCTTCAAATCTCTCTGATTTCTCCTTCTGCTTTATATTTCCTGTTTTTAGCCTGAGAAGATTTTCTGCTTTTAAGGGCTCATGTGATTAGATTGAGCCCATCCAGATAATCCAGGAAAATCTCCTTATTTTAAGATTTGTACCCTTAATTACCAAAACACATTCCCTTTTGCTATGTAAGATAACATATTCACAAATTCTGAGATTCAGGCATAGTTATTTTTGGAGAGGGTGTACTTGGTCTCTCATCATAACCTACCCAAGACAAAACAGCCAATAAACAGTTTAGTAGTTTATTAAAATCTTGGGCTCTTCTCTCTTATCTATAGCACTTTCCACTATATTTTGCTATACTGTCAGTCATTTTCTTTCCAGATTGGTTAACAAAGGACCACTAAATCACCATTACTGTACTGGGTGGTAAATATTATATCTTGAGAATAAGAAATGTTGTTGAAAATGTAAAGATTAGGAACTTTTATTAAGAATTCCAAGAAATTACTCTGCCGAGCTGTTATGGGGAAAAAATAATTCCGAGGATCTAGGGGCTTCTAAATAATGTCTTGCTCTCGGGAAAGAGATCTGCCCTTTTTTTTAGTCAGAAGCTCACAATTCTAATTACATAAAACTAGTCGGTAAAGGAAACTTCATTTTCTTATAATAAGATATTATGTTTTCTGATAGGACAAAATATTGACTAGGAAAATTATCTGAAATCAGCCAGGATGTCATGAATGCCTTCCCACTTGATAAGGTATTTTAAGGGGCTCAGTCTGGTTAGTTTCTCTTACTGTATGAAACAACCAACAAGCTATCATTTTTTCTTTCTAATTTAAATTCCATGTGCAGGCTACACACACAACACACACACAACAGACACACACACACACACACACACTCACTTTCTGTCTCTCTTTCTCTCACTCATGTAGAATCTTCAGAAGTTGGCCTCCTATTCTAAGGCTAGTGCATAGAATCAAGAGATCTGAGCTCTTGTCCTGAATGTGCCACTTTCTGTGTGACTTCAGGCCAATCACTCAGTCTCTCTGCAGCTCAGACTCCCAATCTCTAAGCTAAAGGGAGTTATCTAGATGATATTTAATGTTCACAATAGCTCTGGTTTTCTATGAATCAATCATCTTAAATATTCAAATGAAATATCCTTGGCATCCTAGCCATTTTATCCACTTTATAAAGTGCTGTTTTGATAGGAGATTCTATGCATCTTTAATGGGATTTTGAGAGATCTTCAAAGCCAAACTTTGAATGTTTTGAATTTAAAATTCAATTTGTCTTTTATACAACTAAATTATTGCTATTGGTCTTATTGCTATATTTTCAACAAAGAGGATGCTTCCTGAACAATGAGGTCTACACTATTGTTAAAGAGTTGCTCTCTAACCTGAGAACTCTTTTGGAAGCTGAACTGCCTTTGGAAGGAATTTAATAACTCTTATTTAAAATTTTTTAGTTATGTTAGAAGATGGAGGTAAAGATAAATAGGCTAAAAACCGTAGTTCCAAAGCCTTCTACTCTTATTTTAAATGGCATTGGAAATCTTAGATCAAATTTCTAATGGGAAGATGGAATAGGAGGGCTAATCCCTGGTCTCTCCATTTAATGAACTAGTAAGATGTTTGTGAGAACGACATCAATGTGATAATTTTTAGTTCAAATAGGCTAACTTCTGTTTCAAGCCAACCCCAAAATTTCAGTGGCTTCACACAAAAGGGTATTTGTTTACTGAATTCCTGTTGTGGAGGGTGATGGGGTAGGAGGACTTCTGCTCTACACAGTTATTCAGGGGCACAGGCTGCTAGCAACTCTGAATCTTCAGTAGATGATTCCCAAGGTCACCCTGGGAGTCAGTGTACAGACAGCATACTAGAAAATAGAATGGAAGATGGCAAGCACAGTATTTTAATGGGTCAAGCTTGAAAGACCATACATTATTTTCCTTTACACACCTCTGGTTATAAATCATTTGTATGGCCACACTTTACTGCAAAGGAGGCTGGGAAATGCAGTCCAGTTATGTACTCAGAAAGAAGAGGAAATGTGGTTAATGAGCTCTATAGAGATCACTTTTATACATTATTTTAACTAGTGAAAATGACAAGCTTGCAAATGCTGAAATTCAGAGAATTCATATTTGCAGTTAGTTTGGGATCTTTATAGTATTTAATTCCTATTTTCTAACAAAATTGTTTAAGATGTATATTGATATTATATTGAGGTATAACTTACATAGCATAAAATCCACCCATTATAAGTGCACAATTCAATAATTTTTAGTAAACTTTTACAGCTGTGCAATCATCACCACAATTCAGTTTTAAAATGTTTCTATCATGCAAAAATGTTCACTTGTACCTATATGTAGTCCATTCCTGCTCCCATCTCCAGTCCCAAGCAACCACTGATGTGCTTTCTCTCTCTGTAATTTTGCCTTTTCTAAAACTGCATTATAAATGAAATCATATAATATGTTGTCTTACATCTGCCTTCTTTCACTTAAAATAATGTTTTGGAAGTTCACCCACACTCCTGCATGTGGATGTCAGCAGTTGATTCTTTTCTACTGCTTATTTGGATGTACCACAGTTTACCTATTCACCAGTTGATGGACATTTGGATTGGCTACAGATTGGGGTTGTTGAAAATAAAGGTGTTATGAACATTTTTATACAAGCCTCGTGTAAATGTGTAAATAAATGATTTCATTTATTTTAGGTAGAGACCTGGGAGTAGAATTGCTGGGTCAAATGCTAACCCGATGTTTAAGATTTTAGAAACTGAAACTGTTTTTCAAAGTGGCTGCACCATTTTACATTCTTCCTAGCAATACGTAAGGGTTCCAGTTCCTTCGCATCCTCGCCAGCACTTGGCTTTGTGTGTCTTTTTTATTATAGTAATTCTACAAGTGTCTTGTAGCTTTAATGCGTTTCCTTTTGGAATTTGAAACTTGGTGTCCCAGTGGTATATGCAGGATATAATCGTAACAGGTTTATAGGTATTTACATCGTCATTACAACACTCAAAGAACATAGCTACATATAGGCAACCATATTCTATTTCACCATTGCCAGGAATTTGGCTAGTCCTATACGTACTAAAGTGTTTTGCTACAATAAATCTGTATCAGTCAGTGTTCTCCAGAGAATCAAAACCAGTGGATTTTGTGTGTGTGTGCATGCGCATGTGTGTGTGTGTAATTTATTTCAATAGTTTATTTCAAGGAATTGGTTTACACAATTGTGGAGTCTGGAAAATAAAAAACGGGTCGTGTGGGTTGGAAACCTGGCAGGCTGGAAACTTTAAGTTAGAAGCTGATAGAATACTTGTAGAATAATTTCTTCTTTCTCAGGGAACCTCAGTTGTTCTCTTAAGGCTTTTCAAGTGACTGGGTGAGGCCCACCCACATTATTGAGGATAATATTTCTTAAGGTCAACCAATTACGAAGGTTAACCACATCGTTAAAATACCTTCACAACAACACCTAGTGTTTGAATAATTGGGTATTGTAGTCTCGCCAAGTTGACACATAAAACAAACCATCACAGTATCTATTGAAGGAAAAATTGAAGTGCAAAAGATTATTCATTTCCTAATAGCTAAAGTAAATCTTTCAAAGACAATACCTAGTTTGGCTGTAAAAAACAATAAAGGACATTTTTTTTCTACAGGGACAAGTTTTCAAAAAAGAAACGTTAATTGGTTCCCAATAATTATTATTTTCAAGGCTATTGATGTAAGACCATATTAATAAATCGTGGTCAAATTTTAGGGAGAAGGGCCAAGATGGCCAACTAGAAACAGCTGTGGTTGGTGGCTCCCACAAAGAAGAACCAAAACGATGAGTGAATCCTGCACTGGCAACTGAGGTATCCAGGTTCTCTCATTAGGACTGACTAGGTGGTTGTCGCAACCCACAGAGAGCAAGGAAAAGCAGGGTGGTGTGATGACCCACCTGAGAGCCACATGGGGCAAGGGAAGCTCTCACTCCCAGACAAGGGAGGAGGTGAGTGATCATGCTACCCCCCATCCCCAGGAAAAAAATGCTTTTTCCATGAATCTGTGCAACCCAACCAATGGATTGCACAGAGGAGATCCCCCCTCGTGAGCCCACGCCACTAAGGCCTTGGGTCCCAAGCACAGAGCTGTGCAGATTCTCAGAGACCACCTGGCTGGAGACTGTCTAAGACTACCAAGTTCCACAGAGGAGGGGCAGCCATCATCACTGTGGCTGTCTTTTGCCTAAGACAGCTGAGCTCCCCAGGGGAGGGGTGACAGCCATCACTGCAGCTCCAGTCTGCCATCTTTCCCCTGCCAGTGCTGGGGAGACTAGACACTTTGGACCCAGGAGGAATTCCCCACAGCACAGCACAGTGGCTGTGGCAGACAGTGGCCAGACTGCCTCTTTAGGGTGGACTCTGACCCATCCCTCCTCACTACGCTGGGCCTCCCTGCAGAAATTTTAGCAATTTCAGCCAGGAGTTTAGGGACAGAACTCTGATCTCCCTGGGACCGAGCCTCTGTGGGGAGGAGTGGCCATGGTCTCCATGGATCAACAGACATACTGTTTTCTCCAGCTGGCTTTGAGGGATCTGGGCAGTCCAGACAAGTGGGATTGCCTCCAGCACAGTGCACCCCCTCCTCCAAGGGGCAGACAGAGTGCTTCATTAAGCGGGTCCCAGATCCTATGCCTCCTGACCAGGCGAGACCCCAAAACAGAGGTCACTAGATACCTTATACAAGAGCATTCCTGCTGTCATCAAGTTGGTACCCCTCTGGGATGGAGCTCCCAGAGGAAGAAGCAGGTGGCCATTTTTGCTGTTCTGCAGCCTCCACTGGTTATATCTCCAGGCGTGGGAGGGGCCTGGGTGAATAGGGTCTGGAGTGGACCCCCAGCAAAGCGCAGGAGCCCTATGGGAAAGGGACCTGACTGTTAAAAGAGAAGCAAATGAAAGCAACAACAACAGCAGCATCAACAAAAAAAGTCTCCACAAAAACCCTATCCAAAGGTGAGCAGCCCCAAATATTGCAGCTAGATAAACTTATGAAGATGGGAAAGAACCAATGAAAAAGTGCTAAAAGCTCAAAAAGCCAGAGTGCTTTCTCACCATCAAATGATAGCAACACCTTTACAGCAAGGGCACAGAACTGGGCAGAAGCTGAGAGAGATGAATGGACAGAAGTAGACTTCAGAAAGTGGGTAATAACAAACTTTGCTGAGCTAAAGGAACATGTTCTAAGCCAATTCAAAGAAGCTAAGAACCACGATAAAGCATTACAAAAGTTGCTAATCAGAATCACCAGTTTGGAGAGGAACATACATAAATGACCTGATGGAGCTGAAAAACACAACATGAGAACTTCACAATGCAACCACAAGTATCAATAGCTGAATAGACCAAGTAAAGGAAAGAATTTCAGACCCTGAAGACTATCTTGCTGAAATAAGATAGGCAGACAAGATTAGAGAAGAAAGAATGAAAAGGAATGAACAAAACCTCTGAGAACTATGGAATTATGTAAAAAGACTGAACCTAGGGCTGATTGGGGTACCTGAAAATGATGGAGAATGGAACCAAGTTGGAAAACATACTTCAGGATATCATCCAGGAGAACTTCCCCAACCTAAAAAGAAAGGCCAACTTTCAAAATCAAGAACTGCAGAGAACCCCAGTAAGATACTCCACATGAAGATCAACCCGAAGACACATAATCATCAGATACTCCAAAGTCGAAATGAAGGAAAAAATGTTAAGGGAAGCCAGAGAGAAAGGCCAGGTCACCTACAAATGAAAACCCATCAGATTAACAGTGGACCTCTCAGCAGAAACCCTACAAACCAGAAGAGATTTGGGGGTAATAGTCAACATTCTTAAAATAATTTCTAAACTAGAATTTCATACCTGGCCAAAGTAAGTTTCATAAGGGAAGGGGAAATAAAATCCTTTACAGACAAGCAAATGCTGAGGGAATTTGACACCACCAGGCCTTCCTTGAAAGAATTCCTTCAGGAAGTACTAAATATGGAAAGGAAAAACCATTACCAGACCTTGTAAAAACACACTGAAGTACAAAGACCAATGATACTATAAAGCAACTACATCAACAAGTCTGCAAAACAACCAGCTAGCATCATGATGACAAGATCAAATTCACACATAACAATTTTAACCTTAAATGTAAATGGGCTTGGCTGGGTGTGGTGGCTCATGCCTGTAATCCCAGGACTTTGGGACAGAAGCAGGCAGATCACTTGAAGTGAGGAGTTTGGGACCAGCCTGGCCAATATGGCAAAACCCCGTCTCTACTAAAAGCACAAAAACTAGCCAAGTGTGGTAGTGGGCGCCTGTAATTCCAGCTACTTGGGAGGCTGAGGCAGGAGAATTGCTTGAACTCAGGAGGCAGAAGTTGTAGTCAGCCGAGATGGTGCCACTGCACTCCAGCCTGGGTGACAGAGTGAGACTCCATCTGAAAAAAATAAAATAAAATAAGAAAAAAACATGTAAATGGGCTAAGTGCCCTAATTAAAAGACACAGAATGGGAGATTGGGTAGAGTCAAAACCCATTGGTTTGCTGTATTCAAGAGACGCATCTCACATGCAGACACACATAATAAAGGGATGGAAGGAAAGTTATCAAGCAAATGGAAAGCAGAAAAAAGCAGGGGTTGCAATCCTAGTGTGTGACAAAACAGACTTCAAACCAACAAAGATCAAAAAAGAGGAAGAAAAGCATTACATAATGGTAAAGGGATCAATTCAACAAGAAGAGCTAACTATCCTAAATATACATTTGGCCAATCCAGGAGCACCTAGATTCATAAAACAAGTTCTTAGAGACCTTCAAAGAGACTTAGACTCCCACAAAGTAATAGTGGGAGACTTTAACACTCCACTGTCAATATTAGACACATCATCAAAACAGAAAATTAACAAGGATATTCAGGACATAAACTCAAACTCTGGATCAAGTGGAACTGATAGATATCTACAGACTTCCTCCCAAAAACAACAGACTACACGTTCTTCTCGGTGCCACATGACACTTACTCTAAAATTGATCACATAACTGGAAGTAAAACACTCCTCAGCAAATGCAAAAGAACTGAAATCATAACAAACAGTATCTCAGACCACAGCACAATCAAATTAGAACTCAAGATTAAGAAGCTCACTCAAAACCATAAAACTACATGGAAATTGAACAACTTGCTCCTGAATGACTCCTGGATAAATAATGAAATTAAGGCCAAAATCAAGTTCTTTGAAAACAATGAGAACAAAGGGACACTGTACCAGAATCTCAGGGGCACAGCTAAAGCAGTGTTAAGTGGGAAATTTATAGCACTAAATGTCCACATCAAAAAGCTAGAAACATCTCAAGTTGACAACCTAACATCACAACTAAAAGAGCTAGATAACCAACAGCAAACAAACCCAAAAGCTAGCAGAAGAAAAGAAATAACCAAGATCAGAGTAGAACTGGAGATAGAAACATGAAAGAACCTTCAAAAAAATCAATGCATCCAGAGGCTTGTTTTTTAAATTAAGAGAAGAGATAGATCACTAGCTAGACTAAAAAAGAAGAAAAGAGAGAAGAATCAAACAGACACAATAAAAAATGATAAAGGGGATATCACCACTTACCCCACAGAAATACAAACAACCATCAGAGAATACTACAAACACCTCTACACATATAAACTAAAAAACCTAGAAGAAATGGATAAATTCCTGGACACATACACCCTCCCAAGACTGAACCATGAAGAAGTTGAATCCCTGAATAGACCAATAACAAGTTCTGAAATTGAGACAGTAATCAATAGCCTAGCAAGCAAAAAAAAAAAAAAAAAAAAGTCCAGGACCAGATGGATTTACAGCTGAATTCTATCAGAGGTACAAAGAGGAGCTGGTACCATTTCTTCTGAAACTATTCCAAACAATTAAAAAGGTGGGGATTTAAACTCATTTTATGAGAGTACAATTATCCTGACACCTAAACCTGGCAGAGATACAGCAAAAAAAGAAAACTTCAGGCCAATATCCTTGATGAACATCAGTGCAAAAATCTTCAATAAAATACTGGCAAACCAAATCCAGCACCACATCAAAAAGCTTATCCAGCAAAATTAAGTTGGCTTTGTCCCCAGCATGCAAGACTGGTTCAACATATGCAAACCAATAAACATAATTAATCATATAAACAGAACTAAAGACAAAAACCACATGATTATCTTAATAGATGCAGAAAAGGTCTTTGATAAAATACAATATCCCTTCATGTTAAAAAATCTCAATAATCTAAGTATTGATGGAACCTACTTCAAAATAAAAAGAGCCATTTATGACAAACCCATAGCTAATATTATATCAAATGGGTAAAAGCTAGAAGCATTTTCCTTGAAAATCAACACAAAAAAAGGATGCCCTCTCTCACCACTCCTATTCAACACAGTATTGGAAGTTCTGACCAGAACAATCAGGCAAGAGAAAGAAATACAAGGTATTCACATAGGAAGAGAGGAAGTCAAACTGTCTCTGTTTGCAGATGACATAATACTGTATCTAGAAAACCCATCATCTCAGCCCAAAGGCTTCTTAAGCTGATAAGCAACTTCAGCAAAAATCCCAAGATACAAAATCAATGTGCAAAAATCACAAGTATTCCTATACATGAAAAACAGACAGTCAAATCATGAATGAACTCCCATTCATAATTACTACAACAAGAATAAAATACCTAAGAATACAGCTAACAAGGGAAGTGAAGAACCTCTTCAAGAAGAACTGCAAACCGCTGCTCAAGGAAATAAGAGAGGACACAAACAAATAGAAAAACCTTCCATGCTCATGGATAGGAAGAATGGATATCGTGAAAAAGATTATACTGCCCAAAGTAATTTATAGATTCAATGCTATTTCCATTAAACTACCCCTGACAGAATAGAAAAATAACTACTTTAAAATTCATATGGAACTAAAAAAGAGCCCATATAGCCAAGACAATCCTAAGGGGAAAAAAAAAAAAAAAAAAAGCTGGAGGCATCACACTACCTGGCTTAAAGCTATACTACAAGGCTACTGTAACCAAAACAACATGGTACTGGTACAAAAACAGACACATAGACCAATGGAACAGAATAGAGATCTCAGAAATAAGACTGCACACCTACAACCATCTGATCTTCAAACCTGACAAAAACAAGCAATGGGGAAAGGATTCTCTATTTAATAAATAGTGCTGGGAAAACTGGCTAGCCATATGCAGCAAATTGAAACTGGGCCCCTTCTGTACATCTTCTACAAAAATTAACTCAAGATGGATTAAAGACTTAAATGTAAAACCTAAAACTATAAAAATCCTAGAAGAAAATGTTGGCAATACCATTCAGGACATAGGCATGAGCGAAGATTTCATGATAAAAACATCAAAAGCAATTGCAGGAAAGGCAAAAGTTTGCAAATGGGATCTAATTAAGCTAAAGAGCCTCTGCACAGCAAAAGGAACCATCATCAGAGCGAACAGACAACTTACAGAATTGGAGGAAATTTTTGCAATCTATACATCTGACAGAGGTTTACTATCCATCATCTACAAGGAACTTATACAAATTTACAGGAAAAAAAAACAAACAACCCCATTAAAAAGTGGCCAAAAGACATGAAGAGAACTTCTCAAAAGAAGACATTTATACAGCAAACAAGCATATGAAAACAAAGCTCAACATCACTTATCATTAGAGAAATGCAAATCATAACCACAATGAGATACCATCTCATGCCAGTCAGAATGGCAATTATTAAAAAGACAAGAAACAACAGATGCTGAAGGGGCCGTGGAGAAATAGGAAAGCTTTTACACTTTTGGTGGGAATGTAAATTAGTTCAAGCATTCTGGAAGACTGTGGCAATTCCTCAAAGACCTAGAGACAGAAATACCATTTGACTCAGCAATTCCATTACTCGGTATATACCCAAAGAAATAGAAATCATTCTGTTATAAAGATACACGCACATGTATGTTCATTGCAGCACTATTCAAAATAGCAAAGACATGAAATCAACCCAAATGCCCATCAATGATAAACTGGATAAAGAAAATGTGTTACGTATATGCCATGGAATACTATGCAGCCATAAAAAGGAATGAGATCATGTCCTTTGCAGGGACATGGATGGAGCTGGAAGCCATTATCCTCAGCAAACTAACGCAGTAACAGAAAGCCAAACACTGCATTTTCTCTCTTATAAATGGGACCTGAACAGTGGGAACACATGGACACAGGGAGGGAACAACACACACTGGGACCTGTTGGAGTGGCAGGGGGAGGGAGAGCATCAGGATAAATAGCTAATGCATACTGGACTTAATACCTAGGTGATGGGTTGATAGGTGCAGCAAACCACCATGAAACACTTTTATGTATGTAACAAACCTGCACATCCTGCATGTGTATCCTGGAATGTAAAATAAAATAAAATAAAAAATAAATAATTCATGGATAGTGCATCACAGAAATGTCAAAGTGGTTAAGCTGAGAGTGCTAGACTAAAAGACAGCCAAAACATACATCAGGAAGGAGTGGAACCTAAAATATGCTACATCCCCTGCACCTATGCTCTTCAACCAACTGAATAATTTGACTTCTGCTGTAAGAAGAAGGTAAAAATCTTGATAGAGTCAATACAACCAAAGGGATGATTATTTGAAAGCACCCAAATATTGTATTAATAAAATGATTTATGTAGAACAAGTATCACATAAACTTGGAGATAATTAGTGAGCATTTAGCCATGCTCACTAATGCCTTTAAAGTGATTTACATACGATGAAGCACTTTAAATCGTCTTGTACTAGATGATTCCACTTATACCTTATAATCATATGAAGAAATATCTACAGAAGCAAAAGTAATGGCTATTTAAGGCAACTCTACATAAAGTTTAAAATCAAAGGATTATATGTGTTTTTCATTTGCCACCATTATCACTTATGTTGACCATATTTGTATTAGTCAAGGTTCTCCAGAGAGACAGAACTAATAGAATATATATGTAGATATATGACAGGGGATTTATTAGGGAAATTGACTCATGCAATTATGGAGGTTGAAAAGTACCATGTCAGGTCATCTGCAAAATGGAGACCCTGGGATGCCGGTAGCATGGCCCAGTACAAGCCCAAAAACCTCAGAACCAAGGAAGCAGATGGTGTAACACTCAGTGTGAGGCTGAAGGCCTGAGAACCTGGGGCGGGGGGCGGGGGGCACAAGTGGAAGTCCTGGAGTCCACAGACCAGAAAGCCTGGAGTTGTGTTGTCCAAGGACAGGAAAGGAAGAGTGTATTCCAGCTCTAGCAGATAGATTACACTCCATGTTTCTTCTGTTTTTTTTCTCTCCTGGTCCCCACTGGATTGAAAAGGGTAGATCTTTCCCACCTAGTCCACTCAGAGTCACATGCTAATAAGAACTTAGCATGTGGAAGAATTTACTTTAGGAATATTGATTAATTTTAATTCCTTAATCCAGTCAAGTTGGCTGGATTAAAGAATTAAAATTAATCAATATTCCTAAAGTAAGTTATTCCATTCATTTTTGTCTTTGGAGACTCAGCGTTTAAGTTTGCATTGAGAGAAAATGCTAAGAGGAACAAAAATCACATATGGAAGAATCAAGTTTTAGTTGACAGAGGTGTCAGCAAAAATTATTTTCAACTCTTTTTTTCTTTGGTTTATAATGTTTTACCTCCATTTAAGAACTCTATTCTGAGGCTGGGATGGAACTATGCCTCTAATGGGCAAAATTTTCACTGATTAATGAACAATGACATCATTCATAACACATGATTATTCTGCTACCTTCATAAAACACTATACCAAAATCCTCTAGCCAATTACACACAATTTGTGGTGTTTTTCTATGATAATTAAATTTTTTTAATTTAAAAAGATAGAAATCTAAAAATCTAATTATAACCATGTGGAAAGCCTGATAAATAAAACGCAATAAAAAACAAGTGAATCCGTCCTGAATATATGTTAGCACAGAACAACAGTTGAGTATAAGATTCTTGGTCACCAACTGTATTGTTCTACACGTGCCTTCGATATCTTTTTAAAAAGCTCCTAGATCTTTGTTTCTCTATCTCAGAAATCTCTATCAATGACAAATTCAGACCCTGGTAAGCCTTTATTTAGACTACTTATTACGGTTCTTTTCTTTCTTTCTCTCTTTTCTTGCTTTCTCTCTCTCTTCCTTTCCTTTCTTTCTTTCTTTTCTTTTCTTTTTTCTTTTTTTCTTCTTTCTTTTCAAGACAGGGTTTTACCTTGTCACCCAGGCTGGAATGCAGTGGTGCAATCACAGCTCACTGCAGAATCAAACTCCTGGGCTCAAGTGATCCTCCTGCCTCAGCCTCCATGCCCAGCTAATTTTTTAATTTTTTGTAGGGACCAAGGTCTCTGTTGCCCAGGCTGGTCTTGAAATCCTGGGCTCAAGCCATTCCCCTAATCTTGGCCTCCCAAGGTGCTGGGACCACAGGTATGGGCCACCATGCCCAGCCTGGTTCTGTATTTTAACATGAATTTTGGAAAAATAATTTAAAAGGGATATGAGTAGAAGGGAACTTTGTTCTAAAAGCTTTGCTGTAAATTACTTTTTAGTTAGTAAATATTGCTAAGGCCATTAGCATAATGCCAAATAGTCTATAGAAAGTCTTTATCCAATATGTTCATGATCTAAATTTAAGGATGCAGGATTTTTTGAATCACGCTTGTATTCACAAGCTTTACAGGATAAGAGCTATTATCTAGCTGATGTCCAGTAATATTTAGTGCTAGTGGGCACGTGTATTTCAATGATTTGTTGCTATGCTATTTTGACATTCTTGTTTTTCTTTCTAGCATTGAGAAATCTAGAAAAAATTTCATTGTTTTGTAGGGAGAGTTATTAATTGTTAATATTAATTAATGAATTTAAAATGGATACATGAAGTGTAAGAAAATAATGATTCTATGAGTAGCCACCAGGCTTCTTGCTCTTAGTCTATTTCTTTGTCATTTCAGTAAACACTTTTTAGATTTGAAAAAAAAAAACCCTTTAAACTACATAGTCACCTAGAACATACCACTTTTCCTCTGACTTTAATTCAGGAGGCTAGAAAGGAAACAATTTCTGCCTGAGTAACAGAAACTTAACACCACTTTATTTCTTAGGATTCACAAAGTTAACTCATTAGCTGTCTAAACCCCTGAAATCAGTCACCTAGAATAGTTTGTGGAGCCAAAGAGATGCTTTCACTATAAGATTTGCTTCTGGTGATTATTAATACCCTAAAATTCTTTTTGTTTCCAGTTTAAATAAAAGATTAACCATGATATATATGATAAATATGGTAATTTAAAAAATCCCATGAAACTGACTCTGAAAAGAACATTTTCAATATTTCTTAATGGATTTTTAAAAGTCTCAATGACCCTGAACATACTTAGCCTTTACCCATTTGCAAATGACCTGGCCACATCTCTTCTACATGCATTAGCTTACAGTTCAATTTTTATTCATTATTCTTCTTTAATGAGATTAGAAAAGTTGGCTTTGGCTTCTATAAGCTGGAAAATCTGAATAAGGAATATGACTAAAGACAAAAGAAAATAAGAAAAAATCTCTATATCAAGAATTTGGAAATAGTTTCCAACTTATATCTACTGATAGAATATTCTACTTTTCAATGATACATTACTTAAGATAATTCAGGCAGAACTTTCAGTTCCTGAGCACAGTGGCCTCCTGTTTTCTATTTCTTATGATAAATTATCCCAGGATTTCAAAAAAAAAAAAGTTTGTAACTCATATTAATAAAAGAAATAGCTGACATATCTGGGATCATTAGGAAAGTTTAGTGATTTACTGAATAACATACAGGATACTAGTAGTCAGGCTGGTTTGCTCACAAAACCCCGTGACAGGCTTTAGGGTTTGTTCTAATATTAATATCATTTATTTCCCTAAATAATTTATCTCATTTAATCTCATCACACACCCCATTAGGCAAGTATTATTGTTTTGATCTTTAAACATGAGGAAAGAGAAATTAATGTCATATGATCTGTCCGGGTGGTAATGCTCTTAATAGTCCACTAAGGCTCTAGCTTGGGCCTGTGCAATGCCAAATCCACTAACCTTCTTTTAGTCTATTGCTAACTAGGCAGTTGGAGAGATGTCATATTCTAGACTATCTGGATTTTCAGAATGCACATAGATCATTTTTCTCATGACACTGTTTCTAACTGGGGATGGACTATCTGTAAAGATAAAAATAAATATGAGAGTATAATGTGGGATGTAACTAGGATGTACAAAGATGGGTAGGGATTCATGTACAGGTGCCAGCCTGAGAAAGATTTCTGTAGATGATACTGAAGTGGTCTTATGTTGCTTCTGTCCTATGCAACATACTTAGTAACAATGTGCTATAGTAAGTTGAGAATATATTGATGTGATAATTTTCGCTCTCTTGGAACCGTAAATTAAACTATTTCATTTGTTCAGAACATGGACCCACACTTTTCTGCCTACTTCACTTCTCAGTTTCCATTTTTTAGATATAGCTTAAATATTACTTCCTCTAGGAAGTCTTTTCAGAATCTCCTACCCCTAAACTATGGCAGAGTCCCATGTTACACAGTTTTATAACAAACTATTTTCCTTCACGGTACTTAATAACAATTTTACTGATATTAACATTGTTATCATAATTTTCATACCACCAATATAAACTGCATGGTTTTATATATTTTCCCTATATCTGACACCTTAGAGGTATTTCACAGTCTTAGGGTCTGGCAAAGACTAAACCGGGAGTGGAAAATTACATATAGGACTCACAGATATAAAAAGAGTGCTCACTGGAGATGGGAAAGGGATGCTAATGCAGTTTATACTCCATTGTATTAGTCTGTTCTCACACTGCTATGAAGAAATACCCAAGACTGGGTAATTTATAAAGAAAAGAGGTTTAATTGACTCACAGTTCCACATGGCTGGGGAGGCCTCAGGAAACTTACAGTCATGGCAGAAGGCACCTCTTCACAAGGCAGCAGGAGAGAGAATGAGAGCCAAGAGAAGGGGGAAGCCCCTTATAAAACCATCAGATCTCGTGAGAACTCACTCACTATTACGAGAACAGTACGGGGGAAGCCATCCCCATATTTCTATTACCTCCACCTGGTCACGCCCTTGACACATGGGGACTATTACGATTCAAGGTGAAATTTGGGTGGGGACACAGAGCAAAACCATATTGTCTATTAATATCAACTGTAGCTCTTTTTTTTTACACTATTTCCTCATATCAACTGATGATCAAATAGAAGTTGAGAATCAATCATTTCAACAAATATCATACTAAAATTAAATTTCAAAAGAGTATGAAGATAGCTTAGAAGATTCCTACTGCTAAATAGAGTGACATGCTAAGAAATATCCAACCATTTCCCACATTAGGCTCCAGAGAATCTTGAGTGATTTTCACCATCTTTTCTCGGTGTCATGGGAAAAACGTAAGTTTTGGAGACAGATGGTACTGGCATGAAGTGTCACATTTTGCCACATTTTTTACTTAGCCATTGTCAGGATTTGCAGATGCTGTTGCCTCATCTCTCTAAGCATCCATTTTCTTAGCATGGATGAAACTGGAGGTCATTATGTTAAATGAAATAAGCCAGGCACAGAAAGATAAATTTCACCTGTTCTCATTCATATGTAAGAGGCAAAAATTAAAACAATTAAACTCATGGAAAAGGACAGTAGAATGACAGTTACCAGAGACTAGGAAGGGTAGTGGGGAGGGCCAGGGGAAGTGGGGATGGTTAATGTGTGCAGAAATATATTTAGATAGAATGAATAAGATGTAGTATTTGATAGCACAACATGGTGACTATAGTGAACAATATTTATTTTATATTTTGAAATAACTAAATGAGTGGAATTGGAATATGCCTAACGCAAATAAATGATAAATTCTTGAAGTGATGGATACGCCAGTTACCCTGATTATTACATATTGTATGCCTGTGTCAAAACATAACATATACTCCATAAATATATATACATATAATGTATTTGTAAAAATTAAAAATAAATAAAATGGGTACAGGAATGTCTATATTATAGGTTAATTTTGAATACTCAATCCAACAATATGTGTAAAATACACAGCAGAGGTTTTGTAACATAGTAGACACCCAAAAATACTAACCTAACTCATTCCATCTCAAGGTCCATGAACTCAGATAAGGTTCTTGTTTTCAAAATGTTTAAACTCATTGAAGATAAGCATATGCACATTGTTAAAAATGATTGTGTTTGGCATTCTTTATATTAGAAATAACTAATCAAGAGTTGTGATTATTGTCTTAGGATTTTGAGATAGAGCTAAGAAATACTTTAAACCATACTGAGAAGTGTTTTATAAATAAGAAATTGTGAAATGACTATGAATTCTTAGTTAAGGCTCCCTGATTAAGCCTTCCCTTTCTTAGGAATATCTTTTTTTGATCCGTATTCAAAACACCATCCTCACTTCCTTCTTCACTTTACTAACAAGTTTCTTTAAACAACCAGTATGTCCTGGATTTTTACAATTTTTTTTTGCCAATGTCCCTAGATTCTAGGTCTGTCCCTCCATGTTACTGACATCATTCTCTTAAAAATCATCTCAATTGTCAAGTTTAATGGTGGCTTTCATGTTCTCATCCTGTCAGTGTGCCAGAGGATGTGTAAAAACTTGGATAAGCATGATGCATCTTCCAGATTCATCAATTTTGCACAGACTCAAGAAACTTATTTTCTATCAAAACAAATAGTTATGCAGTCAGACACAAAATTTGTATGAAATTTGTCTTAGTCCATTTTAGTTTGCTTATAACAGAATACCAGAAACTGGGCAATTTTTAAAGAATATAAACATATTTCTTACAGTTCTGAAAACTGGTATGTCCAAGGTCAAGAAGCCAGATCTGGTGAGGGCCTTTTTCTGGTGGGGACTCTGCAGAGCTCCAAGGCGGTGCAAGGCATCAAATGGTGAGGAGGCTGAGCATGCTAGTTCAGGCCTGTCTTCCTCTTCTTATAAAGCTACCAGTTCCACTCTCATGATAGACTATTAATTCATTAATCCATGAATGGATTAATCCATCCATGAGGGCATAGCCCTTATGACACAATCACCTCTCAAAGGCTCAATCTCTCAATACTGCCACATTGGGGATTAACATTCCACATGAGTTTTGGACAGAAAAAACAATCAACTGATTGCAAAAATATATAGGGCAACAGGAGACTTCAAAGAACTGTCATAATTACAGATGGCTGCTCTAAATCACTCTGACTAATGCTGTCTTTGTTGACTTCTATTTTTTACTCTACTCTTCTGGTCCTTCTTCTATCTCTGAGTGCTTCTCCTCAGATTCCCTTTCTAGCTCAATTTACTTCTTACATTTGGTGTTTCCCAAGACTTGAATCCTTGTTCATCTGCTGCTCTTCAAGGCTGGTAGCACAACATAATCTGGTATGTGTAGTGGCAGACAAAGCAGGACATCAACATTGACTATAGCTGTTCCATATTTATTGTTGAGTGACTAGTCATAAGCCTGAGTAAATGGAATTGAACACTGCACATCTGGCGACTCAATATATGAAGAAGTGCTCATTATAAGATACAGTGCTCTACGTGCACCTCTGAGAAAAATAGCATGTAACTGGAAGTAAACAGCTCCTTGACATTCTAAGAGGAACTTGGTGAACAAACCCAGGGAGACCTGACTTTGGATGGAAAATAGGATGTCAGGCTTCAAACATCTTGTATAAGGTGGGGTGAATTCCCCAAGAATTGAAGAGTTATATAAGAAGGAAATATTTATATGTACTGCTGCTTTATTTCTATTTGTTCCTTCTGCTACCTAATACACTGAAATGATGAAGGACATCTTAAAGTCTTTTGGCAAATCCATTCTCTACTAAGTCCATAATCAGGCTAATATTGAAGTATACCATCACAGAAAAAAGCAGCATCTCCTAGAGCCAACAAAAATGCTGAACTGAAGACTCTTACTTGGAATACACCTTAATAAGTAATGATTATCACTTGAGCATCCGCCACCGCATTTCAGCAGTGACTCTACAAAAACCTTCACCTCAGCAAGAGCACCAAAAGTTCATCAGATTGGCAGCACTATTTTGTCATTGCAATATTTACAAAGTACTCATGTTTTCCATAGCGCCAACACTTTACTTTTATCTTTTAGTACTTGATAGGATTTAGTTTACTGGAGTGGCTTAATGAACATATGGAAGTTGACTAAGGACACCTTAGGTTATCAACTCTTCATTTTCTTTTCCATCTCACCCTTGCCCCATGCCTCCAAAATGAGAAAAATATCTTCCTAAATTTTAAGAGAAAATTACTCCAACTTTCCTCTACCTGCTTTTATCTTCCTGGAACATACCCTGAGGAATCTGCTGACAACTCTTTCCTTTTAATAGCTTGTCCTAAAATTACATATGCTGTAGATGCTAATTCCTGGTTTGTGTGAATTGCTCCTCTCCCAAAATGCATTTGTATCATGTCTTTGCAGCAAGA
Source organism: Homo sapiens (assembly GCF_000001405.40). Classification (NCBI taxonomy): domain Eukaryota; kingdom Metazoa; phylum Chordata; class Mammalia; order Primates; family Hominidae; genus Homo; species Homo sapiens. The sequence continues at coordinate 113,849,608 of NC_000023.11, read as the reverse complement.
AGTGACTATATCTCTGTGAATGCTACATACATTACCATATTGTAATTTAACACCAAAGGCATTAGCTGCACCAACTTTTTATTTATTGTGATCTTGAAAAACACATGGTCTTCACATTTTTTGATGAGGGTCATTAAAAAATATTTATGGAATATGCATGTCAATCCCAGATATATTGAAATGAGTAAACCTTCATATTATGCTGTTGGCTACATAACAGAGCAATAGCTGGAACTACTTTGCCTTGGACTCTTAAAACAGGAAAGATTTTATATACTTCATTGTCCAAAGAGTTATCTAGATACCAAGTGATGTGAAGTGCTCTGACAGTTTCTTGATTTCATTCACATACATTTCTAAAAACATTCCCCTTAAGATGGCTTTCTATTTTGCATTTTATAGATGTACTTGAATTTGTAAGTACAGAATTAGTGCAACTTTTTGCATATCAATCATAGCTTTTTAATGTCTGAATTGGTTTGTGGATCTTTTGCGAAGTGCATTCTCTGTGCACTGCAGACCTTGCTGTCAAAATCATGCTATGGTCAGCATTTATATTTGTCCAACTCAGGAATGCTGTTACTTTAAGAAGCCATGCTCATCCCCTTTAAAAAGATACCAATGAGTAACAAACTATTAGGGATCTAGAACTAGAAATACCATTTGACCCAGCCATCCCATTACTGGGTATATACCCAAAGGATTATAAATCATGCTGCTATAAAGACACATGCACACGTATGTTTATTGCAGCACTATTCACAATAGCAAAGACTTGGAACCAACCCAAATGTCCAACAATGATAGACTGGATTAAGAAAATGTGGCACATATACACCATGGAATACTATGCAGCCATAAAAAATGATGAGTTCATGTCCTTTGTAGAGACATGGATGAAACTGGAAACCGTCATTCTCAGCAAACGCAAGGACAAAAACCAAACACCGCATGTTCTCACTCATAGGTGGGAATTGAACAATGAGAACACATGGACACAGGAAGGGGAATATCACACACCGCGGACTGTTGTGGGGTGGGGGGAAGGGGGAGGGATAGCATTAGGAGATATACCCAATGCTAAATGATGGGTTAATGGGTGCAGCACAGCAACATGGCACATGTATACATATGTAACTAACCTGCACGTTGTGCACATGTACCCTAAAACTTAAAGTATATAAAAAAAAGATACCAATGAGTTATACTGATAGAAAAAGTAAAAAAGAAGAAGTCTACTACTAACTACACAGCTCAGTATATTTCCTATGCTGTCCATTAGTTCTGTTTTTATGTATGTTTGGTTTCTCCAGTGAATAAATACAATCATGTAAATTAAGTTTGCTCTTTTTCCATTTTGCATGAACATGAATTATTAATTTAGCATGGAATAATGGACCACACTTGGTAGATTACTGAAAGATTTGAAATTTGAATTTCAATCTTACCTCTGACCCTAAAGAGCTCATGATCTTGGGTAAGTCTTTTCTATTCTTTAGGCTTTGTTTTCCTCAATTCAGTTTTTAGTGCAATTTATTAAGAAGTATGGGATATGAGTCCATCCTCCCTGGATAGAAATCCTGGCTTTGCCTCTTACCACATAAGCGGCCTTAGGTAAGTTACTTACATGTGCCACAATGGTGATAATAATCCTACCTTATAGGGTTGTTGGGAGGATTAAGTGAGTTTATTAAGGCAAATTGAAACATGACTTGGCACAGGCAAAGTACTCACCAAATATTAGATGTGCTCATCTGGAAAATTAGGCTATTTGACCGGATAAGATTTTTAGAGTCATGCAGTTCTACAATTCTATTTCTTTGATTGTGTATAAGCTCCTTAAGAACAAGCCTTCTGTGAAATAGCATGTTTAGCACAGAATTTTTCCAATAGTACATTCTCAAAAATATTTGATGAATTAAATAAAATTAATAGAAAAACCTATGTTAAAGCAAAAAGATGACTCTTTATCTACTATTGCCAGAAAATTTTTACCCATGGGTCTTTCATAAAAATATGGAATTAAAAAATGCTTTAAAAAATCACTGCCAATTAAGACAAACCATTTTAATTTGTTGACCAATCTTCAGATTCCAATTTCAAGATGAAAATTGATATTCTATTATAAGTAGAAATTAGATTGCCTGAGAAGCAGGGTACTTTAAGATGTAATGAAAAGCACATTTCTTAACCTATTTAGACAGTTTAAGATTGAATACAAAGTACATTTAGAAAACAACATGCAATGCCAATAGATGGTAAGCCTGACATTTGAAACTCACTTTATTATTCATTGCCTTCTCCTGTGGATATGAAGTTCCTTTGTGTTCTCTTAAAAATTTAAACTGTTTTGTTCTGTAACTGACCCGCTGAAGCTGGATGCTATGCAAAAGGATTGCAAAAAGCAATAGAAGTTGATAAGAATGGTTGAAAAAGTCAGTTGAATACAAAGCCATCCCTTCTTTGTACCCTCATCATAACTAGGATATATGTCTTATAGTAATTACCACCTTGTAATTTTGATGTGACAGATTAGCAGGCTGGAGCTACCAAAGTGGTTGACTGAATTCCTAACTTAAAAAAAAAAAAAGCAGAGTTGGATGTTGGGACACAAGCGCATGGGCATCCTGGTTACCTGGTTAAGAATAGGCTTCTGATGGTTTATTTCTGATGCTTCCTCAATAAAATCTCATGAAATAATTAATGTTCTTGAATTATAAGAAGTTTTGCCTTTAGACCTTTATCTGGCTACTTTCACAGTTCCAGTATTCACAGACTGTTGTGGGAAACAGAAAAATAAAAGGAATCCAAGATAGAAAAATTGCAATTTTTAGAGAAAGAGGGTAGGTCCATATGAGACATTGAAGTTAAGGGAGTATGCATATGTCTAGTACAGTAGCTCTTAGGAAATTGGGTAATTCAGCTATCTTCCTCCCTCTTTCTCATTTCCTACATGTTTATCTCTTTGAATAGCAAATAAACTATAATTTCCTCTCGACAAATATCTAAGTCTTAGATTTACTTATATCTTCTTCAAGACCTTAAAAATGGTACTATACAAGGAGGTCATTGACGATGGATTGATTTTTTTTTTTTTTTTTTTTTTTTTTTTTTTTTTTTTGAGATGGAGTCTCACTCTGTTGCCCAGGCTGGAGTGCAGTGGCGCCATCTCGGCTCACTGCAACCCCCACCTCCCAGGTTCAAGCTATTCTCCTGCCTCAGCCCCCGAACTAGCTGGGACTACAGGCACGTGCCACCACGCCCAACTAATTTTTGAATTTTTAGTAGAGACTCAGTTTCACCATGTTGGCCAGGCTGGTCTCAAACTCCTGACCTCAGGTGATCCACCCTCCTTGGCCTCCCAAAATGCTGGTATTACAGGCATGAGCACCACACCCGGCTGATGATGGATTGATTTTAAGTGGGGACGATTAAAGTACAGATTTTTTTTTTTTAAATGTGAGCATTCAGGATGTGTGCCTTCAGTGACAAAAGAGGCTGTTTAGTTCAATGTCCTCATTTTAAAGATCTGGAACCTGAAAACTAGAGAAGAAAACGAATTTTCCCAAGATCATGTGAATGTTTCATCAAAGTGCTAGGACTGGCATTCAGATCCCCCATCCAGAATCCCACTGCTCTTTCAACTACAGGGATTTTTTCCCTTAGAGGAAAGGCCAAGTGGTCCTCTATGTAAAACAAGAAATCTTTCTGAAAGAAAACTTAGTGGAAAAGTTGAAGGAAAGGGTACCTTTTATTATTTTAAGGAGCATGATAAATTTCACAACTGATCTCTTCATGGGAAGTAGTTAAAGGTGCTGTGGACTGAGCATTGTGAAATTTGGTGGGGCCACATTAAGGTATTTCTTACCTTTGGGCCACCCTCCTTTCCTTAAGTTATAGCCTTGTCCTTGTAAAGCAGTTCAAAGAAAATAGAACAGTAATAGAAGTTTCTAGAGAGAAGCAGTGACATTCTTCTACAGTGTAGAAGATATATTTGAAGGGAAAAGTGAGTGCAGTGCTGTGGTCCTGAACATTCCGTAATTGATCTTCAGTGCACTGACTATATGATGCATTTACCTAGCTCTTATGTGTTGTCATCACAAATCAAATCTTCAATAAGCTTCCCTTCATGTTGCTTTATAATTAGGAGATGCTTCAAAATGAATGCTTCAAAATCAGTTAATCTTCAATGAATGAATGAATGGATGAGCGCTTACCTTTGACACCCTTGGACACGTACTATTGAATCTCTTTTCTACATATATCACTGTCAGCCTAAACTAATCAAAAGCATCAGAATTCACTTTAAAGAGAGTTTATTCAAGTGCAAAGTTTGGAGATAACCACTTAGAAAGCACAGATTCCAAAGAATGGACGTCAGTGTCCTGGAATGTAGAAGTTTGCGAACATTTATATAGACAAAGTTGAGAGAAGCTTAACAGAATTTCAATATCTTTCTATCTAAGGCTTAGTGCATAGCTAGAATATCTGACTAGTTGAGGTGGTCCTTTTCTTTCTAGAAAGGTATAGTTAGCATTCCACAGTGAAGATATAATCATTTTAGGGCCTTTTGCATCATCTAGTTTGAGTTAGGTATAGGACAATTAAGGAGGGAGTTAATCTATAACAAAAATCAGGGATTGGAAGGGGAGAAAGTTTGGTCTCTGGTCTTTCCTAGTCATTTACAGAACAAGAACAATGAAGAAGCGAATTAATCTATAATCTATAAAACAAAAGTTGCAAACATGTGACTCAGCCTCCAGGGTTAATGCCTCCCTTGGCATAATAAATTTAAAGGGTCCTGAAATTTCATTTTCTTTACATCACCATTCATCTATTTCACTCCTCATCACTTCCCTTACTTAGAAATTAGCTAGTAACAAATGATGGATTGGAATCGTATAGGAGAACATGGACCTGGTCTCTTTTTCATCGTTGAATCTCCAGCACATAGTGCAGTGCTCTGTACATATTAAATGTTCAATAAATATCTGATGAATTTTGAATGGAAGCTTATCAAATAGTAGAGCCCATCTTTTCCTCCCAGAAAATATTGCTATTGATTAGAGTACTTTGTATAACAACAACGACGACAACAAATTAATCTCTCATTTGTGGAATTTGAGAACAATAGGTAAGATAGCTGATGTTGAGGACTTTTCACAGTCCCTCAAATATACGTCAAGAGGATTGCTGTCTAATGCACCTATCTGTACAGCCATTCTTTCCTAGAACATTTGTTTGGAAAGGATACCATTATAAGAACTTAATAGCAATGTAAATTTAATATTAAGATGGGAATCTAGAGTTTATTTTTGTTTTTTTCTCTATACAATTATTTATTTATTTTTTGTATTATTTATTTCTCTAAGATTTGGTATATAATTCCAATTTATTTGGTTTTGCCCAAATTTATGATTTAAATTGTTCACCATTTCCCCAGAAAACTCACATTATACTAAATATTGAGGAAGAGTTCAAAGAACTGGGATAATACATGTGGTATCAAGGACTGGTTAAACATAGCCTGTATGCAGAGTTAGCAAATACTAAAAAATGCCTTTACTTCAAAGATTTGAACAGACACTTTACCAAAAGAGATATTCAGATGGAAAATAAACTCATGGGAAATATGTTTGATATCATTAGTCAAATGGGCAATGCAAATAAAAATCACAATGAGATAGAACTATACACCTATCAGAATATCTAAAATTAAGAAGGTGACCAAAGTAAGTACTGATGAAGATACAGAGCAATTAGAAGTGTCATACATTGCTGGTGGGAATACAAAATTATACAGCCACTTTAGAAAATAATTTGGCAGTTTCTTATAAAGTTAAATATAAACTTGCCATACAAAACAGCAATTCCACACCTAAGAATTTGTCCAAGAAAAATGACAAATTTTTATACAAAAGGCTTATGCATGAATGTTCATACACACATTAATCATAATAGCCCCAAACTGGAAGAAACCCAAATACCCATCAAGTAGTGATTAAATAAACAAATTGTGAGATATGTATTCAATGCAATACTAGATACTATTTCACAGTAAAAAGAAATGAACTGCTGATATATTCAGCAACACAGATGAAATCTTAAACACATTATGCTAAGTCAAGTAAATTGGACACAAAACACTGCATAATGTATGATACCCATTAGAAGAAATTCTAGAAAAGGCAAAACTATAGTGACAGAAAGCAGATCATTGGTTACTAGGGTCTAGGTATGGAAGGAAGGGGTTGATTGAAAAGAAGACAGAAGAAACATTTTGTGGTGGTGGAATGTTCTACATCTTGATTGCAGTGATGGCTCTATGACTATATACTTGTTATTACTCATTGTATTATGTACTTAAAATTGGTGATTTTTATTGTTTGTAAATTATACCTCATTAAAATGGGTTTAAAAAATGCTTTGGCCCGAAAGATTTTCCTTAGCAGCTAGCCATAATGCTTGAAAAGACTCATCATTAGTCTTTTCCTTGGTGAATTTCTTGAAGGCATCTGCTGAAATGTAAATCATAGCTGCATGATGTCATATACCAAGTTGTTAATCTTCATTAACTACTTGTTTTGAATTTGTTTTTCCATCTAATTTTCAGCCCCCTGCAGTGATATATGGCAATGATACATAAGAAATACAATCTATTGAGAAGGGACAGACATGAGAGGCCAAGAGCAGAGGAGATGGTCACATGGTGGTGTTGGTGTGTGATAATGAATGAATATTATGTGCAGCAACAGAGTCAGTATTGGGCACAAGATAATGAAGGAGAGAAGAAATTAAAAGAGAATGAAAAGAAGAGAAATTAGTCATTAGGCTCTTAATTGCCAATGCTTTCTAAATACTAGGTTATTTAATCCTCAAAATAACTCTAGAAAGATACAGTTATCACCAGTCACAAGTATATAGAGGAGGAAAATGAAGTACAGAGAGGTGAAATAAGTTGTTCAAGATCATAGCCAGTAAGTGGCAGAGCTGGGATTTGGAAGTATATATTCCTCCTAAAATGTGTTGAAGGAATATATTTTCTAAAGTTCTCAGCTTGACAATGAAGATAATCAACAGTTGCCAGAAAAGATTCAATTTCTGTTCTCCTGCACATGTAATTCCTTATTTTTTACGCAAGTGATTCATAGGTTTAAGACTGAAAGTTGAAAATTCAACTTACCGTAGAATTTTCTAGAATTAAGATATATGAAACTAGGGAGCTGGCTTCCAATGGTAAGCCTAAAAAGTTATTGAGACTAAGAAGACTTAGTCATTCTGTGCCAATGCATGACACAGAAACCCTGCAATCTGTGTTATTAGCTCTGGAATGGAATCTAGATCAAAGAAATTTTCCACAATAAACATTGAAAGGCCAAGAAAACCATTTTCCTCCCAATACATAGCCTGCCTTAAGTAGTCATTTGTTACTCTTACTTACCAAGTTAGGAAAAAAGATTATCTTTTTCATGAATAACATAAATGGTCTTTAGTTTCTTTGATATTCAGAGTTTACTGTCACCATTTCTAGGTGAAATTATGTGATATTAATTAACTTTATATACTGATACTTTCACTCTCACATTTTCTCTCTGATTAGACATATGCAATTTCATTAAGAAAGTTCACAAGGCAGCAGAATTAAATTAGATAAGCATTTGTATCTCCCCAAAATGAGATTATTGCTCTTAAAAATTTGTCACTTTAAAATTATATTGTGAAACTAACACCCAATAATTGAAATTAAGGAAGAATTCTCATGGTACTTCTGATGAGAAGATACTAACTTCATTACTGATATAACCATATTTCAATGTTTCAAAATACGGCCCAGTTCATTTTCTGAGTGTGGGACAAAGTTTTCAAAGAGGACCTCAGCTTTAGCTTTAGATTCTTTTCCAGAATCTCCAGCTGTATTGACAAACAAGTTCCTATCATTCTTTGTTTCCTGGCTTCTATCTCAGCACCATCTAAACAGAAAACTAGCTTTATAATCAGGCACTTTGGGGATGCTGAGTTGTGCAATTCATCAGAAAGAAACATGGAAAAACATCCCAAATTCACAAAGTAACTGCAAGATTTATTTAGCCCAAGTCAGGTAATACTGAAAACTCAAGAGAAAATATGAAGTACGAAGTGCCTGAAGTAGACTTCCTAGTGACTGCCAAAAGGCATGTAGATTAAAACAGGCTCAAATCTTGAATCAAAATGAAGGAAGTGTTCCAATGTCACCCACTGGACCAAAAGAAAAAAAAAAATCAATAAGGCGTATTTTAGGTCTAACTCAAAACTTGGGTGGTCGTAAGAGTGGTCTGTATGGGAAGCTATAAGGTAAAAAGAAATATATAGACTACATATTAGCCAAAGTCCTAATCCACAGGTGCAATATGGCTACATAGTGTTGGGCAAATTGTTAATTTCTCTGAGCCTTAGTTTTCCAATCTGTTAAATGATAATGATCAGATATAGGATTCTTATTCTTAAAATATGCTAATGTCCCCGCAATTCTTCTCCTTGAAACAAGACAAAGCAACAAGGAGAACGAAAGAAAAACTTCTAAACCATATTTTCATGAAACTGGGAAAGAGAAGAAAAAAATTGTGAAGTCTAAAGTACGTGTAAATTCTGCAAAAAGCAGCCGAAACCAGCAGGGTTATATTGGGAGCCCATAAGAAGCCAAAACAGGAGTTGCAGGGAAGAAAGAAGCATAAGGGGGTTTTCATGGTGGCAGATCTGAAAACTTATCAGTAAAAATACATTTTAAAAGAAAGAGGGGATGACAAGAAATACACTAATAATAAAAGACATTAATTTGTCAAATTCCAAGACAGGGTGAGTAGACAAGTAAGGATATAAGAGACTCAAATGACGTAATTAATGAAGCAGATGTGATAGACATGTACTTAACTCAGTGGTTCTACAATATAGAATGACTCTTTTTTTTGAGACATAGTCTCGCTCTGTAGCCCAGGCTGGAGTGCAGTGACGCGATCTCGGCTCACTGCAACCTCCACCTCCCAGGTTCAACCGATTCTCTTGCCTCAGCCTCCCGAGTAGCTGGGACTACAGGCACGTGCCACCACGCCTGGCTAATTTTTTGTATTTTTAGTAGAGATGGGGTTTCATCGTGTTAGCCAGGATGGTCTCAATCTCCTGACCTCATGATCCGCCCACCTAGCCCTCCCAACGTGATGGGATTACTGGCGTGAGCTACCATGCCTGGCTAATTTTTGTATTTTTAGTAGAGACGGGGTTTCACCATGTTGGCCAGGCTGGTCTCCAACTCCTGACCTCAAGTGATACTCCTGCCTTGGTCTCCCAAAGTGCTGGAATTATAGGTGTGAGCCACTGCGCCCAGTCTCATATTTATAATCACCCCCAAATGGGCAATTCACATGGACCCCCTATTTGCTCACTAAGATATCATAAATACATTCTTAAAGGATATAAATGATACAGATATTCTCTTATGACACCATAAAGTTAGAAATTAAAAACAAAGTCAGAAAATAAAAGACCTTTTCATCTATAAATTAAAACACACACACCTCCTCTCATAAAATTAATTTTTCAACAGAAGTACAAACAAAAAGTATCGCATTTTGAAAAAAGAGTGAAACAGAAACACTATATTTAAGAATCTATGCAATACAGCTCAAATAATGATTGGAGAAAAATTCAGTGCTTTAAATACTATATAACAATAAAGGAGAAAGAATGAAAAGATAGTTCTAAAAATTAAAATAAAATCAACAAAATAAAGTCAAAAAAAAGAAAGAAAAATATCAGAAGAGGTAATTAATAAATGCTAAAACAGGAAAAACAATAGAATTAATCCATGAAAAAACAAAACCTGGTTCTTGGAAAAAAATCAATGACCAATTACCACTAGACAAGCTTGCCTCAATAAGAAAAAAGGAAAAAACAAAAATGCAGAAATAAGGAATAATAAGGGGGTAACAATAATAGAAAAAGAGGAAATTAAAGAAAATCATGAATAGATTTCTTTCCACAAGTACATGCAAATACAATTGAAAACTTGGATGAAATGGATAAATTCTCCCCCCAAAATAAAATGTACCCAAAGTAATCTCAGAATAGTTTCATTTAAAGCAAACAAACAACAACAAAAAATAAAAGACAGAGAAGGTTCTTAAAGAAATCCTCTCTAATAAAAGTACCAGACTTAGAGGGTTTCACAGGAAAATTCAACCAGATATCTGTAACTCATCCAGAATGTAACAAACTAAGTTACATTTCTACTTTTTAATGAATTTACTATGAAATTGATTCCAGAACAGGACCAAGATTGAACACTAAAACTACAGACCAAATATTCATGTAAAATCCTAAATAAACTGTTAGCAAACAGAATCCAGCAGCACATTTAAAAAATACTATATTATGACCAAGTTTGTTTTATTCCAGTAATGGAAATAACATTTTATATTAATAAATATGTGAATATATTTAATCATATCAATAAGTTTAAACAGAGAAAAGATTATGTAGTCATTTCCATAAAAGACGAAAAAGCACTTAACAAAATTCAATACAATTCTTCTTTTTTTTTTTTGAGACGGAGTTTCACTCTTGTCGCCCAGGCTGGAGTGCAGTGGCGTGATCTCGGCTCACTGCAACCTTTGCCTCCCGGGTTCAAGCAATTCTTCTGCCTCAGCCTCCCAAGCAGCTGGGATTACAGGCGCCCACCACAACCAGCTAATTTTTGTATTTGTAGTAGAGACGGGGTTTCACCATATTGGCCAGGCTGGTCTTGAACTCCTGACCTCAGGCAATCCACCTGCCTCTGCTTCCCAAAGTGCTGGGATTACGGGTGTGAGCCACCGCGCTCGGCCAATACAATTCTTGATTAAAAAATAAAGCTCTATAAAATAGGAATTGATGGTTACTTCCTTACTGTTATTTTATATAATCAGAGTTGAAAAGGCAAGCTTCATTTTTAATGAGAACACGCTGAAGGAATTCTCACTAAAAAATACGGCCAGGATGTCCACTAGTACAATCACTATTGAACATTATACAGAAGTCATTACCCAATGCAGCTAAATCCAACTGGTAAAGATAATCAGAACTATAAAACACAGAAACGAAAAGGTGAAATTATCACCATTATAAAATTGTATGTTTACATACAATGTTTATACTTGAAAAACCAAAGATAACCTATTGAATAACTACTATAAACAGTAATATAAATAAATAAAATTAAAGTAAATAAATCAAAAGCCTTCACTTAGAATATATAAACAGAAGAATAGACTAGTTTACAATTACAAAGAAGATACTTTACCTAAGAAAATGAGAGAGACTAAAAGTTTTTGAAGAAAATTCACTGTAAAACACCCCCAAAGGATATAAAAGCAGACATGAACAAAATTGAAAGAAATGTCATAGAAGGTAAAAAATTCAACATTTTAATTTTCATAAGTCACTATTACAATCGTAATAAAAATAGCAAGTTATTTTCTTCCACCTTGGAGTTAGAGAGGTGATTCTAAAGTTCAAATGAAAAATGAAACCAAGAATAGAGAGAAAATCTCTGAAAAAGAAAGGCAGTTTGGAGAACAATCCTTTTCAAATATAAAATCTTATTTTAAAGCCTTAATAACTTGAACAGCATGACGCAGGTTCATGAATAGATATATACCTCAATGGAAAAGAAGTAGAAATTCTAGATTTACATTTATATATGTATGGAAATTCAGCATATGATACAGGCAGCTTCTTAAATTAGTGGTAATAAAGATTGAACTTTTCAGTACATGATGAGGAATGATTGTGTAGTCACTGGAAAATGAAAGTTGAATCCATGCTGCATTAGTCAAGATTATCCAGAAAAACAGAACAATTAGCATATATATAGAGAGAGAGAGAAAGAGAAAGAGAAAGAGAGAGAGGGAGACATGCAATTATGGAAGCTAAGACCCAAGATTTGCAATTGACAAGCTGGAAACCCAGTAACACCTATGATATAGTTCCAGTCCAAAAATTGGCAGACTAGAAATGCAAGAAGATTCAATGTTCAGTTTGAGTCTGAGGGCAGGAAAAAAGACCAAAGTCCTGGCTCAAGGTTGTCAGGCAGGTAGAGTCCCTCCTAGCCATTTTGTTCCATTCAGACCTTTGGTGGACTGGATGTGGGCTACCTACATTAGGGAGAGCAATCTTAAGTTCCTCCAAAAGCTGAGGAAAAAAAAAGGGAGAGCAATCTACTTTCCTCAGTTTACCGATTTAAACGTTAAAATCATCCCCAAACATGCTCACAGACACACCCAGAATAACAGTTAATCAAATATCTGGGTGTTCTGGGGCCCAGTCAGGTTGACATGTGAAAGCAACCATCAGGCACACACCTCATACGTTACGCCAGGATAAACTAACAATGGGTCAAAATTATACCAACACACATACACATATGCATGCAGGTACATACATTATAAAATGTATGTGCATGCATTATATTATTTAAGATAGTATATGATACATACATATATCATATATTATATATGTAGACATATATGTGGATGTATCATGTCTTCTAAGAGATATATATGATACAATATATATAAAGTTATAAAACATTTTTAAAATATTTAAATATATTTTAAAATTATTTTCTTGAATTATAAAATATTACAAGAAAACATAGTGAAATTATTTTGTAACCTTGGTTTAGCGAAGGTCTTTTCATTCTATGACTCAAAATGCATGCACATACAATGAAAAACAAAAGAAAACCACAAAAATATCTGCATGGCCTAAGACACAATACACAAAAACAGGAAGAACTGGTGAAAATGTGTAATTCAGATAAGACTGAAAGAATTTCTAGAGTTAGAATTCTACTCTTATGGATATATCTAAAGCACCTTTAAATTAATGAAACATTACCAGCAACCCAGTTTTCAAAAAAAATAGACAAAACATATGGCGATTACTTTTATATGTCAACTTGGATAGGCCATGGTACCCAGCTATTTGGTCAAACATCTAGTCTAGATGTCTCTCTGAAGGTACTTTTTAGAAGATATTAACATTTAAATCAGTAGACTTTGAGTAAGCAGATTACCCTCCATAAGATGGGTGGCCCTCATCCAGTCAGTTGAAGGCCTTAATAGAAAAAAAGTCTGAGGACCCCTGAGGAAGAGAAACTCTGACTCCAGAATAACTTCTGACTTGAGGTGCAACATCAGCTCTTCTCTGAGTCTCCACTCCATTGGCCTGCTCTGAAGATTTCAGAGTTGCCAGACCCCACAAATCAAGTAAAACAATTCATTAAAATAAATTCCTATCTACACACACACACACACACACACACACACACACACACACACCCTATTGGTTCTGTTTCTCTGGGGCACCTTGACTAATACGAAGGACACACACACAACAAGAACTCCACAAATGACTCTTAAACATATGAAAATATGCCAAACCACACTCAGTAAGAGAAATGCAAAATAAAACTACCTAAGGTAGTTTTACCTCGCAGTTTGGCAAAAAAATAAAAATAAAAATAAATTACAACAGGCATTCTCATAAATTATTAGTTGGATGACAAAATGGTAGAATCCCTATGGGGGAAAATTTGGTAATGTCTATTAAAGTTACAAATATATTTAGCTTTTGAGCAATTATCTCACTTCTGGGAATTTATCTGGCTACTTCACTTGCACACATACAAAATGAAGTATATTCAAGATTATTCCTTGAAACATTTTTACAATAGTAAAAGACTGAAAACAACACAAGTAAACATCAATGAATACTATGAAGCTTTGAGAAACTGAGGAAGCTCTCTATTTACCAGAAAAATCTCCTGGATATTTTTGTCAAGTAAAAACAAAGCAAAATGAAGCAAGGACAAAACAATATAGATACTTTTCTCCCTTTTGTGTAAGAAAGAAGGAAATATGAAATATAATGTACATATATATTTGGATTAATTTGTATAAACAAACATGAAAAAAGATTCAAAAGAAACTTAAAAGGGGTTATTTGCATGGGAGTGGTTACATTAAGATAGATTACATATATACATATAAAATGGAAGAGCATGAGTATAAGACTTTCCAATGTGTGCCTTTCCACATCATTTTGATTTTTAAAGCATATATATTAATAATATAAAAATTAAAAATAAATACCTGAAAACAATTGTTATTTTTAATGGCTGCAGATCATTACCTTGTGTGTATGTGCATTTATTTATTTATTTATTTATTTAGAGACAGAGTTTTGCTTTTGTTGCCCAGGCAGGAGTGCGATGGTGCGATCTCGGCTCACCGCAACCCCCGCCTCCCGGGTTCAAGTGATTCTCCTGCCTCTGCCTCTCTAGTAGCTGGGGTTACAGGCACCCGCCACCATGCCCAGCTAATTTTTTGTATTTTTAGTAGAGAAGGGGTTTCACTATGTTGGCCAGGCTGGTCTTGCACTCCTGACCTCAGGCAATCCACCTGCCTCAGCCACCCAAAGTGCTGGCATTACAGGCGTGAGCCACCGCGCCTGGCTCGCTACAATTTATTTTAACCAACCCATTATTGATTGCCCTTTAAACATATTCTGATTTTCATTGAGACAAATATTTTGATCAATAATCCTGTCTACAAATCCATGTGCACATGTCTGATATTTTCTCATGTGTAGAATTACTTGATTAAACAGGATTACCATATCGATAAATTGTCTTCCAGAACACTTGTAGCAATAGCATTTTCTTCGAGTGGTTGGTGAATATGGCCCTTTCACTGCTCCCTGGCCAAGACTGACAGCTACTGGGATCATAAATTTGCAAATTTGGTAGGCCAAAAGTAGCGTGTCATTGTAGTTTACATTTAGCTATTGGGTCCAAAGTAGCAACTGAGCATAGTGGTGAAGAGCACGGGCATTGAAGTCACACAGATATAGACGTAAGTTCTGGTTCCACTACTTACCCGCCAGTAATGACCTCAGGTAGTTTAATTATTTTTTCTTAATCTCAGTTTCTCAAGTTGTAAAACAGAAAACATAGTTTACACTCTAAAGACACTTATTGTGATTAGTGTCTTGGCATATGGTACTCAGAGAACATTCATTTCCTTTTTTTTTGTTTGTTTGTCTAATCATAAGCCTACTTCTGTAGGTCTTCATAATTGGTTTTCTTACCTCCAGAAAGAGAAAGATGAATATAGAAAGGTTTAGCATTTAAATAGTGGAAATAGGGCAAGAGAAAAGATGTACAATAATGTCCAATTGTCATTATGTTGTTAAAGGTAACTTGATATGAAGGGTTTGACATCTCTAGGAACAATAAGGCATTTGGGTGTAGTGAAAACTACACAGGCTTTATTGAGTCAGATGTGAGTTCATGTACCAACTCCAAACCTCTGATCTCTTGACAATGGAAGTAGAGCTGAGCCTTCATTTTTTTCATCTATAAAAGTGGGAAGAATAATTGTATTTGCTTATTTTGTCAGTGCTCCCCAAAACTACTCCCAGGCTCAGTGAGCCCCTACATAGACTCACAGGACTCGGAAGTCTTTATATCTATGGTTATGGTGTATTACAGTGAAAGGATATAAAGCAAATTCAGCAAAGAAAAAAGACACAAAGGGTGAAGTCCAAAGAAAAGCAGACCCAAGCTCACAAGAGTCTTTTCCCAGTGGAGTTGCACAAGACCCACATAATTCCTCCAGCAATGAGTGAGTTGGAATAACATGCATGAAGTGTTGTCTACCAGGAAAGCTCATTACAGACTCAGTGCCCAAGGTTTTAACTGGGGGCTGGTTACACAAGCACACTCCGCTTAGCACGTACAAAAATTCTTGACTTCCAGAATGAGAGTGGGTGTTTAGCATAAACCACTTTGTTTGTACAAACAGTTTAGGCACAATGAGCCACTCTTCTCACTTAGGGAAGGCCTTCTATCAGTGTAGGGGATTGTTCACAAGCCAAATTTCCAGACATCAGCCAAGAACCAATCTTGTAAGCAGACCTTTCTAACAATAAGCAGTTTCAGGTCTGCTGTGTTATCATTTCTTCACACAGTCTATCCCTTTGGCCCCTGGCCAAGTCCATCTTTACAGCAAAATTACTATCAATAACCCTCCACGTAGCAGGATGAATTCAATCTGCTCTGTTGGCCCCAGTTATTTCTTCCAGGTGTCCTAAATTTAGCTAGTTAAAACAAATCCCATTAACCATAAAGATTTATCTTAGAAAGCCAAGTGGCTTCATCCGTACGTTTCTGTATGAACCTTTTTTACTTCGCCTGAGTCATCCATTCTGGCATAGCACAAGTCTGGTAGGTATCCAGCGCTGAGGCAGTGTCATGATAGTCAGGGTGCACACAAAAGTACAATCCCAGAGGACACACGTGATACTCCTGGAAACAAAGAGATTGCACTGGTTGATCACCCCAAGCAGGACATACATTAGTCAGGCAGCACAGGTTAACAGGGTCCTGTGGCCCCTTTACTATGGGGCCTTCTGCTCTAAGGTTTGTAATTCAGTCCAAAACACTTCAGACCTTAGTTTCATAAAGACTGCCTAAAAGGCAGTGCTATGGTTTGAATGTGTCCCCTTCCCAAATTCAGGTGCTTCTGATGTGATAATGTTAATAAGTCAGGCTTTTCAGAGGTGGTTAGGTCATGAGGGCTCCTCCTCTCCCCGAGGTTAAGGCCCTTATAAAAGAGGCTTCATGCAGTATTAAACTAGGCTGTCCTTCTGCCTTCTGCCCTGGGAGGACACAGCATTCCTCCTCTCTGGAGGGGGCATCAACAAGGCACCATCTTAGAAGCAGAGAACAGTCCTTACCAGACAAACGAAAGTGCTGGTGCCTTGATCTTGGACTTTCTAGCCTCCAGAAATGTGAGAAAATAAATGTCTCTTCTTTATATTAATTAATTACCCAGTCTCAGGAGTTTTTGTTCTAGCAGTAAAAAATGGACTGAGGCGGTCTGTTTCAAATAGTTTTCCTTGTTCATGACACCAGTCTACTGCACTAATGGGTGTGGCCTACAGCTGGAGGTTTTCTATGTGGAAAGTTCAGGAGCTGAAGCCACTGTCTGTTGTCTCAGTGAGCACTGGCAGATGTGACAATCGTTGGTTCAGCAGTCATTTTGAATTCAAAGCGCTTGGAGCAGTTTGGAAGGGAAGCAAGAAGTTTTTCTTTGGGAGTAGGGGAAAGCCTTTAGGAGCAGTTTTGAAAAACAAATATCATTAATGCCCTTACCGCTTCCCCATAACTCCCTAGATGCTGGGTTTTTATTTTGCCTCTGTTGTGATAAAATCACTGTGTTCCATTCCATATTCATAGCTTACATTTCTAAAAAACCTTGCAAAAATCTCACATTTCATCTGGAAAGGTTGTATGCAAGAAAGACAAAACCACTTTTATAGAAAAGCATTTTATACAACCTAACTGAAATGACACATCCTGTTAGGAAATAGGATTCAATTTTGAATTTCTAATTTTGTCTTTCAAAATGAGTGTATCTAATCCTTTTCCCACCCAATCTAGTTTGTTCTGATCATCTGTTCAGTGAGTAGCTGATAAAAGATCAGTTAATTTTGGGGGATAACTGCAGTTAATTATCAAACTGTCAGCCGGGTGCGGTGGCTCACCTCTGTAATCCCAGCACTTTGGGATGCCGAGGCAGGTGGATCACCTGAGGTCAGGAGTTTGAGACCAGCCTGACCAATATGGTGAAACCTGTCTCTATTAAAAATACAAAAAATTAGCTGGGTGTGGTGGCAGGCACCCGTAGTTCCAGCTACTCAGGAGGCTGATACAGGAGAATTGCTTGAACCTGGGAGGCGGAGGTTGCAGTGAGCTGAGATCACACCACTGCATTCCAGCCTGGGTGACAGAGCAAGACTCCATCTCAAAAAAAAAAAAAAAAAAAAAAAATCAAACTGTCTTACTAGGTTATGTATATCAGGAGAAAGGTGGGAGAAGTAGCATCAGGCTCTTGGTCCGTGATGCCAACTGCAACAAATTCAGAAAGCTGAAGAACACGAGTCAATAGCAGCAAGGCATCCTGAGATGAGCTAAAAGTCCAATCTGTTAGGAGTGGATGGAGCGGCCACCATGTTGGTAATGTGTCCTCCCCCAAATTACAGCTTTTCAAAAATCACAACTTAGAAACGCAGTTAGTCTGTGTCAGAGCCTATGAGCAGCTCAGTTTTGTTAATAGGTGGTCACATCAGAGAACAAGACCTTTCGATAGGGCACCTGCACATGACCCAGAGGGTCCAGCCACCACCCATGATGTTGTCACAGTTTATGGTCTCACATGGCGTGAGGTTCCTAAATCTGTAAAAGTCCAAGCATCTGAGTTCTGTTCATTGAGTCTCTGCTTTCAGCTTAGCAAAGCTCTGAGTTTGAAACACCCTCCAGCCGACAGTAAGAGGTTGCAGTTTTGAGTCAGATTCAGGAAATTAAGATCTGAGAACCCAGGATTCCAAAAAGCCAGTGGTTTTCTTCAGCAACAGCAGAGCCTAGACACTGTAGGGCCAGACAGCTGTGTTCCAAGTGCAAGAAACAAAGCAAGTCTTTCCTAAGACGACTTTATCTTATCAGTCTTTTTTTTTTTTTTTGAGATGGAGTCTCACTCTGTCACCCAGGCTGGAGTGTAGTGGTGCGATCTCAGCTCACTGCAACCTCTGCCTCCCGGGTTCAAGCAATTCTTCTGCCTCAGCCTCCCAAGTAGCTGGGACTGCAGGCGCCTGCCACCACACCCGGCTAATTTTTGTATTTGTAGTAGAGACAGGATTTTACCATATTGGCCAGGCTTGTCTCGAACTCCTGACCTAGTGATCCGCCCTCCTTGGCCTCCCAAAGTGCTGGGATTACAGGCGTGCACCACCGCGCCCTGCTATTATCAGTCTTACAGGCCAATTGACTCCCTTTAAAATATGCACAACAGGCTGGAAAATCATCAGCCACAGGGGTCAGACCTCCTGTTTAATAAGAGCACATTAGCAAACCAAAAAGTACTTTTTAAAGTTCCAAATGTGTATCTTCATGTGAAGATTATCTCTCTTATCTTTTCTCCCTTTTTGCAGATGCTCCTATATACAAAAAATCGTAGTACAAATCATCACTTATGGAGAACTGTTTTCTTTTCAATACTCAAATAATTTAAATTCCATTGCACCTGCCAGCAGTAGAAAGCAAGGACATTGTATCCCACTAAATTTTTGTGTGTACAGCTTTCCCGTTAGCATTTATGAAATTGCAATCATATAACATGTTACATCAGTTTTTCTCATGCATCCAGAATCATAGCCACAAAATACAAAGCCATTCTTAAAAATCATTACCTGCCTTTTATCTCACTGCATGTTTATTCAAACAGCTAGCAGTAAATTTAGCAATTAAAAGATGAAGGTTATGGGGAAGGAGAGAAGGGGTGCAGCAGCTGTGGTAGCAGCTAGGCTAGAGTGGTTTCTTTTTTGATCGTTTTTTTTTTTTTTTTCTCCTGATTTCTCCAGTGCATTGCTCCAGCCGTGTGAACTAACTTAACCTTTTTTCATACCACTTGGAGAAAAGGGCAATGAAGATCTTTAGCATTCTTGGTTTACTCAATGCCCGCCTATAGGAGTTTTCAGATCATTTCTCCTGCCACCTGGAGAAGAAAACTACAAACTAATGTTTATTAACTTTTCTCCCCAAAAAAAGCCCATTTTGGGGAATGTTTGGGTCTTTTAAACTCCCACCTGGAAGAAAGAACAAAAACCAAAGGCATCACCCCATCTGTGTTTTTGTCATCACTTTATCTAGCAAGGCCGAAAGCAGGTAGGGGATCCAGGGGAGCCAGTTTGCCTGAGGTTGGATCTATCATTTTGAAATTTCACAGGTAACTTTTGCCTCTCAGCAAAGACAGCAACTTAGCTGCTATTTCATACCTTGCATGACTCCATAGCCACCCAGGAACAAACGTTTTGTCATCACCCTCCCACACTTTTTTTCAAATAGCTCTGTAGTTATATTTCAGTAAGTTAGGGGTCGCTCTAGTGAATCCCGCCACAGTCACTGCTGTGTCCAGGGTCCCCAAGACCACTTCCATGTTCCCTGAATCACAAGAAGGACTCGTGGAACTTAGCATATTGTTTTCCTCACAGCTAAAAATTTTGAAAGTGATGTGTTATAGTTACACAGCCAGATCATAAGGAAAATAGGCAGAAGAGGAGTCTGGAGGAAGAAGGGTGCAGGTTTCCTTATTCTTTCTCCCACGAACACTCACAGAGAGCACTTCCACCAGCAATGGAAATGTAGTAATTTGTGTGGGATGTTTCTGCCCAAGGAAAAATTGGCTACAGACTTGGTGCCCAGATTTTTACTGGAGTCTCATCATTTAGGTAGTTTCTGCCTAGCATGTGCTAAAATTCCAGACCATCAAAAGGAACTCCTAGCATTTGCACTAACAGTCTAGGCATAGTGAGCCATGCTTCTCATTTGAGGATTTTAAAAAAGAAAAAAAATCAGTGTAAGAAACTTTTTACCAGTCAAGTCTCAGACACCAGCCAAAAGAAAAACTTGTAATAACTCTTTTCTCTTCATTCCTTCTTTCTTTTCCTTTTTCTCCCTCTCCCTCCCTCCCTCCCTCCCTTCTTTTTTGGAGGGGAGAGTAACAGCTTTATTGAGATAAAATACACATACCATTACAATTCACCCAATCAGAGTGAACAGTACAATGGTTTTTAGCATATTCAGAGTAGTGCAACTGAAGTGGGAAAAGTTCCCTTGTCCTGCTCCCAGGGCATGCAATGGGGGTGTGGCTCTTTTCTTTGGTGCCCAGCTGTTCAAAACCCTTAGAGGGTGCAGGCAGATGGGCAGGTTGCGGGGAGCATGAGCTCTGACACCACGGCAGTGTCTAGGGGTGAGGGTTTACAGCTGCTGAAGCCCCAGTGAGCGTGTGTTACAGGTTGCTCTTTTAGTTTTGCCGCCTGTAGGTGGCTTGTGTTAATCAGCTCTATTAGACTCCCTGCCTTACCACAAGGGCAGGGTGCTTTCTGTATCCCGGGATTTCTTGCCTTGGTGTACCAGAAGAATTGGATCACACGTGGGCTTGGAGAATGAGTGCAAGGTTTTATTGAGTGTAAGTAGCTCGTAGCAGGAGACAGAAGGGAGATGGAGTGGGAGGTGGTTTTTTCCCTGGAGTGGGGCTGCTCAGCGGCCGGGCTCTCCTTTGAGCACTCTGGCCAAACTCCACATTGTTCCGGCATCTGCTGGTGCCTGTTGGTGTGCTCTGACATCAGTGCATTCCTCTCGACATCCAGGCACTTGTGTGTGTGCTCGCTAGGGTCTCGGGGTTTTTATAGGCACCGGATGGGGGCATGGCGGACCAGGGTGATCTTGCGAAATGCAACATTTGGGCACAAAAACAGAAATGCCTGTCCTCACCGAGGTCCGTGGACACAGGCTTGAGGGTAGAGCCCTCGTCAGGGACCCATCCTTCTCCACCCAGCACTTCCCTGCCCCGCTCCCGTATCACAACCATCACCAAAATCAATTTTAGAACATTTTCATAGCCCCCAAAAGAAAACCTGTCCTCCTTAAGTAGTCACTCCTTACTGCCCCCTCCATCCAATCCCTGGCACCAGTAATCCAATTTCTGTCTCTATAGATTTGCTTATTCCAGACATTTCTTATAAATGTAATCATAAAATATTTGGCCTTTTATCTTTGGCTTCTTTCACATAGCATAATGTTTTAAAGGTTCATCCACGTTATAGCACAAATCCGTAGTTCATTTCTTTTTATGGCTGAATAATATTTTATTGTATGGATATACCATATTTGGTTATCCACTCATTAGTTGATGAACATTTGGGTTCTTTCCAGTTTTTGTGTATTATGAATACTGCTACTATGAGCATTCTGGTAAACATATTTGCTTGAACATCTGTTTTTATTTCTTTTGGATATATATCGAAAAGTAAAATAGCTTAAGAGAATATGTTAAAACATTAACAGAATATGTTAATTCTGTGTTCAAGTTTTTCAATAACCACCAAACTATCTTCCATAGCAGCTTCACTAGTATATATATTCCCGCCAGCAATATATGAAGGTTCCAATTTCCCAATATCCTTGTCAACACTTGCTATTTTCCTTTTATTTTTTTCTAAATCATGACTGTCCTACTGGATGTGTTACCTCATTGTGGTTTTGATTTACATTTTACTAATGACTAATGGTGTTGAACATCTTTTCATGTGCTTATTGGCAATTTGTATATTTTCTTCAGATAAATATCTATTCTGATTTCTTGCCATTTTTAAAGTTGGCTTATTTGTCTTTACAATATTGAGACATGAGTTTCTCTTATATTCTACATACAAGTCCCTTATCAGATATGTAATTTACAAATATTTGCTTCCATTTTGGGGTGGACTTTTCACATTCTTGATAGTATCCTTTGAAGCACAAAAGTTTTTGATGAAGTTCAATTTGTCTTTTTTTTTGTCATTTGAAGTTTTGTTGTCATATCTAGATGTCACTTGTGCTTTGCCTAACTCGAGGTCACAAAAATTTATGCCAATGTTTTCTTTTAAAAGTTTTTTTAAAAATTATTTTTAGCTACTACGTTTAGATCAGTGATCCATTTTGAGTAAATTTTAGTGTGTGGTGTGGTAAAGAGTAAGTTTAATTTCATTCTTTCACATATGAATATCCAATTGTCCCAGCACCAATTGTTGAAAAGACTATTCTTTTCCCATTGAATTTTCTTGGCACCTTTGTCAAGCATCAGTTGTGCATAAATGCACAATTATTTCTGTATGCTCAATTTTATTCCATTGAATTATATGTCTAAACTGATGCCAGCACTACATTTTCTTTATTACTGTAGTTTTGTGGCAAATTTTGAAATTCAGAAGCAAGAATTCTTCAACTTTATTCTTTCTTTCCAATATTAGCTTGGCTTTTCTTGATCCTTTAAATATCCATATGAATCTTAGGATCAGTTTATCCATTTATGCAAAAATCCAGCTATGATTTTATGGGGATTCTGTTGAATCTGTGGACTGATTGGGAAGTATTGCCATCTGAACAATATTAAGTATTCTAATCAATGAACATGCAATGTGTTTCTATTTAAAAATTTTTTGCCAATATTTTGCAGTTTTTCATGGAGTACGCATGGACACAAAGAAGGAAACAACAGACACTGGGGCCTACTTGAAGCTGGAGGGTAGGAGGAGGGCGAGGATTGAAAAATTGCCTATTAGGTACTATGATTACTATCCAAGTGATGAAAAAAAATCTATACAGCAAACCCCGTGACATGCAATTTACCTATATAACAAACCTGTGGGTGTGCCCCTGAACCGAAAAGTTAAAAAACAGTTTTGTAGTTTTAGAGAATAAGTTTTGTACTTTTTTGATAAATTTATTCTTAAATATTTCATATTTTTGATGCTGTTGTTTTCTTCTCTTAACATCAAATTACTCATTGCAAGTATATGAAAAGTTCAATTGATTTTTTCGCCCAGGTATGGTGGCTCACGCTTGTAATCCTAGCATTTTGGCAGGCCCAGGCAGGTGTATCACCTGAGGTCAGGAGTTTGAGACCAGCCTGGGCAACATGATGAAACCTCATCTCTACAAAAAATATAAAAATTAGGTGACTGACAAGATGGCGGAAAAGGAACAGCTCTTGTCTGCAGCTCCCGGTGAAATCAACACAGAAGGTGGCCGATTTCTGCATTTCCAACTGAGGTACCCGACTCATCTCACTGGGACTGGTTAGATAGTGAGTGCTGCCCTCGGAGGGCAAGCCGAAGCAGGGTGGGGCGTTGCCTCACCCAGGAAGTGCAAGGGATTGGGGAACTCCCTCCCCTAGCCAAGAAAAGCCATGAGGGACCGTTTTGTGAGGAACAGTGCATTCCAGCCCAGATGGTATGCCCTTCCCATGGTCTTCGCAACCCTCAGACCAGGAGATTCCCTCGGGTGCCTACACCACCAGGGCCCTGGGTTTCAAACACAAAACTGGACAGCCATTTGGGAAGACACCAAGCAAGGTGCAGGAGTTTTTTTTCATACCCCAGTGGCACTTGGAACACCAGTGAGACAGAACTGTTCACTCCCCTGGAAAGGGGGCTGAAGCCAGGGAGCCAAGTAGTCTAGCTCATTGGATCCCACCCCCACAGAACCCAGCAAGCTAAGATCCACTGGCTTGAAATTCTCACTGCCAGCACAGCCATCTGAAGCCAACCTGGGACGCTTGAGCTTGGTGGGGAGAGCGTCATCTGCCATTACTGAGGCTTGAGTAGGCAGCTTTCCCCTCATAGTGTAAACAAAGCCCTTGGGAAGTTCCAACTGGGTGGAGCCCACTGCAGCTCCTCAAAGCCACTGTAGCCAGACTGCCTCTCTAGATTCCTCCTCCCTGGGCAGGGCATCTCTGAAAGAAAGGCAGCAGCACCAGTCAGGGGCTTATAGATAAAACTCCCATCTCTCTGGGACAGAGCACCTGGGGGAAGGGGCGGCTGTGGGCACAGCTTCAGCAGACTTAAGTGTTCCTGCCTGCCAGCTCTGAAGAGAGCAGTGGATCTCCCAGCATAGCATTTGAGCTCTGCTAAGGGACAGACTACCTTCTCAAGTGGGTCCCTGAGCCCCGTGCCTCCTGACTGGGAGACACCTCCCAGCAGGCATCAACAGACACCTCATACAGGAGAGCTCTGGCTGGCATCTGGCAGGTGTCCCCCTGGGACGAAGCTTCCAGAGGAAGGAAAAGGCAGCAATCTTTGTTGTTCTGCAGACTCTGCCAGTGATACCCAGGCAAATAGGGTCTGGAGTGGACCTCCAGCAAACTCCAGTAGACATGCAACAGAGGGGCCTGACGGTTAGAAGGAAAACTAACAGACAGAAAAGAATAGCATCAAAATCAAGAAAAAAGATGTCCATTCAAAAACCCCATCTGAAGGTCACCAACATCAAAGACCAAAGGTAGATAAGGCTGAAAATTCCAAAAACCAGAGTGCCTCTTTCCTCCAAAGGATCACAACTCCTTGCCAGAAAGGGAACAAAACTGGACGGAGAATGAGTTTGATGAATTGACAGAAGTAGGCTTCAGAAGGTGAGTAATAACAAACTCCTCTGAGCTAAAGGAGCATGTTTTAACCCAATGCAAGGAAGCAAAGAATCTTGAAAAAGGGTTAGAGGAATTGCTAACAAGAATGATCAGTTTAGAGAAGGACATAAGTGACCAGATGGAGCTGAAAAACATAGCACGAGAACTTCGTGAAGCATACACAAGTATCAATAGCCAAATAGATCAAGCGGAAGAAAGGATATCAGAGGCTGAAAATCAACTTAATGAAATAAAGTGTGAAGACAAGATTAGAGAAAAAAGAATGAAAAGGAATGAATAAAGCCTCCAAGAAATATGGGACTATGTGAAAAGACCAAATCTACGTTTGATTGGTGTACCTGAAAGTGATGGGGAGAATAGAACCAAGTTGGAAAGCAGTCTTCAGTTTATTATCCAAGAGAACTTCCCCAACATAGCAAGACAGGCCAACATTCAAATTCAGGAAATACAGAGAACACCACAAAGATACTCCTCAGAAAGAGCAACCCTAAGACACATAATCGTCAGATTCACCAAGGTTGAAATGAAGGAAAAATGTTAAGGGCAGCTAGAGAGAAAGTTTGGGTTATGCACAAAGGGAAGCCCATCAGACTAACAGCAGATCTCTCTGCAGAAACGCTACAAGGCAGAAGAGAGTGGGCGCCAATATTCAACATTCTTAAAGAAAATAATTTTCAACCCAGAATTTCATATCCAGCCAAACTAAGCTCATAAGTGAAGGAGAAATAAAAATCCTTTACAGACAAGCAAATGCTGAGAGATTTTGTCACTATCAGGCCTGCCTTACATGAGCTCCTGAAGGAAACACTAAATATGGAAAGGAAAAACTGGTACCAGCCACTGCAAAAACATACCAAATTGTAAAGACCATTGACACTATGAAGAAACTCCATCGATGCTATGAAAAACTGCATCAACTAATGGGCAAAATAACCAGCTAGCATCACAAAGACAGGATCAAATTCACACATAACAATATTAACCTTAAATGTAAATGGACTAAATGCCCCAACTAAAAGACACAGACTGGCAAATTGGATAAAGTCAAGACCCATAGGTGTGCTGTATTCAGGAGACCCATCTCACGTGCAAAGACACACATAGGCTCAAAATAAAGGAATGGAGGAAGATTTACCAAGTAAATGGAAAGCAAAAAAAAAAAAAAAAAAAAAAAAAAAAAAAAAAAAGCAGGGGTTGCAATTCTAGTCTCTCATAAAACAGACTTTAAACCAACAAAGATCAATAGAGACAAGGGCATTACATAATGGTAAAGGGACCAATGCAACAAAAAGAGCTAACTATCCTAAATATATATGCCCCCAATACAGGAGTACCCAGATTCATAAAGCAAGTTCTTAGAGACCTACAAAGAGACTTACACTCCCACACAATAATAGTGGGAGACTTTAACACCCCACTGACAATATTAGACAGATCAACAAGACAGAAAATTAACAAGGATATTCACTATTTGAACTCAGCTCTGGATCAAGCAGACCTACTAGACATCTACAGAACTCTCCACCCCAAATCAACAGAGTATGCATTCTTCTTAGCACCACATCACACTTATTCTAAAATCAACCACATAATTGGAAGTAAAACATTCCTAAGCAAATGCAAAAGAATGGAAATCATAACAAACAGTCTCTGAGACCAAAGTGCAATCAAACTAGAACTCAGGATTAGGAAACTCACTCAAAACTGCACAACTACATGGAAACTGAACAACCTGTTCCTGAATGACTACTTGGTAAATAAGGAAATTAAGGCAGAAATAAACAAGTTCTTTGAAACCAATGAGAACAAAGACACAACTTACCAGAATCTCTGAGACAAAGCTAAAGCTGTGTTTAGAGGGAAATTTATAGCACTAAAAGCACACAGGAGAAAGTGGAAAAGATCTAAAATCAACACCCTAACATCACAATTAAAAGAACGAGAGAAGCAAGAGCAAACAAATTCAAAAGCTAGCAGAAGACAATAAATAATCAAGATCAGAGCAGAACTGAAGGAGATGAAAAAACTGATGAATCTAGGATCTGGTTTTTTGAAAAGATCAACAAAATAGATAGAATGTTAGCTAGACTAATAAAGAAGAAAAGAGAGAAGAATCAGATAAACACTATAAAAAATGATAAAGGGGATATCACCACTGATCCCCATGGAAATACAAACTCCCATCAGAGAATACTATAAACACCTCTACTCAAATAAACTAGAAAATCTAGAAGAAGTGGCCGGGCGCGGTGGCTCCCACCTATAATCCCAGCACTTTGGCAGGCCGAGGCAGGTGGATCATGAGGTCAGGAGATCGAGACCAACCTGGCTAACACAGTGAAACCCTGTCTCCACTAAAAATCCAAAAATTCTCCAGGCGTGGTGGTGGGCGCCTGTAGTCCTAGCTACTCGGGAGGCTGAGGCAGGAGAATGGCATGAGCCCGGGAGGCGGAGCTTGCGGTGAGCGGAGATTGTGCCACTGCACTCCAGTCTGGGTGACAGAGCGAGACTCTGTCTCAAAATAAATAAATAAATAAATAAAAGGAAAATCTAGAAGAAATGGATGAATTCTTGACCCCACATACACCCTCCCAAGACTAAACCAGGAAGAAGTCGAATACCTGAATAGACCAATAACAAGTTCTGAAATTGAGGCAGTAATTAATAGCCTACCAACCAAAAAAAGTCCAGGACGAGATGGATTCACAGCCGAGTTCTACCAGAGGTACAAGAGGAGCTGGTACCATTCCTTCTGAAACTATTCCAAATAATAGAAAAAGAGGGACTCCTCCCTAACTCATTTAATGAGGCCAGCATCATCCTGACACCAAAACCTAGCAGAGACACAACAAAAAATAAAATTTCAGGCCAATATCCCTGATGAACATCGATGTGGAAATCCTCAATAAAATACTGGCAAACCGAATCCAGTGGCACATCAGAAAGCATATCCACCATGATCAAGTCGGCTTCATCCCTGGGATGCAAGACTGGCTCAACATATGCAAATCAGTAAACGTAATCCATCACATAAACAGAACCAATGTCAAAAACCACATGATTATCTCAATAGATGCAGCAAAGGCCTTCAATAAAATTCAACACCGCTTCATGCTAAAAACTCTCAATAAACTAGGTATTGATGGAATGTATCTCAAAATAATAAGAGCTATTTATGACAAACCCACAGACAATATCATACTGAATGGGCCAAAGCTGGAAGCATTCCCTTTGTAAACCTGCACAAGACAAGGATGCCCTTTCTCACCACTCCTATTCAACATAATATTGGAATTTCTTGCCAGGGCAATCAGGCAAGAGAAAGAAATAAAGGGTATTCAAGTAGGAAGAGAGGAAGTCAAATTGTCTCTGTTTGCAGATGACATGACTGTATATTTAGAAAACCCCATTGTCTCAGCCCAAAATCTCCTTAAGCTGATAAGCAACTTTGGCAAAGTCTCAGGGTACAAAATCAATAAGCAAACGTCACAGGCATTTCTATACACCAATAATAGTCAAACAGAGAGCTAAATCATGAGTGAACTCCCATTCACAATTGCTAGAAAAAGAATAAAATACCTAGGAATACAACTTACAAGGGATGTGAAGGACCTCTTCAAGAAGAACTACAAACCACTGCTGAAGGAAATAAGAGAGGACACAAACAAATGGAAAACCATTTCATGCTCCTGGATAGGAAGAATCAATATTGTGAAAATGGCCAATCTACTCAAAGTCATTTATAGATTCTATGCTATTCCCATCAAGCTACCATTGACTTTCTTCACAGAATTAGAGAAAACTACTTTATATGTCATATGGAACCAAAAAAGAGCCCGTATAGCCAAGACAATCCAAGCAAAAAGAACAAAGCTGGAAGCATCATGCTACCTGACTTCACACTATACTACAAGGTTATAGTAACCAAAACAGCATGGTACTGGTACCAAAAATAGATATGTAGACCAATGGAACAGAACAGAGGTCTCAGGAAGAATGCCACACATCTACAACCATTTGATCTTTGGCAAACCCGACAGAAACAAGCAATGGAGAAAGGATTCCCTATTTAATCATTGGTGTTGGGCAAACTGGCTAGCCATATGTAGAAAACTGAAACTGGACCCCTTCCTTACACCTTATACAAAAATTAACTTGAGATAGATTAAAGTCTTAAACATAAGACCTAAAACCATAAAAACCCTAGAAGAAAACCTAGGCATTACCATTCAGGACATAGGCATGGGCAAGGACTTCATGTCTAAAACACCAAAAGCAATGGCAACAAAAGACAAAATTGACAAATGGGATCTAATTAAACTAAAAAGTTTCTGCACAGCAAAAGAAACTATCATCAGAATGAACAGGCAACCTATAGAATAGGAGAACATTTTTGCCATCTATCCATCTGACAAAGGGCTAATATCCAGAATCTACAAAGAATTTAAACAAATGTACAAGAAAAAAAACAAACAACCCCATCAAAAAGTGTGTGAAGGATATGAACAGACATTTCTCAGAAGACATTTATGTTGCCAACAAACGTATGAAAAAAAGCTCATCATCACTGGTCATTAGAGAAATGCAAATCAAAACAACCATGAGATACCATCTCATGCCAGTTAGAATGGCGATCATTAAAAAGTCAGGAAGGAACAGATGCTGGAGAGGATGTGGAGAAATAGGAACACTTCTACAGTGTTGGTGGGAGTGTAAGTTAGTTCAACTATTGTGGAAGACAGTGTGGCAATTTTTCAGGGATCTAGAAACAGAAATACCATTTGACCCAGTAATCCCTATTACTGAGTATATACCTAAAGGATTATAAATCATTCTGCTATAAAGACACACGCACACACATGTTTATTGAAGCACTATTCACAACAGCAAAGACTTGGAACCAACTCAAATGTCTATCAATTATAGACTAGATAAAGAAAATGTGGCACACATACACCATGGAATACTATGCAGCCATAAAAACGGATGAGTTTATGTTCTTTGCAGGGACATGGATGAAGCTGGAAACCATCATTCTCAGCAAACTAACACAGGAACCGAAAACCAAACACCGCATATTCTCACTCATAAGTGGGAGTTGAGCAATGAGAACACATGGACACAGGGAGGGAAACATCACACACCGGGGCCTGTCAGGGGGTTGGGGGCTAGGGGAGGGATAGCATTAGGAGAAATATGGGTTGGTGGATGCAGCAAGCCACCATGGCATGTGTATACCTATGTAACAAACCTGCACGTTCTGCACATGTATCCCTGAACTTAAAGTATAATAAAAATAAAAAAATAATAATAAGCCAAAAAAAATATAAAAATTAGTTGGGTGTGGTGCCAGGCACCTGTAATCCCAGCTACTCAGGAGGCTGAGGCAGGAGAATCACTTGAACCCAGGAGGCAGAGGTTGCAGTGAGCAGAGCTTGTGTCATTGTACACCAGCCTGGGCAACAGAGAGACTCTGTCTCAGTAATAATAATACCTTTGATTTTTGTATGTTGGCTTTTACCTTCTGACCTCGCTGAACTTATTTATTTATTCATGAGAGATAAAGTCTCTGTCAGCTAGGCTGGAGTACAGTGGCATGATCATAGCTCACTGTCACCTTGAATTCCTGGTCTCAAGGGATTCTACCACCTCAGCCTCCTGAGTAACAGGGACTACAGGTATGAACCACTATACCCAGCTAATTTTCTTTTATTTTTTTGTAGAGACAGGGTGTCCCTATGTTGCCCAGGCTGGTCTTGAACTCCTGGGCTCAAGCGATCCTCCTGCCTTGGCCTCCCAAGTTGCTGGGATTATAGCCATGAGCCACTGTGCTTGGTCCTTTTTTATTAGTGGATTTTGTAGGATTTTCTATATAAGATGGCATCATTTGTAAATAGAGATAGTTTTACTTCTTTTCTAATCTCAATGCCTTTTATTTTTCTTGCCTAATTGCCAGGGCCTCATAAACTGTAAATCTTATCTAGACATACGTAAATATTTATTATTTCTTATAAAGTTGAGTCACTCTACTGGGTATTTAGATGAGCAGTAGAGATCATGGCAAGTCCAAATCAACTACCGGTGATTTTCTTTGGCTTCTGGCCTGTCTTTAAGAAAAGATTCATTTTTAAAATTTATACAATGGCTATTTTCTTTATCCCTTTATATCAGGAAAGTAACCTTGGCTCTTATTCATATCTGTAAAAGCTTGACAGAATTGGTAGCATGATTGAGTATGGGCCAAATGCGGGGATGGAGAGTTCTTAGTATATACAATCCATTCCTCCTCTATTTCCTACAGGTCATCACAGACCTATGAAGAGTAAGGATCCATCTGCCATAGATAAGGTGAATGAGAGATTCCAGAGGTTCTGGGATGGGGCTAGGAAATGCTCACATAAGGAAACATTTAATACATATTTATTATAGCCATATAAATGTACAGAAAACTATGAAATATGGGCTTTGCCCTCTTATTTTCCTATTTCCCAAAAAACATCTATATTTTTTAAATAGGATCTTGAAAACACAAGCAGAATTCCTGCAGAATAAGCACATATTTAATATTTAAAAATGAATTATACAAAACAGAGGCTTTTAATGTTATGCCAACCTTCCCTGCTCATTTATGCACTATAACTCCAAAATGTGATTACAAGGCTAATTGGAATTAAATTGAAGTCAAATACACCTTTTGCTTGATTGATCTTAACCAGATTAGAGAAAGACAGCCAGCTTTGTCCATTAAATTTGACGTAATCTCAGGTAGCAAGAAGTTTTGTGGGTCTCATTCAGTCAGCAATTCTTTTTATTTTAACTTCATGGCCTATAACAGGAATATATGCTGAACTTTGGGTTACGTAAGTGAAACATATTGGATAATACATTACATGACCTGAAGGTAATGTGATTCAAAATGAAATTGCAAGTGAAAGGTGAGAATTAAAATGAAGTATGAAAACTTGATTCACTGAAGTGAACACTGTTTTTCACAGTAAGTGGCAAACTTAAGGATTGGAACGTAAATAAAAATTGAAGGCAATGCCTGGGGCTGTAAGCTATATTAAATGTTGCCTAACAACACTGGGAATCTCAGCCTCTACGTGTATTAGATCTTAAGAAACAGATATAAAATATTACCAAAATTGAGCCAGGAGCTGTGGCTTGCACCTGTAATCCCACCTATTCCGGAGGCTGAGGCAGGAGGATCACTTGAGCCTGGGCAACATAGTAAGACCCCATCTCTAAAAAAAGTTTTAAAATTAGTCAGGCATGGTGGCACAGGCCTGTAGTCCTAACTACTTGAGAGGGTGAGGAGGCTGAGGTAGGAGGATCACTGGAGCCTAGAACTTTGAGGCTGCAGTGAGCCATGATCATGCCACTGCACTCTAGTTTAGGTGACAGAGAGAGATGCTGTCTCTAAAAATATATATATATAAAATTATATATTATATATTATAATTATAACAATTATAATTAATATATCACATAATCATATAATTATGTTATTTATAATCATATTATTTATAATATAATTAATATTATATATATCTCAAAATGTTGTAAGGCTATAGTGATATTTGTTGTCTTTTTACATTACTACTAGAGAAAACACCTGTAGAGGGTCCTGATAGTTAAAGGGTAATCTCTATCCATCAGTAGCTACAAATAGTTGAAAATATTGTAAAAAAGCCACCGTTGAACACTTCAAAATGGGGTTTTACAGAAAAGTTTCAGTAGGAAAATTTTGCCATTAGACAAAGACCTTTACAACAATGCTGCTATTTTGTAGAGGGGAAGGGGAGATAACTGGATTCCAAATAAGACTACTTCCACTCAGAAAAACACAAAGACTGTTGCCTACTAACAACTAAATAGTGTACCTTGTTTGCCTTTGAGGAAATATGCCATAAGCACATGGAATGAAAGTATCAACCACATGACTGCTTTTTTTTTTTTTAAATACTAGCATTTATTGAGCACTTTATGTAGACAGACTGCAATTTATCCTGCATAAAATATTCTTTATTTCCTAATTTACTCCTTCTAACAATCCTGTGAGGTAGGTACTGTTAATGGGTCCCATTTTTCAGACTTGAGAGTTTAGGGTGATTAAGTAACTTGCCTAATATCGTGTAGCTAGTAAATGGTGCATATAGACAATGGTCTGTGACAACAGAGATTGGGCTGTTTATTTGGGTGGAGGGGAACAGGTTCTTGCTCTGTCGCCCAGGCTGGAAGGCTGGAGTGCAGTGGCACAACCTTGGGTCACTGCAACCTCCGCCTTCTGGGCTCAAGCGATTCTCATGCCTCAGCCTCCTGAGTAGCTGGGATTACAGGTGCGCACCACCACACCTGGCTAATTTTTGTGTTTTTAGTAGAGATGGGATTTCACCATGTTGGCCAGGTTGGTCTCGAACTCCTGACATCAAGTGATCCGCCCACCTCAGCCTTCCAAAGTCCTGGGATTACAGGTGTGAGCCACCGCACCCGGACTGAGATAAAGCTCTTAACAATATTATATTCCAGTATTTGTTTCTGGTATTATGTGTTTTATTCTAGTGAGACATAATACTGACCATGGAGGGATTCAGAAAATTAAAATGAAAATCATCTTTGGATCACGCTTTGTAGAAATTGCTTTTTATGATCAACGGCTACATATAAAAATGTTTTTACCCCCTTCTTAGAAGTACCAGTCTTTTCCAATGTTTATATAGGCATATCTATATTTCTTTAAACAATTTTATTGAAATATAATTAACATCAATTAACTTCATATATTTAAAAGACACAATTTGATTAGTTTTAAGATATGTATACACCTGTGAAATCATCACCACAATCAAGATAACATTTTAAACAACTCCTAAAATTTCCGCTTGCTTTTAAAAAAATCTATCCCTTCCTGCATTATCGCCTCCCTTTACCAGTGTCCTCAGGAAACCACTGAGCTTCTTTCTTTCAGTGTAGATTAGTTAGCATTTCCTGAAAGTTTATATAAAAGAGATCACAATTACACACTTTTTTAAAGTAGGGGGTGAGGGCCTGGCTTCTTAGAAAAACATTATAATTTGAGATTTATCCAAGTTGTTTCTTGTGTCAGTAGTTCATTCCATTTGATTGCCAAGGTGTATTTGGTCATATGAACATACCACCATCCATGATCTATTGATGAATATTTAGATTGTTTCCAGTTTGAGGCTATTTACAAATAAAAACAACTATGGACATTTGGATGCAAGTCTTTGTGTGTATATCTTAGATAAATGTTTTCGAGGAAATAGTTGGTGTATAATTAACTATTTAGGAAACTCCAAGACTCTTTTTAAAAGCGGTTGTACTATTTTATATTAACACCACTAATGTAAGAGATTTCAGTTGCTCCTCATCCTTACCAACAGTTTGTACAGTGTTTTCAATTTAGCCATTCTAGTGGGTGGGTTTTTGTTTGTTTGTTTGTTTATTTTGGGATAATTTTGTAGTTTTAACTTAAATTTATCTGGTAACTAATGATGTTGAACTTTTTTTTTTTTTTTTTTTTTTTTTGAGACAGCTCACTCTGTCAGTCAGGCTGGAGTGCAGTGGTGAGATCTCAGCTCACTGCAACCTCCATCTCCCAGGTTGAAGCAATTCTCCTGCCTCAGCCTGTTGAGTAGCTGGGATTACAGGCACCCACCATCACATTCGGCTAATTTTTGTATTTTTTAGTAGAGATGGGGTTTCACCATGTTGGTCAGGCTGGTCTCAAACTCCTGACCTCGTTATCTCCCTGCCTCGGCCTTCCTAAGTGCTGGGATTACAGGCGTGAGCCACCGCTCCCAGCTTTGATGTTGGACATTTTTAACCTGCTTATTAGATGTTAGATGTTCATAGATCTTCTTTTGTGAAGTGTCTGTTCATACCTTTTATCTATTTTTATTGGGTTATTTTTCTTTGCTAATGAGTTATAAGACTTCTTTAAATATTCTGGATTGAGTTGTAAGAGTTCTTTAAATATTCTGGATATAAGTTCTTTTTTTGTTATATGTGTCACAAAATTTTTCTTCCACTCTGTGGTTTGCTTTTTGCTTTTCTTTATATATATATATGTATTTATTATACTTTCAGTTCTAGGGTACATGTGCACAACATGCAGGTTTGTTACATATGTATACATGTGCCATGTTGGTGTGCTGCACCCATTAACTTGTCATTTAGCATTAGGTATATCTCCTAATGCTATCCCTCCCCACTCCCCCCACCACACAACAGGCCCCGGTGTGTGATGTTCCCCTTCCTGTGTCCAAGTGTTCTCATTGTTCAATTCCCAACTATGCGTGGGAACATGTGGTGTTTGGTTTTTTCTCCTTGCAATAGTTTGCTGAGAATGATGGTTTCCAGCTTCATCCATGTCCCTACAAAGGACACGAACTCATCATTTTTTATGGCTGCATAGTACTCCATGGTGTATATGTGCCACATTTTCTTAATCCAGTCTATCATTGTTGGACATTTGGGTTGGTTCCAAGTCTTTGGTATTGTGAATAGTGCCGCAATAAACATACGTGTGCACATGTCTTTATAGCAGCATTATTTTTAATCCTTTGGGTATATACCCAGTAATGGGATGGCTGGGTCAAATGGTATTTCTAGTTCTAGATCCCTGAGGAATCGCCACAGTGTCTTTTTGCAATCTACTCATCTGACAAAGGGCTAATATCCAGAATCTACAAATAACTCAAACAAATTTACAAGAAAAAAACAAACAACCCCATCAAAAAGTGGGCGAAGGACATGAACAGACACTTCTCAAAAGAAGACATTTATGCAGCCAAAAGACACATGAAAAAATGCTCATCATCACTGGCCATCAGAGAAATGCAAATCAAAACCACAATGAGATACCATCTCACACCAGTTAGAATGGCGATCATTAAAAAGTCAGGAAACAACAGGTGCTGGAGAGGATGTGGAGAAATAGGAACACTTTTACACTGTTGGTGGGACTGTAAACTAGTTCAACCATTGTGGAAGACGGGGCTTTTTGCTTTTCTTAAGGGTTTCTCTTGTGTAGCAATATTTTTAAAATATGTGTTTTATCTTTTTCTTCGTGGTTTGTGTTTTTTGTGTTCTGGCACAGGAACCTTTGCCTACAACAAGGTCACAGAGATTTTCTCCTATGTTTTTCTCTAGACATTTTGTAGTTTTAGGTGTTACATGATTCATTTAGATTTTATTGTTGCATGTGGTGTAAGGTAAATGGCCATGTTTATTTATTCTACATGATGTCCAGTTGAATCAGAACCACTTGTGAAGAACTTCTCTTTCATCACTTAATGTCTTTGGCACCTTTATGAAAATTGATAGTATGTGTGGGTGTGGGTGGGATTTGTTTCTGTACTTCCATCCTGTACCGTTTACCTATATGTGTATCATTTCAACAATGCTAATCTGAATTAATATAGGTTTACAATAAGTCTTATAATAAGGTAGTGTAAGTTCTCCAACTTCTGTTTTTCAAAAATTTTTTATTTTTCTAGTGTAGAGGAAGAATAATCCCCATAGGTTCCTAGATGGAACATGCCATTGTAACAAAAAACAAATTAACAAGAGAAAAACAGATGTTTATTAGCAGGTATATTTTGTATATACATGGCAACACCAGGGAATGCGGTTGTTCTCAAAGAAGTAGCTTTGAATTTCAGCACATATATCATCTTCAACAAAAAAACAGTAAGTTTTTAGAGAAGTGACAAGACAAAGGAAAAGGAGTGTGATTCTCTAGGGGTAATAACTTGCGGGAAACCAAATAAATGGCAGATAAAGGCTAGTTAGTAAAGCTTGTTAATGTAGATTCCTCTGTTACTGTTACAGGACCAACAAGTTTATATGCCCACTGCAGAGTAACAGACCAATTACATCAAAACAGCAGGGTTTGCAGCAGAGGAAGTTTGACGATTGTAGGGCATCAAGCAAGGCCATCAAATTCATCTCTCCAAGGAGTTCTGGGCTGAGATTTTTGAAGGGATCATGGAGGGCAAGGGGCTGGAAAATCGGGGCTATTGAATGGTTGGGTTAAAGAGGATATGGAAACTGCATTCTTTTGTGAGTCAGCCTCTCCTGGGGTCCCTCAGACCAGCTGACATCAGTAGTGTCACTGGTATGCAGAACCTAAAAAATTATTTGAAAGCAGAAACAATGCCTCATAATGTTCAAGTTATTATCTAGGGTATTTAAGAGGAACTATAAT
This sequence comes from Homo sapiens, assembly GCF_000001405.40. Lineage (NCBI taxonomy): Eukaryota > Metazoa > Chordata > Mammalia > Primates > Hominidae > Homo > Homo sapiens. The sequence goes on along the minus strand of NC_000023.11, from coordinate 113,812,279 downwards.
CTTATAACAGGGTCTCAGTGATTCTGAGGCAATAGACAGCAAAGGACTAGGAGGAAGCAGGCTGGGGAGCAAGCTGACCTCAGGACTAATGTTAAATGTGCTGCAAGCTTGGTTAATTTTTTTTCTCCCCCTCCCTTCTCTGATTCATTCTATACAGTTTATAGGGACAGTCTCAGTACTATCTCTAGATGATAAGGGTCTAAAGTTTGTTTTTGGTGGTTAACCTTTGTTCTCCCTGTTTAGGGGGTGGCCATTTGTCTTTGTAAATCTATGTCCTGCTTTTAGGCAAACAGAGGGAGGAAAGGGAGCTTTCTTTTCTTTTTTTTTTTGACAGAGTCTTGCTCTGTCGCCCAGGCTGGAGTGCAGTGGCGCGATCTCGGCTCACTGCAAACTCCGCCTCCTGGGTTCACACCGTTCTCCTGCCTCAGCCTCTCCCAGTAGCTGGGACTACAGGCGCCCTCCACCACGCCCGGCTAATTTTTTTGTATTTTTAGTAGAGACGGGGTTTCACCGTGATCTCGATCTCCTGACCTCGTGATGCGCCTGCCTCGGCCTCCCAAAGTGCTGGGATAGCAAGAGTGAGCCACTGCACCGGGCCATGAGCTTTCCTGCATCTGTTTCTTCTTGATTGTCTTCAGCTCAACAATCCTTCATATTTTGGGGTGATATATTCTCTTCTGTCACCCCAGGTACTTTGCATTTCCATATAAATTTTAGAATCAGCTTGACAATTTATAGTTTTTTTTTCTTTTAAGCCTTCTGGAAGTTTGATTGTGATTGCATTTAATGTATAGATTAATCAAGGAAAAATTCCCATCTTAAAATAATATCTTTTTATTCGTGGACATATTATATTTCTTCATTTACTTAAGCCTTTTAAAATTTCTTTAGCAATATTTTGTAGTTTGTAGGGTAGAAATCTTGGACATCATTTGTTAGGTTAATTTCTAAATATTTTATATTTTGTTACCATAAATAGATATTTTACTGCTAGCATATACGAATACAGTGGACTTTAAAATATTAAAATACATATATCTAATTTGGAAGATACTGCTAAATTCACTTATTAATTTTATTATGATATGATACCTTTCCCATTTTAAGAACAGAAGTAAAAAATAAGAATAAAAAAGTCCTTGCAGCTACTTGTTTCCTCCTCTTCATCAAAGTTTTCTTAAAAATTGAAGTGTTGTTTCCACATCTTCTCATATTCATCTCTCAATAAATTCTAATCTATTTTACCTTCCTAACATCTGCTGAGATTCCCATATCTCTTCATTGCAATTTCTAACACCATGCCCAGCAGAATACTACTATTTTCCCATTATACAATGACATTTTTTTACTTACTGTCTTGTTTGACCTCTTGCCATTTTTAACACTGTTGATAGCATTTAATACACCTTTGTTTCCGATTTAAATAATTTCTACGTCTCTAGCAACTTGTTTTCAATCTTCTCAGTATAAGCTTTTTCCTTTGTTCAGTCTTTTATATTAGGAATCTTGTGTTAGCCCTGCTTCCCACTTCACACACTCTTCTTGGATTCTTTTATATAATTCTCTGACTTCAATTATTATTCATATGTTGATGACTTTGACATCTGTAACTCCAGGCCAGATCTCTTTACTAAAATCTAGATAAAAACCGAGCATCCTTTCTTAGTCTGGCAACTTGCCTCTTAAAGGACAGAGACTAACACAGAAAAAGAAACCTGGGTTTCATCCTTGATAACCAGCATCTAGTCATTGCCAAATCATTTCATTTTATCTCCTTAATGACTCATAAACTGTGAACTTTTTTCAATTTCCATTGAAACGAACTTAACTTAGGCCAATATCATCTTTCATTGGAACCTAATCCTGATCATTTACCTGGCTTCCATTCTTACTCCAAGCTCACTTACACGGCTCACTGCAAGCTCCACCTCCCGAGTTCACGCCATTCTCCTGCCTCAGCCTCCCGAGTAGCTGGGACTACAGGCGTCCGCCATCACGCCCTGCTAATTTTTTGCATTTTTAGTAGAGACGGGGTTTCGTCATGTTGGCCAGGATGGTCTCCATCTCTTGACCTGGTGATCCACCCACCTAGGCCTCCCAAAGTGCTGGGATTACAGGCGTGAGCCACCGCGCCCGGCCTCAAGGTCTCTCTTATCTTCTTTTGTTTCTGCCCGCAAGTGCAGGGAGGGGATCTCTCTGAAATTGTCTTCTCTTCCCTTATTCAAAAGGAATGCAATTGTCTTGAACTCCCTCCCTAGGAATCTCAAACAACCAGGGGTATTAATTACCAAAGAGGAGATTAAAAGTCATCACCACATCCAGACAGGCTATTGCCTATTCTTCTGGAGGCTTCTCTGAAACAACTCTTGTTACCTGAGAGATTTTATCTGCAAAATAAGACAACCTTTATTCACCATGCAATTTCTCTCCTTTCCCTTCCATTATTTGTGATCACTTTCCCACAAAGCTTCAAGACTTTATTCTTTTATGTTATAAAAACTTCACTCATCTGCCCCTTCTTTAAGACTCGTATCTTTTTATTAGGTTCATTTCTGCATGCACATAATTAAAATGGTTTTTATCCTGTTAATCTGTTTATTGTCAGTTTATTTTAGCAGACTCAATGATCAAATCTTTAGAGGGAAAGTTTAAACTTTCCTACAATATCAAAATGATTACCTTCTAAAACATGTAAATTTTCTCATATTAAACCAATGTGTGTAAATTCACTTCTAATGTTTCTAATTTGAATTATTAAGTTAGTCAAACAGATAAGAATGTTGTTCAAACTGAAGATGCATCAATAAAAATTATCCAATCTGAAGAACAGAGGGAAAATAAAAACTGAAAAATAATGAACAGAGCCCCAGTGGCCTATGAGCTACTATTAGGTACTTTCAGAAATCAAGTTTTTTCTAAAAAGTGTGAACTACTAACACATACCAGATCATGAATAAATTTCAAAAAGAATTATTTTGAGGGGAAAAACCGGATACGAAAGAGTGCATTTTACCTATTCTAGAAATTAGCTAGAATATAGCTCTATGATTATATTTATGTGAAGTTCTAGAGTAGGTAAAATGCACCTATCATGGAAAAAATAAGAAATATACATGGATTAATTTTATATTGACAAAAGTTAAGCCAAGAAAGGCATAGTCATTTAAAAATACTGAATCATACTCAATAGCAACAAAAATAATCTATATTCACACACGTAACAAACATAAAATTGAATGAAGGAGGCCAGGCACAAAATCTAATACTGAATGATTCAATTTATATAAATTTCACAAGTAAGCAAACATAAACCATGATGCTTAACTGTATATAACTTTATAATCAAAGTATAAAGAAAGGCAAGATCATGACTTCTATAAAAGTCAACTTTGTGGCTATCTTTGGAGCTGGACATAGAAGGGTTTGTGACTGAGAAGATGTTCAGAGTTCTGGCAATATTTTATTTTTGATTTGAGTGCTGGTTACTAGTGTTCACTTTATAATAATTAAGGAGAAAAACAGTGGTTCAGTTAAGTGCATTTGCTAAATGTAAGCCGCATCAAAACATGGACTGTTTCTTCAGTGCTTTATCTCTAGCATCTAGCACATAGTGAGTGTCCAATAAATATTTTGAGAGAATGAATGAATGAACTAAGCACACATTCTGTGTTCAGCCTCCAGCTAGTAGGCATTGCTATGGGGTATGCTGAAACTACAGATGATCTTATTTTAATGGGAGAAATAGGAATATCTGCAACATGCAGAGAACAACTAGTTAATTCACAAATTAACTTTTGATTTATTTTTCATTTTCCAAGGCCATGATCTAGTTGTCATACTTTATTCATCACCATCATAATATCATATTTAGCAAATTCCTATTCTCTAAGTAAGTGATAGCAGGTTTGGCACTCAACTTTTGCAAACGGGTTCCTTTTAAAGTGTGCATTTTTCTTATGAAAGAAATTACATCTCATTTGTGAAAATGCACGTAAAAATCATTATCAATGGCTCCTAATAAAGCTAGTAAAGGCATAATCTGCTAGCTAAATAATCAAGTTATTTATTTGAAGTATAAATAGATTCTAATTCATTATTTAACTAGTTATTATCTTCTGCTTACCTGAATATCCAGATGTTTGCTTTTGTATGAGAAAATATATCAAAAGACAAACAGGTTATTGCCAATAGAATAGTACCTATAAATTACATTACATTTGCTATTTCATTTTCTTCTTTTTTAAAATGTTGCTAAAGCCTTCTCTATTATGGAGTTTTGAAAGTAAATAAACTCAATACCATCAAGCTCAACAATGCTAAATGTCAGTGCAGGAAATAGAGTATAGATAATTATCATTTCAGTTCATAAACATAAAATGTTCACCTAATAACATTTTAATGTCTTTTTAAAATAGCTTTTGCACATATGGGTTTGTTTTCCAAAAGAAGGAATTTGTTACAAGGAGCTGCTTACATTTATTGTAAATTGTGAAATTGAAAATTTCAAGAGAGTAGAAGCAGTTATTCAAAAAAAGTAAATACATTTTAGTACATACTGCCTCCCACAAGAATAAGGACTAAAAAGAAAGCAAACATTAAAAACAGCAAATGCATTAGTAGTGCTTGGTTCTAGAACTCAGAGCAATATTGTTTGTATTGGATTCCATAGACAGTAAAAAAAAAAAAATCTCCTTCAGAAGTGAATATGATATAATTAGATATGAAAACATATTTTACCAAAAAAATCACCATCAATTACCCTTATTTTATGAGGTAAATGAGGTGCTGGGAAAAACCTTTATTTATTATTTCTCTAACCCTTATATTTACTTTGCACTTTTGCTCTAATCTTAAAGTAGGGTTCTTTCTATATCCTGTTCATGGGAGATAAAATGGCTAAAGGAAAAATGAGTTGCTGAGATTGGATATGAGAGTAGGTAAGTACAAGGTCAGCATTAGAAAAAACAGAAGAGCCAGGCACAGTGGCTCATTCCTGTAATCCCAGCAGTTTGGGAGGCCAAAGTGAGTGAATTGTTTGAAGCCAGGAAAGACCAGCCTGGGCAACAAAGTGAGACCCCCGTCTCTACAAACCAAAACAAAGTTACCTGGGTGTGGTGGGGTGTGCCTGCAGTCCCAGCTACTTGGGAGACTGAAGCAGGAATACTGTTGATCACCCAGGAATTCAAGGCTGCAGTGAGCTATGATCATGCACGCCACTGCAACGAGACCCTCATCTCTTAAAAAAAAAGAAGAAACAGAAGACACAGGTACAGCCCTTGTCCAAGTTAGAGCTAGTGAACAATCTAATACTCATGATATTTCTAGTATGTGCTTAAGTGTTGAATGAACAAAGAAATAGTTGTGGTAGAAATCTGAAAGTTTGGGTATCTAGTGGGTTGTTTACATGTTTGAGGCCAGCAGAGAGATCGCAGCTGAAACTGTGAAGCCTGATTACAATCCCCTTTGCATAATGATATTAAACGAACTGACATTCTATTAATCTGCAAGAATAAACACTGTATTTTTCTTTCTTTCTGACTTCCTTGTCAAGGAAAATCATATTTTTCTTATATCAGGTTTATCAAGGCAAAATTTACATGGAATAAGATTCTAACTTTTTCGGTGTACAGTTCTGTGAACTGTGAAAAATGGGTAAGGTTAAATGACCATCACTACAATCAAGATATAGGATATTTCTATCACTTCAAAAGATTTTCTTTTGCGTGTTTGTAGTCAGTTCCATCCACTATCCCAAGCTCTTAGCAAACACTGATCTGTTCTCTATCCCTATGGTTTTGCTTTCTTCAGATCATTGTAAAAACGAATTATAACATGTAGCCTTTTTAATCTGGCTTGTTGCACTTAGTGTAATGCTTTTGAGATTGATCCATGGTTTTCTTATTACAGTAGGTTCTTCCTTTTTATTACTGAATAGCATTCCATTTTTTAAACATGCCACATGTTGCTCAGCCAGTCACCAATTAGTGTATATTTGGGGTTATTTCTACTTTGGTGATTATGAATTAAGGTGCTATATATATTCATGTATAGGTTTTTTCCTGAGGACATGTCTTCATATCTATTTATGAAGCGTATATTTAACTTTATCAGAAACTATTAAACTGTTTTCTAAAGCAGCTGTATTATTTTGCTCTACATACTCACCAAGACGTCCCTTATTCTGATAGGTGTGAGTTTGTGGGTTTTAATTTGCATTTCCTTAATCACTAATGATGTTTATCATCTTTTCATGTGCTTAATTACCATTTGTAAATCTGCAGTGGTGAAATGTCAAGAAAAATATTCTTTAAGCTGAAAAGGGCAAGATGTATTTGGTGGATCTTGGAATTCTCCCTGTTCTCTGAGAACTACTCTCCCCCCAAGGATGGCTCCTGGCCGCCATGTTTATATTCTGAGACCTCACCACTTTCTTACCACAGATAACTGGACCTGATTCAGGAGAAATCAATCCAATGACTGGGCTGGATAAATCAGAAGTCTGAAGCAGCTGCATCATTTAGCTATAGATATTAATTTGGAATGGTACTGAACACATTATTTTTGGTCTGTTATTAGGGTCCATGTATAAATGGAGCCAGTCTGAAAAGAGAGAGAGAGAAAATAAAAACAGATGAGAGATGGTTTCTGGTAGCTTTCCAGTTTGGGAAAGTCATAACGTATAGGTTCACTTTCTATTCTTAATTCTCTGTGAGATAATCCTATATCCTTTCCATAAATTTTCCCTTTTGATTAAACTCACTTAAATTAGTTTGGTTGTGTTTTTGTTCCTTGTTACCAAATGATCCCTGACTAAAATAACAAAAAAAGATGATTTTGAATGACAGAAAAGCAAAATAGAGAACCATTAAAATTAACAGAGATTTCAGCTTTTATGTGTGCTGGGTTGTTTAATTAGACAAAAATGAGTCAAAGTATTGAAGCCTGCCAGGCCAGTAGCTTCTTTCTGAGCCTTTCCCTGTGAAATTATATTGCCATAATTTGTAACTCATGGGCTTGCTACACTAAACCACAGCAGGTTTGACCTGATACTGACATCTGAAACAAAGGCAGCAATCTAAAAATTGGACAGCAATCTGTGAGGGAGGCTGGATCATAATATGAACTAATAAAGATTCTCTAAAATATTTGATTTGCTGAACCAATAAGATTCTCCATTGTTTGTAACGAGTCTAAATGTGGGAGTAGAGGGAAAGCAGGAGCCTCAGGAGCAGTGGAAGCAGAGGCAGAGAAGAGCTGAGTCACTATTACATTGAAGCACTATTATAGAGAACAGTAGACATTCACTTGTGAGATGTTCACTGGACTTCAGTCACTAATGCCACTGCAGCAACTAGACAGTTTCTTTTCTCCCTTACTTGCTCACGCGCCTTTATAAAATACCACCAGTTATTAAGGTAACCTACATCTGTCTCTATTATTTTAGTTTGGCCATCTCTTTGCATCCATAAAGAGCTGTAAGGGCCAAGGGAATGCATCCCCTTCACCCTCTGAAGGTTTGCTGAAAAATCGACTCACAAAAGATTCATAGGAGAAATGGCATACAAAATTACTACCATACATGTGGAAGAGAACCAGAGTTTTTTACCCTAACCCCTCAATGGGGTGCAGAAGCTTATATACTTACCATCTTGAGGTTACGGAAAGAATAGAGGCCCAGAGCATGGCCCAAAACAGGTTATAGCGTCAAGACAGGTTATGAGAAGGAAAGAAGAGGAGGCCAGGCTAGCAAAGGTGGTCTTGTTATGTAGATGAAACCTCACAGGTGGCAGCCCTCAGAGAGAATAGGAGGTAAGTGTTTCTTTCAAGCCTTTAAAAGTATCAGACTCTCATCTTTCCTAGATCTGGACAAGGGAAGGCCTCAGAGAAACCGTGGCTGCCTCAATGCAGATTCTATACAGATACAAATCTCCTCAACAAAAGACAGCTTTGCAGCTTTGCAGGGGTATTTTTTTTTGGTGCTCTCTGAACAGCCATCTCAAAATATGTCAAAGAAGTATATTTTGGGGTAAAATATTTTGATTTCCCTCAAGCTTAACTAACACTTTGTGAGATCAAGAAAATTAAATGCTATAGAGATAAATATAAAGTCCTGCCCTTAGGTTTAAATAATGAAATGTACATATTCTTTTACCAGTATATGTGGAAAAAATTGAATATTAGAATTACTCTAAGCTCATTTAAAGTAGCAGTGGGAAGTGGCATGCAAAAGAAAAAAAAGCTGGCCGGGCACGGTAGCTCACGCCTGTAATCTCAGCATTTTGGGAGGCTGAGGTAGGCAGATTACTTGAGGTCAGGAGTTCGAGACCAGCCTGGCCAACATGGTGAAACCCCATCTCTACTAAAAATGCAAAAATTAACCAGGCGTGGTGGAGGGCGCCTGTAATCCCAGCTACTTGGGAGGCTGAGGCAGGAGAATCACTTGAACCTGGGAGGCAGAGGTTGCAGTGAGCCGAGATTGCACCATTGCACTCCAGCCTGGGCGACAGAGCAAGACTCTCAAAAAAAAAGAAAGAAAAAAGAAAGAAAAAGCTATTAAACCCATGGAGGTGATGAGCCTCCTTTAACTGGTCAGAATGGGTCAGAAACATTGTTTGTAGTTCTGAGTTATATATTTTTAACAAAACTCTTGGCTTAATAGAGCTGTATTTATTGAAGGATAAACAGAACCAAGACTGATAAAGAAATCATATCACTCGAGAAAGAACTGTAGAACTAAGAGAGATTAGCCTGAGAAAGAGAAATTTAGGAGAGTATATGGACTGGTGTGTTTATATATATGAGTGCTGTAAATGCAAATGAGGGATAAAATATTTCGCATACATCCAGAGAAAAGAAGTCAGCTATAGATCCAAATTATGTATAGATTTCACATCAGTAGAATGAATACTTAATAACAAGAACTGCTCAAAAATGGGACTGTGATAACTTGTGACGTAAGAACAAGCCCAAGTCACAAATCCCAAGAGGGGCTGCATTTTTCTCTCCTCCTAGATGCTTATCTCCTTGAGGGCAATAACTTGGCCTTTACTGTGTTTTTAAAAGTATCCAAATTCTGAATGTAATTCTTGCAAAACTATTCATTGTTTTAAAATGACCTTTCGTTTGTATGCCCTCTCTTTACTCTGTCAAACAAATATATGAAATGCCAGTGAACAGCAAATAGTGATATCTGTTCTTTTCAAAAAATGGATGACTTCTATCCTACATTCCTTGAGGATTTCTTATCATTCTGGCTTCTTCTCCAAAGAAATTCACCGAGAGCCTGTTTCCCAATCAATGGAATGTTGTTTTCATAATATATCATCAGACATTCCTCTGGCAGGAGCAGGAGGTCGGGAACTGCCCTTTTCAAAAACTTTAATGGAAAATAATACAATGATCAAACTTACGTTAGACAGGCTCAGATGCAAAGCTAGCTCCCTGCCTATGAGTGAAAAATATATTTCTCTTTAATACCTCTATACATAGAGGTGAATGAGAGGGTAGGAAACCAAATCCTGAAATAAACACAGGACTGGGAATCAAGAGACTCTGAATTTAATCTCAGCAAAGATTTTAAACTAAAGTTGTAATCTCAGGCAAATCAACTCTTTGTGCCTGTTTCTTCATTTCTTACCTAATGGCCCTCTGACGCCTGATCTCACACACTGGTAGATTCCTCGCTGCCATGAGCCGTTAAATATAAAAAGAGAAGGTTTCCCCGTAAAAAGAGAGAAACCCTGGTGCCACTACTAGGCACCCACCCACTCTTTTTTTTTTTAAATCCGTATTCTGTTTCTCTGTTCACTATAAGACACCATGCTGTATTGTATTCCACTGTACACCAACTGGGCAAATAATTAAACTCAATTAAAAGCTAAGGAACACTGGCAACCAAACTATTTAATCATGGAGGTCTAAATCCTTGCTCTAACCATGTGCTCTTCAGCAATAAAATATACTCATCAATAAGAATAATCATTATTAAATCCTTTGGCTCACTTTCCTGGAGTCCTAGGGATTCTCATTGGCTCATTATAAGACCTTCTTAATTTCATTCAGATCTTGGGTCCTGGATCAATCACCTATTAGCTGTGTAAGCTTTGATAAGTTGTTTTGTTTCTCTGGCACTCAGTTTTCTTCTCTGTAAGAATAGGGGATGAGCCTCCTTTAACTGATCAGAATGGGTCAGAAACATTGTTGGTAGTTCTGAGCTATATATTTTAACAAAACTCTTGGCTTAATAGAGCTGTATTTATTGAAGGATAAACAGAACCGAGTATGATAAAGAAATCATATCACTTGAGAAAGAACTGTGGACTGCGAGAGATTAACCTGAGAAAGAGAAGTTTAGGAGGGTATATGGACGGGTGTCTTCATACACATGAGTGCTTGTATATAAAGACTGGCGTCTTTATATATATGAGTGCTTATATGTATATAAGACTTTCACAGGTATGGAAAGTACCTAGCACAGGCCAGGGTACTTGATAGGCCCTTCTCAAGTGCTACTTCCATTTCTCTGTCTTATTTTCAGGCCCTTAGATCTTCTATTTCTCTTGATTCCTCTAGGGCCTTGTCTTCCATCTCAAGTTCCTCTTAAATACATTTTAAGCCTTACCATGAGCCTCCTCTAGACCACTTTCACCTGCAGTCCTAGACTATCCAGGACTTTAATACATAATCACATTTTTAAAAGCAGTCCTGTGGATTTCTATTTCCCTCTTAAAATCCTTGGGAGTATTTTAACATTTGAAACAAACATTCCAGAACTCCTCTACAAAGATCGAACATCAGTTTCTTGGGGAAGAGGAGTATGTTCTCCCAAGGGATAATGCTACCTATCCTTCCTACCTTACAAAGCAGCCGTGATGATTTTATTTTTATAAAAAAGTTAATAAAGGTGACACTGTGAATAGCTTCCAATGGTAGAGAAGTTTTATTATTGAAATTGCAGAATCTGCTCTTCAATCAGCTGGGAATCTTGATTTTTCTGACAATCAGTATGAAACCTCACAGCAATTAAAGTTATCTTTCTAGCTTGCTACATCAATGTCCCTTCCATTGTGCCTCTGAATTTGTTGGTATTCACTGTCAGCAGCTAGTGATGACTGAAGAAGTCATTGTAGCATGAAACCCTTCCTCAGCTTTACAGGAACTTAATGGCATGTTCCTCATTACACAGAGAGAATTCTGATTTTGATAAGATAAACCAAGAGTGAAAATATATTTAACCAAGAAGAAAACAGTAGTTATTTCTTTGTCCTTTTTGTTTTCCTGCATATGTTGTGACAGGACTACAGCAAGGGGACAGTGAATTTTTGGTTCCTATTCTGATGGAGTATTCAAATATAAATAATTCCCATGTCAATGATAAACATCTTTATTGCTAAAGAGATCTGTCATGGAAAGTGCCAGGGGATCTCTTCGCACACTTTAAATATTAGGGCTGTATGTGGAGACGCTCTTACTCACTTAGTGACAGCAGGGTATGCAGTTTGAGCTCTATTTTCTTTTTTTATTTATTTATGTATTTATTTTGAGACAGGGTCTGGCTGTGTTGCCCAGGCTGGAGTACAGTGGTATGACCTCAGCTCACTGCAACCTCTGCCTTCCAGTTTCAAGCGATTCTCGTGCCTCAGCCACCCAAATAGCTGGGATTACAGGTGTGAGCCACCTTGCCGGCCTGAGCTCTATGTTTACCTGTAGCATTGGGTAGTTTTTTAGACATACACCTTCCCTATTCCCAGTTTCCTTACTGTCAGAGCCCAGAATTTTGGGTGAAGGCAATGGCAGAGAACAAAGTGACAACAACTGAAATGGAAAGTGACTTTGATTCTATCAATTCATTCATTCTTTCCCTCACTCATAAAACCTACATTAAGCACTTACAATATGCCATGCATTTGTAGGGGCAAAAGGCGTTTTCCCTCCCTGCTGAGGTTTGACGTTTGAGTCTGAGAAATAAGCTGACAGTAGATGGACAGGAGAAAAGGCATACAAATTCATTAACATGTATATGGACATGAGAGTTCTGCAAATATGAGACTCAAGGAAGAGCCAGATGAGTGAGGTTTTTATACTACATAGAAAGGAATACAGGCTTGAAGTATAGCGACAGGTTATGGGAGGGAGAAGGGAGGAAAGGCATGGTGAGCAAAAGCTGTCATATTATCCAAATGAAACTTCACAGGAAACAGCCCTTAGAAAGAATAGATGGTAGCCTGTAGTAAAAGTTTCTCTGTCAGAACTTTAAAAGTGTCAGACTTTTAATGTCATTTTCCTGTGAGTAAATGTTTCCTAGATCTGGAAAAGGCAAATGTATTAGGCTGTTCTTGCTTTGCTGTAAAGAAATACCTGAGACTGGGTAATTTATAAAGAAAAGAGGTTTGATTGGCTTATGGTTCCTCAGGCTGTACAGGAAGCATGGTGCTGACATCTGCTCAGCTTCTGGGGAGTCCGCAGTGAGGTTTTACTCATGGCTGAAGGCAAAGAGGGAGCTTGCATATCACATGGTGGGAGCAGGAGCAAGAGAGAGTGGGTAGGGGAGGTGCCATACACTTTAAACAACCAGATCTCTCAAGAATTCACTACCACGAGGACAGCACCAAGTCATGAGGGATCTGCCCCCATGACCCCAACACCTCCCACCAGGCCCCACCTCCAACATTAGGTATTACATTTCAACATGAGATTTGGGGTGGGGGACAAGTATCCAATCAACATGAGATTTTGGGTGGGGGACAAGTATCCAATCTATATCAGCAAATAAGGGAATCTCAGAGAAAGCCTGTTTGCATCCACTTTGATAATGTAGAAATGGTTCTGCAGATGCAAATTTCCTCCACAAAGGATAGCTCTTCAAAACTATTTCCTGTCTGCAGCCCCTCTAAACAGCCATCTTGAAATATGCCAAAGAAGTATATTTTGGGGTGGCATACTCTGGTTTCCTTCACATTGTACTAGGTGTTAAGACACAAAGATAACCTGATACCCCAAGAGATCACTTCTTAAGGAGGATATAGACATGTAATCAGTTAACGACACAGTCTATTTAGTCTATACACCACTAGCAATATATCTAAAGATATAGAAAGTACAATGAATGTTCAGAAGGAGCACACTTCACTTGGCCTGAGAGAGTCTGGTGGGGCTTGAAAGACTTTAGAGAATTGTCAGGGGAATAGTTGGGACGGGGTAGGGCTGTAGATCATTTTAGCAGAGATAAAACAAAATGTGTAGGACCAGGGAGGCTCAAGGGAAGGTGTGTTCATAAAACTGCATCTAGTTTGCTATTCCCATAGCATTATATAGTTTATGTTCTCACTGGATAAGCCAAATTACAAATATGTATATACTGTCAGCCATGCAGAGTGACTGTGGCATGGTTGTTAGTTTTATAAAATTAGGTTCATTCCACATTAAATCCAGCTGCGGATAAAGAGGAATTTTAATGAATTGCAGAACTAAGAGAACTGAGGCCACCGAAGCTTACTTTCCAGAGGTGCACTGGCATTGCCATATCTGTCAAAATGCATTCAGGTCGATAAAACTGTTCAAGATTTGTATTAAAGAATGGTCTGAATTTCCCTAGTTTTATGAAAAATACAAAGATGAGTTGCATATAAATAACACTTAAGTTCTCTTTCAGTCCTGAGAATCTATGAAATGGAATTTCATACATTTAAACCAAAATAAAAAATCATGGTCAAGCAATATAAAAAATATATATATTCACGCCTGTAATCCCAGCACGTTGGGAGGCCGAGACGGGTAGATCATGAGTACAAGAGATTGAGACCATCCTGGTTTAGTAGAAACCCCGTCTCTACTAAAAATATACAAAAAAATTAGCTGGGCGTAGTGGCGGGCGCCTGTAGTCCCAGCTACTCGGGAGGCTGAGGCAGGAGAAGGGTGTGAACCCGGGAGGTGGAACTTTCAGTGAGCCAAGATTGTGCCACTGCACTCCAGCCTGGGTGACTGAGCGAGACTCTGTCTCAAAAAAAAAAAAAAATTATATTGCAAAACTTAAGTCATAATTGAAACTGAAACTGGTATTTCCCTTTCTCCAGTGAAATAAGACTATGTTTTGGAAGTGAAGATAATGACTACTGTATCACTGTTAAGCAAGTCAGGTATTTTGAAATGTTTTTCTTCTGGTGAGATATATGCGACTGATTTATTATCTCTACCATTTGTTGCCAATGACAAATAGTTATAGGAAAATATAAATTAAGTTTAATATATAGTAGGCTAGGCTATTTATTTGTTTGCTTTCTTTTTATTCAACCTTCACAATAGGCTTAGGAAATTGGTGCTATTATTTGCTTGTTGCTATTAGTGTTGTATGTGGGTTTTATTTTAGGAAATGGAGGCAGAAAGAGGTTCGGTCACTTACCTAGTAATTGAAGTGGTGGGGAAGTGGAGAGATGGCTTCTGTATTTGTCCGTTTTCACATTGCTGATAAAGACATACCTGAGACTGGGCAATTTACAAAAGAAAGAGGTTTAATTGGACTTACAGTTCCACGTAGCTGGGAAAGCCTCATAGTCATGGTGGAAGGCAAGGAGGAGCAAGTCCCATCTTACATGGATGGCAGCAGGCAAAGTGAGAATGAAGAAGATGCAAAAGCGGAAACCCCTGATAAAACCATCAGATCTTGTGAGACTTAGTCACTACCACAAAAACAGTATGGGGTAAACTGCCCTCTTGATTCAATTATCTCCCACTGGGTCACTCCCACAACACGTGGGAATTATGGGAGTACAATTCGAGTTGAGATTTGTGTGGGGTCACCGAGCCAAACCATATCATTCCATCCTGGCCCCTGCCAAATCTCATGTCATCACATTTCAAAACCAATCATGCCTTCTAAACAGTTCCACAAAGTCTTAACTCATTTCAGCATTAACTCAAAACTCCACAGTCCAACGTGTCATCTGAGACAAGGCAAGTCCATTCTGTCTATAAGCCTGTAAAATCAAAAGCAAGCTAGTTATTTCCTAGATACAATGGGGATACAGACATTGGGTAAATACAATCATTCCAAATGGGAGAAATTGGCCAAAACAAAAGGGCTACAGGGCCCATGCAAGTCCAAAATCTGGTGGGGCGGTCAAATCTTAAAGCTTCACAATGATCTCCTTTGACTCCATGTCCCACATCCAGGTCACGCTGAGGCTGTACTGTGTGGCTTTGCAGGGTACAGCCTCCTTCCTGGCTGCTTTCATGGGCTGGCATTGAGTGTCTTCAGCTTTTCCAGGTGCATGGTGCAATCTGTCAGTGGATCTACCTTTCTGGGGTGTGGAAGACGGTGGCCCTCTTCTCACAGCTCCACTAGGCGGTGCCCCAGTATGGACTCTGTGTGGGGGCTCCAACCTAACATTTCTCTTCCACATTGCCCTAGCAGAGGTTATCCATGAGGACCCCACCCCTGCAGCAAACTTTTGCCTGTGCATCCAGGCATTTCTATACATATTATGAAATCTAGGTGGAGGTTCCCAAACCTCAATTCTTGACTTCTGTGCACCCACAGACGCAACACCACGTGGCCGCTGCCAAGGCCTGTGGCTTCCACCCTTTGAAGCAACAGTCCAAGCAGTACCTTGGCCCCTTTTAATCACAGCTGGAGTGGCTGGGACGCAGGGCACCAAGTCCCTAGACTGCACAGAACACAGGGACCCCGGGCCTGGCCCAGGAAACCATTTTGTCCTAGGCCCCCAGGCCTGTGATGGGAGGGGCTGCCATGAAGACCTCTGACATGCCCTGGACACATTTTTCCCATTGTCTTGGGGATTAACATTTGGCTCCTCATTAGTTATGCAAATTTCTGCAGCCAGCTTGAATTTCTCCTCAGAAAATGGGATCTTCCTTTCTATCACATTGTCAGGCTGCAAATTTTCCGAAGTTTTATGCTTTGCTTCCCTTATTAAACTGAATGCCTTTAACAGCACGCAAGTCACCTCTTGAATGCTTTGCTGCTTAGAAATTTCTTCCACCAGATACCCTAAATCATTGCTCTTAAGTTCAAAGTTCCACAGATCTCTGGGGCAGGGGTAAAATGCTGCGAGTTTGTTTGCTGAAACGTAACAAGAGTCACCTTTGCTCCAGTTCCCAACAACTTCCTCATCTCCATCTGAAACCACCTCAGCCTGGACCTTATTGTTCATATCACTATCAGCATTTTTCTCAAAGCCGTTCAACAAGTCTCTAGGCCTAGCGTCCCAAATTTTCCCACATTTTCCTGTCTTCTTCTGACCCCTCAAACTGTTCCAACCTCTGCCTGTTACCCAGTTCTAAAGTTGCTTCCACATTTTTGGGTATCTTTTCAGCAATGCCTCACTCTACTGATACCAATTTATTGTATTAGTCCGTTTTCACACTTCTGATAAAGACATACCTGAGACTGGGCAATTTCCAAAAAAAAAAAAAAAAGAGGTTTAATTGGACTTACAGTTCCACATGGCTGGCGAAGCCTCACAATCATGGTGGAAGGCAAGGAGGAGCAAGTGCTGTCTTACACGGATGGCAGCAGGCAAAGAGAGAATAAGGAAGATGCAAAAGTGGAAACCCCTAATAAAACCATCAGATCTCGTGAGACTTTTTCACTACCATGAGAACAATATGGGGGAAACCGCCCTCATGATTCATTTATCTCCCACTGGGTACCTCTCACAACATGTGGGAATTATGGGAGTATAATTCAAGATGAGATTTGGGTGGGGACACAGAGCCAAACCATATCAGCCTCCCTCCACTCTCATAGGTTATTTAGCTGGGCTCCAAATTAAATTGACATAAGACAGATTAATAGGAGAAAAAACATTTAATTATGTACATATGTACAGGGGTTTTGCAAAAATAGGAGACCTAATGAAGGGCCGGATGATTGAAGCTTATATAGCCCCCTATGCAATGGAAAGGAATAGGGGATTGGGGATTGTGGTGGTAGGGGTGAAGAGAAGTTATGGGAGGGTGAAGGGAGAAAATGTATGCTGGATAAAGTTTGCCTTGTTATGCAGTTAAAAAATCTTTCAGGTTAAAAAAAATTGCCATGGGAGCAGCCCTCTTTCTGATACAGATACATTTACAAATGCAGATTTCTTTAATAAATATAAATTTCTTTTACAAAAGAACAGTTTTTCAGAGCTACTCTTGTGTCTGCAGTTTCTCAAAATAAACAGCTAGAAATATACAAAATATATTTTGGGTGGCATACTTTCGTCTCCTGTTTTTTTTTTTTTTTTTTGAGACAGGTCTCACTCTGTCACCCAAGCTGGAGTGCAGTGACACGATTGCAGTTCACTACAGCCTTGACCTCCCAGGCTCAGGTGATTCTTTCACCTTAGCCTCCAAGTAGCTGGGACTACAGGAGCATGCCACCACATCCGGCTAATTTTTTGTATTTTTAGTAGAGATGGGGTTTCACCATGTTGTTCAGGCTGGTCTTGAACTCCTGGGCTCAGCAGATACACCCACCTTGGCCTCCCAAAATGCTGGGATTACAGGCATAAGCCACCATGCCAGACCCTACTGTCATCTTTTTAGGTGGTGTGTCCTCAGCCCCAACACTGACATATCATGCCATTAATCTCTAATAAGACCAGAAGTTGGCCAGGATCAGGGTGTAGACAATAGCCTGGCGCTATAGAAGCTAGCATTTTCAGCTCTTCTTCCGTGCATTTTTATGTTAATGCTCCCCTTGAATCAAACTGGTTCAAAAGCTGCCTAGTGTAGTCTTTATTCCCTTTATTGACCTGATCTGTTATGCCTCTGATCTAAAATGAATTTATTTAAGTTACAAATGTTCTTTAAATGTGCCCAACCTCTTCCCAGAAGCATTAGGTCAATTCAATAATGCCTTTCACCTTTGAAATTCTGGGAGCATTTATTGTCTGTACTGCTAAATTGGCACTCATTATGTGAACAGATATTTATCAGATTATTTGCACAGTTTTAAAACATTTTTATTGTTATATATATAATTTGTGTTATATCTGTGTGCCTTATAAGACACTCTGTTCTGTATGTCTAGTCCAACGATTTACAGGAGTAAACATTCAGTATGTTTGCTCATGATTATGGCAATCAAAGAATATTTAATTGAGCCACAGGAACATCCAACTTATGGCCTTAACTTTTTTAGAACCAGGAACTAACTCATCTGAGAACACAATTTTTTTATTCTAGTATTTATTTCTTTGTATACAGAGTTCTAGAAAATGATATGCCATACACGATTAATGAGTAAATTATAATTAAGCACAAGAAAACAGCTTGAGGTATCAAAAATGCATCAAATGATTACCTTAAGAGAATGTACTGGCTCTTTCCAATTTCTCCGTGGTTTTTTTTTTTTTTTTATCCTTTTTGACAACATCACAAAGGGGCTGAGGAACAAATGTGGCAGATGCTGTGTGTCTGTATTGTCTGTATTCAGACTGTGTATAGATAGTATATGAACCAGACTGCAACATTGCTCGCATGCTCATTTAGATTGCTGACATGATAGATGCTGATGACCATAGTAAAACCCGTTGGGAAAACTGCCAAGCTGAAATAATCATCAGGATTTGGGGCCTTTAGAGGTCATGAATGTTTACATTTTTCAGTAGTTTTAGAGAATTTTGCTGTACTTTTAAAGCTACCATTCGAATTGTTTCCAACTTGAGACTTCTCTAGATTGCAAAACTTCATGTAAATACCCATAGAATCACATTTGTAAAGGGTTATATGCAAATATGTAGGAGTTGCTTTTCCTGAAAGCTTTTATCATAAGTGACTGTTGATCATCAATTAGTTAAATCTAGGTCTATAGGAAAAGTTTCTCAAATATATGGTTTGACCAAAACTATTTTATTCTACTACTTCTCCTCTTGTTTTTTGTTAAATTGTTCTTAAAGAAAAATCCAGGTGGGAACTTGACTTGCTGATAGCCAATAGATATATTATTTTCTCCTCAAAACTATGTTTACACAACAGGAGACAAAATAAAAAGAATGCCAAGTACAAGATTGGTTTCTCCAAGTTCCATGATTCAATAAAGTTCTTACCCTTAAGTAGAGACAACAGTAATTCTTATTATAAAATAGAAGATTGCGACTTCTACTTCCACAGATAGCCCAGTCAGCTACAGAGTGACAAGGTTGATCAAACTTTATGCTGGATGTAAGTTTAGGCTGTTTTGATCAGGACGTCTAGGCCCTGAACTTATGAATCTCCCATACTGCTACTTGTTTGCTCCATCTCTGGCCCAGACCTCCACCCCGTGTGCAAATATCTCCTGCCTCAAACTTCCTGTTATTGAAATATTTGATGTAGTTTAAGCTTCAATACCCTCCTAGTCATTTTGAACCTCACCTTGCTCCCCCTTCTCCTTTTCCCAGCTATCTGTCCAGCAATTTCTGCTTATATGCTTGGCTCAGCTTGGTCTTTGAGTGTTTCCCTACTGCAAAAGTCCCTCTGCCTCTATTACAATAGTCCCCCTTAATGAAGTGTTTTCTTACTAACTTCAAGACTTCCATGTTTTTACGGTAGGGGGTGGGGGGCGCAGAACTTAGACAGCAGACACTATCATATTCTAGAATTTCCCCACAAATAATTACATGAGCGAGGCTTCAATTTTCTCATGTCTAAAGTGGGAATAGTGAGTTCTTCCTTTTTCCACCAGAAAAACATACCCGTGTTTCTCAATTTATGATGGGAGTTTCATCCCAAAAAGCCCATTGTGAATCAGGGAGCTTACTGAATGCATATCACTTCTGTACCATTGTAAAGTCTGTACCATTGTAAAGTCAAAAAATTAAAAGCTGGCCATGTAAGTCAGGGACGGTCTGTATTCAGGGTGACACACGAGAAGACATATTTTGCTATGAGTTATTTTGAGTATGGTGCTGTGTGAGATCATTACAAGTTGTTATTATTATTCCCATTAATATTGTAGGGGACGAAAGGTGTGATCCCTTTCTTCACCCACCATAAGTGGGTGCCATAAGTGGCACAGCTGACACGCCTATATTAAAAGGCAGATTAACAAAGCATACAAATTTATTTAATTCAAGTTTTATGTGACACGAGAGACTTCAGAAATGAAAACCACAAAACCCAGGGAAAACTTTTTATGCTAAAGTTTCTGATTTGATAATTTAATGAAGTACAGATAGCCATGTAGAAATGTGACTGGACAAGGGGGTATGCTCTAAGGGTAATAGACTGAGGGGGAGGCAGATTCAGCAAGACCTGTCTGTTCACATTCTTCTTGGTTTCTCTGTGTAGCATTTCTTCCTCCGAGATATGTGGCAGGACCTCTCTAGAATGAAAGCCTTCAAGAAAAAAAGAATAGAATCACTTTTCTAGGTTTTCTGGCTTGCTTTCGGGGACAAGGTGTTGCAGTTTCCATGCTCTGCCTTGGGAAGGAGGAATTCTGGTTACTATGACTTGCTTCAGGGGGGCAAAAAAAAAAAAAAGGAAGAAATGGAAGGGCGAGAGAAGGTCAGAGAGATATTTTGTTTCTGAGGCTGTTTCTGAGGCCTTCCAATCTCCTTTAGTTCAAAGCACTCAGCATGCCAAAGCACGATACTTTAAGGGATTGTTTTCTGGACCCCAGCAATATCAATGACGTCTTTTAATCCAGTGGTTTTCCAAGTGTGGTCCTTGAAAGGCTTTGGTCCAGTAGTAGCAGTATTACTTGAGAACTTGTTAGAAATGCAAATTCTTGCTTCCCACTTTAGACCCATCAAATCAGAAACTTTCAGTCTTAGGCCCAGCAATTTGTGTTTTAATAATCCCTCCAGGTAGTTCCGATGTATGTTCAAGTTTGAGAACTTAATAACTATTTAAAAGATATTAGTTTGAAAAAAAATGCTTTTTTTTTTTTTGCCAAGAACTGGGAAAAAATTTGTATGCAACAGCAGTTGTGGTTACCCACGCCTAAAAATAATGCCTAAATGCCTTAAAGTCATTTTAAATAATGTGATTATAGGCATTCTTTCTGGTAGATAATATGGATGTTTGACTCATTTCTTATTCTTATTTCTTTGATTCTTGAAGAGATATGAATGAACACAAGAGGCACATTTTCTGAAGCAGAGCCCTAGAATTCCTCTCACATACTACTCTCATCATGATAAAAAAGAAATCACTACTGATGGATGACTCCTGTACTCTGTGAGACATCAAGCCCTATTAGTCACTCATTTATGCCATTTAAATGCTGGATTTTGTTTTCAGTGCTGCAGGCCCATTACCAAAGAGGGCCCAGCTGTTACTTTTTTGCTTTGGGGACATTCTCTGCAAATTCAATGGGTTTTGCTTCAATTCAGAAAATGGAAAGCATTAGGTTTGTAACAATAATCATATATCTCTCCAGGGCTCTTGTAGTATCAAGCCAGAGAGAAGAATAGTAGTAATTGGTTAGATTCATCAGAAGGGCAAATTTATTCTCATGTCTTTTTGCAGTGGGCAAGGGTCCACTGAACAGTTGGACCAATAGGCACAATGTTAGAATTATATGAATACCCAACATTTGGGTGGCACTGTTAAAAATACATTCAATAACTATCTTTTCCATATTTATGTTCATAAAAACTCAGATTAGGTAAGACAAGTAACCCACTAGTTTGAGCAGATGATATCTCATTCTTTTGACTCAATATTTTTCTTTTAAAGTGGAAGCAGTGGGAAGACTTACACAATTAACAATGGAGATTAATTCTATAGTTCTTTCTCCCCCTGGAGGAGAAAGATACTTCTTTGGTACACTTAACTACTGTGAATTGATCTCTAAGCATTCCGACTTATATTTTTAGCAAATAAGATTTTTCACTCCCCTTTAACTTCTCCAAGTCAAGAGGATGGCAAGGCCCACTCCTGTCATCAAGCTAAGTAACCTGGCATCGGGTTAAAATGGGAAAGAATGTAGAGAAAATACCCACATAATGGGAGTGGATGGAGGATACTTATGGAGAGAAAAATACATAATTCAAAATACTGAAGGGGAAGATAAGAACTCAAGGCTTCTGGCTCATTTCATGTTTTCTCTGTGCTAAGATTGATCAGTTTTGGAGTATGAAACTGTTTTACTTCAAGGAAGTCATACCTAATATTAAAAGGCAGTGGTCCCCTATGTTTTATGAGTTGTGGTAGGAATTGCTTTTCCTGAAAACTTTGAGATAACCAAGTTATTAAGCATGTATGACCAGAGTTAGGGGTGGGAAACACCTACGGCTGAGAATAAAATTGCTTGCATCATGGGATGTGAATGCTGTTGCTAGCATGTTCCTCTCAGAAGTTGGAAATTGGAGGAAGGATTGAAAGCAACATAAAGATATAGGAAAAACTCTATTACATTATTTTTCTTAAGTAGATTTATTAGCAGTTTCAACAAGAAGGCAGAGTCTGTGGTTAAAAGGCAGCAAACTTCTTTAAAGAATTTAAACCTCTCTAATGTTGGCCTCAGAACACAATACCCAAAATTATGGTACTTTGACATGCTGAATACATTGAACTGAAGGAGATTGAAAGTTCCTAGAAGCAAGAAGTTCCCCCTGAACTTCTGCCCTCCTTTCTTCTCCTCCCATTTCTCTCATGAAGCAGGTTCTATCAACTAAAATTCTTCTTCATGGGAAGCTTTGAAGATGGTGGAGGAGGTGTTAGAGGTTCAAATATAGAGATTAAAATATGAAATAATCGCCAATTAGTATTATCAACTGAATATCAAGTTCTAGGAAAATGATGTTTTATAGCATTATGAAGAAGTGTATTCCCATTTGTTTGATCCTCTAGGTGGGAATGGAGAATTAATATTTGTTGAGAATGAAATAAATGTCCTGTGCATTGAACCCATTTGCATTCTTAGTGAGAATCCCACCTCGCACTCCTCATGAAAGAAGTCAGAAAGAGTAAAACCTAAATGAGGCATTTAAAAATTATTTTTACATAATCTTTTTTTTTTCTTTTTTTTTCACTTCTTCTTCTTCTCTCTCTCTCTTTTTTTTTTTTTTTTGAGACAGGATCTCACTCTGTATCCCAGGCTGGAGTGCAGTGGTGTGATCATAGCTCACTATAACTTCTAACTCCTGGGCTGAAGCAATTCTCCTTTCTCAGTCTCCTGAGTAGCTGAGACTACAGGTAGTCACCACCATGCTCAGCTAATTAATTTTTTTTTTTAAACAGGGTCTCACCATGGTGCCCAGATTGATCTAGGCTCAAGGGATCCTCCTGCCTCAGCCTCCCAAAGTGCTGGGATTACAAGAGTGAGCTACCATGCCCAGCCATAGTCTTATTTCTATAGTTTACCTTATCAGTGTCACATGTCTTAGAGGTTTCAGCTTATTAATTTCGTCCAGTTTTTTTTTTCTTAGCAGAGGTCAAAATGAAGGATGCAGTAGGTCAAAGTTTAACAGCTGCTGAAACAAACTTATTTCATTGAAACTTAAGCTATTGAGGTAATATGAGGGCTGCTATTTGCAATAGTGTGCTCTGTCAGAAATTGAATTTGTGTTTCTGAAATGAAAATTGTGTCCCAGTTTGACTGTACCTAAAGAGGAAAATGACTACCTGGGGTCAGGATATCAGATTGACTAGTGATAGCAATGAAAGAAAATATGTTTTAAGTGAAATGGTACATGTACTCTGACTTAAAGAATTTATAAATTTCACAGCTTGAAAATACTCTATCCATTATAAATTTTGGTTACTTTGAACTGGAAAATATTTTTATTCAGTGGTCATTTCCTCCTGTCATCATATTCACTCTTCATATGAGTATAGTTTGGCATTACTTACACAGTTTTTCACTATTTAATTGTGTTTTATATTTGATTTCCAAGTTTATATTTTTAGTTTTTTTTCCTTCTACTTTCGTTTGGCTTATTTTGTTATTCTTTCACTAGTTTTTGAAGTTTAATGTTTAGCTAATTGTGTTTAGTCTTTATTTAAGCAATAAAGTAGTAATACTAAATATTTCTCTCTTACTTCAGCTGACTCTATATGCCATCTCTATTTTTATCATTTTGTAAATAATTAATCATTTATGTTTTATTTTTACTTTGATTTAGTGCTTATTTAACAAAATGTTTTTATGTGTTTAGGTCTGACGGTATGTCTTCTTATTGTTGACTTTTAAATTTATTAAATTGTAGTTTAGGAGAATGAGCTAATATAATCTCTAATAGCTTAGAATAATTGAAGTAATTTATTATTTTTATTTATTATTATTACCATTATTATTAACAACTTTGTGAACAAAAGCATTTATTTAAATGTTTTATGGTTATTTGTATTCTCTATTTGTAGGATTCAAAGTTTTATATTCAACTTATTGAGATTATTATAGAAATGAGGTATATTTGAGAGGGTCAAATATTCTAAAAGAATATTTCAGACACCACCTCCTCCAGCAACAAAAATAGCTACAAACCAATATAAATTTCATGTTAGTTATTTTCATACATATTGAAAACTTTACTGTACATTAAAAGGTTGTACAGACAGCCCTCCATATCTGTGGGTTTCACATCCATGTATTCAACCAAGCATGGATCAAAAATATTGAGTAAAAAAAAAAAAATCCACAAAGTTCCAAAAAGCAAGACTTGAATTTGCCATGTGATGAGTACTACGCTGAATCCACATGAATGAAGAGATGTGTAGGACTTGTATTAGGTATTATAAGTAGTCTAGAGATGATTTGAAGTATACAGGAAGATGTGGTTAGATTTTATGCAAATAGTATGACATTTTATATCAGGGACTTGAGCATTCATAAATTTTGGTATCCCAGAGGGTTCCAGGAACAAATCCCCAACAGATATCAAGTGACAACTGTACTTGAATAAAAAGTTTTCATAATCACAGAATGTGGCATAGTGGGAAAATCATTGGACATTTAATTTTGGCATTAAGTAACTATGTAACTTTAGAAAGAATCACTTTACCTCTTTGTGCCCTTTCAAAATTAGCATAATTATTACTTAGCCTACCTCATAGGGTTGCTGTGAGTATCAAATTAGTTACGACATGGGGATTGCTGTGAAGAGTCTTATTACCATATAAATGTGAGGCATTAGTTCTACCTTGTGGGTAAATGGCGGCGGTAGCTGACTTGGGCCTGACCTAAAAATATACAATAAGAGTTACCATAGCAAATGCCTGTCAACTGGTCATTTCTCCCAGCCTACCTATGCTCAATTTTGACTATGACACCCTCTCTGGAAGTTTTCTTTTGCTCTGAAATCCTCTACTTTATTAGGTTTTTCACTTCAGTGAACCTATCTTTGCTCTTTCTCTACGTGTAATAAGCTTGGGGGCAACAGATTGTTCAGAAACACTTTTATCAACTGAAAACAAAGGGTCTAGGAAGCCTTCAGGGGTTTGGAGCATTTTAAATAATCGCTTGACATTCAGACTGTGTCTACATGACTAAAACAAATGACTGGGAAATGAGTGAAGTAGAATACACAGGGGTGTTAGTTTCATAGTATGAAAGTTATGTGTGTCCTGCAGAAAGTTACGTCAAAAGACTTACTTGAAGCACTCATATTTGGGGGAGATTGCAAGTTTGATTGCTCTTTAGTGGTCCCAATCAGGTATTAGGCTTTTTTTTTTCTGTATCTTTATTCTATTTTTCTTTCTAGATCCCCAAAAATGCGGAGGGAAAAGTGATCAAGTTGTATCTGATGTGAGTGGCTTTATGTATTAGGATACAATGTATATAGGGAAAAGATTATAAATTTAGCATGATAATACCTAAACAGTGCCTGCCTTTTTCTGGTTATATGAGCTGGACAAGTCATTTAAAATCACTCAGCCTCAGTTTCTTTACCTGTAAGGTAGACTTAATGACTATTTCTTTTCTCACAGAGTTACTATGGGAATATACTTGGAATAATGAATGCATATAAATGTTGCTATAAAGAATAAATATAAGGACTTAAAATTATTTTGGCATTCTGAATAGAAATGTATTCTCAATAGGAGTGACTGTATTATTCTTGTTTTATTTTGAAATAGCAAAAACTAATAAAAATTTAACTCAACATTCTGTCTCCTTACAGCACTTAGAATTGAGAAGAATTTGCTATTTGTTTTCTGTGATACTGAGACCTGAGAAAGTTGAAATGTACAACTTTAGTGCCAGAGGGCTAAGAACATGACAATCCAATACAAACTAAAACTAATAAAGAAAATTGTAGCCTGAGTATATGTTTCTGGTACTCTCTTCCTCCCATCTCATTGCTTACTACATTTTAGACAACTAACCACTAAAATAACCCTGATTGTTGGGGCTGGCAGATGAGCTCAGATACAGCTGTGATTGTGAGTCTTCAGGAAGAATGTGTACATTTGGGACATTGTTCTTTTTAACTACATGGACAGTTAAAGATCCAGCAATTTGGACATCAGCCAACTTCTCTTACACATCAGGGTTTACAAGCATTCAATAAGCAGGCATAGATGCCCTCAGAGTTGAAAGGTGAACATGTAAGAGTCCCTGAAATTCCAAATGATTGCAGCAGTTGGTGTGTGGGGGACTGCATTGAAAGGAACTTTTGTCAATCCAGCCAAAGTAAAGAATCTGAAAGAGAAGGAAAAAGAATCTGCGAAATATAAGAAATTCTAAAAATAAAATTAATGTATAAGAAATATCTTACCTGTTAACTTGGATGCTGATGTACTAAATTGCCATAGCAAAAGAAGAAAGATCCTCAGTTTGTGTAAAAGGTACTTTTTATAAGACACTCTCCAAAAATAAAGTGACAAATAAAGAAATAAGTAAAGAGATACTAGGCAAATGCAAACAATAAAAGAATAAGACTGGTAGTATTAATATCACAGATAGAGGCTCAAATTCAGGCCTCTCAATCTGATTCTAATTTTTTATCAAAATATATTGTAAGTGTCTAAGTTCACAAATAATAGAAGTCTATATTTCATTATTTTCAGTAGGAAAGATAATAATGCACTTCTAGCTACTATCCAAAATTCTAGTTTCCCCAGATATCATAAAAACCTGTTTAAATGCCTAAATTACAATCTACCAAGATGTCTGCATAACATAAAGCAGTTAAAACACCAGAAGCATAACACATAATAATTCAATACTAGATTAACTCAGGTGTGTTTTGGGGCAATAGCCCATGATATTGAATAGCAGGTGATATGGTTTGGCTGTGTCTGCATCCAAAGCTCACCTTGGATTGTAATAATCCCCACGTGTCAAGGGCAGGGGCAGGTGGAGATTATTGAATCATGAGGGCAGTTTCCCCATACTGTTCTCGTGGTAGTGAGTAAGTCTCACGAGATCTGATGATTTTATAAATAGGAGTTCCCCTACACAAGCTCTCTTGCGTGATGCCGGGTGAGACGTGACTTTGTTCCTCTTTCACCTTCTGCCATGATTGTGAGGCCTCCCCAGCCATGTGGAACTGTGAGTCAATTAAACTTCTTTCCTTTATAAATTACCCAGTCCCAGGTATGTCTTTATTAGCAGGGTGAGAACAGACTAATACAGCAGGTTTTTCCAATTATGTTTCTTTCTACAATGTAAAAAAACAAGTGCTGTGATATAAATGAAGAATGTCGGTGCCACTGCTTGCATTTTCCAAATTGTTAAAATCTCCAAGAAAGGGTGGGAAAAGTGATACTGATAATGTACAACAGGTTAAAACAACTGGAACACAGATACAATCCTATCAGGAGAACATTGGAGATACTGTTGTATATTTTACAGCTTCTGGAAAGGACGCTGGTGCAAGGTAATCATTTTAGTTGGAGTGCCTTTGAGGTCCTTATA
Source organism: Homo sapiens (assembly GCF_000001405.40). Classification (NCBI taxonomy): domain Eukaryota; kingdom Metazoa; phylum Chordata; class Mammalia; order Primates; family Hominidae; genus Homo; species Homo sapiens. Next base: position 113,784,486 of record NC_000023.11, on the reverse strand, counting down.
GTAAATTTACAATTCACATAGTGAATTTTGAGTAAACAATTTTTTTTTTGCAATTAACTATACCAAATATTTAGAGGGTAGGACTTCAAATATTGAGTGATATCTATATTGTAAATATTTTATTTAACTGATCTGCTTTCCCACTTGACAGTGAACTCTGCAAGGTAAGGAATTCTGTCTCACTCATTCTTGTGTTCCCAGAAACTAGCACAGTTCCTGGCACAGTATATAATCAGTGGCTTATGAATGGGTGAATGAAGGAAGAATGCAGTGATTTGACTAAGGTTTTGCAGTTAGTTCTGCACATGGCATGGCTTTTGAATCTTTCGTTAAAATATTATGCTTACTTACTTGAATCTGTTTCCAACACTTTTTCAGAAGAGACAAGGCTGTTCTCAGTTAAAACATGTATTTCATTGATTAATTTGCTTGTAAAGCACCATTGTTTGTTTTTCACTAAAAGTTAATCCAGTACGATAATGTATAGTATAATAATGTATTGTGTGGTATGCAAAGCAAATATTCTAATTTACAGCCTCTATATCCCCATGGAATTAGTCTAACTCATGATTTGTAGAGTGTGCTATCTAATATTATTAAAATGATTCTGTTTGTTACAGTGTATGAGGGTCTTGGCAGTGGTTGAGTATGTGGTACTTTGGAGAAACATCTGTAATATAAATTAAAATTGGTTTAGAAGTGAAAATATTAGTATTACCAATCTGGAAGCTAATTTACTATATGATGCACAGGGGTTACATTATAAAGAAATATTTCAATGTCAAATATTTAAATTTCTTGTGGACTTTTAAAACATGACTCATGGTACATTTATAAATAAGAATAAATACATTTTGCTACCATAAATTTCTAAATATTATTTGAAATATTTTTAGATTTGTTGATTATTATGGGTTTTAAAGATTCAATTTAAAGAGAAAATTCATATGATAAAATGAACATCTTTTTTTATTATTATACTTTAAGTTCTAGGGTACATGTGCACAACGTGCAGGTTTGTTACATAGGTATACATGTGTCATGTTGGTTTGCTGCACCCATCAACTCATCATTTACATTAGGTATATCTCCTAATGCTATCCCTCCCCCGGGCCTCCACCCCCCAACAGGCCCCAGTGTGTGATGTTCCCCGCTCTGTGTCCAAGTGATCTCATTGTTCAATTCCCACCTATGAGTGAGAACATGTGGTGTTTGGTTTTCTGTCCTTGTGATAGTTTGCCGAGAATGATGGTTGCCAGCTTCATCCATGTCCCTGCAAGGGACATGAACTCATCCTTTTTTATGGCTGCATAGTATTCCATGGTGTGTATGTGCCACATTTTCTTAATCCAGTCTATCATTGTTGGACATTTGGGTTGGTTCCAAGTCTTTGCTATTGTGAATAGTGCCGCAATAAACATACGTGTGCATGTGTCTTTATAGTAGCATGATTTATATAATTACATAAAGTAGTAATGTGATGACTGGGTCAAATGGTATTTCTAGTTCTAGATCCTTGAGGAATTGCCACACTGTCTTCCACAATGGTTGAACTAATTTACACTCCCACCAACAGTGTAAAAGTGTTCCTATTTCTCCACATCCTCTCCAGCACCTGTTGTTTCCTGGCTTTTTAATGATTGCCATTTTAACTGGTGTGAGATGATATCTCATTGTGGTTTTGATTTGCATTTCTCTGATGACCAGTGATGACGAGCATTTTTTCATGTCTCTATTGGCTGCATAGTTGTCTTCTTTTGAGAAGTGTCTGTTCATATCCTTTGCCCACTTGTTGATGGGGTTGTTTGTGTTTTTCTTGTAAATTTGTTTCAGTTCTTTGTAGATTCTGGATATTAGCTCTTTGTCAGATGGGTAGATTGCAAAAATTTTCTCCCATTCTATAGGTTGCCTGTTCACTCTGATGGTAGTTTCTTTTGCCATGCAGAAGCTCTTTAATTAATCAAATGAATGTCTTAAGAGATAGTTAAACATTTCTAAAGGGGAGTACCCTTAGCTGTCCGGTTTTTCAGAGATCCTAGAATACTGGAACCATTACCATTTTGACTTAGAGTTCTTGGTGGGAAACCACAATTAAACAATACAGTATTTAGTATTTGTGTACTTAATCAGCATTAAAAATGTGATAATACACTGGAGCAAATATAAACTTTCTAGAATAGGTGTGCTTAATTGTATTTAGTGGTTCCATTTTCCCATTTTCTAAGGGAAATACTGTCCTTTTTGGTAACAAATTTGTCCCTATGGGAATGGTAGCTGCTTTTATTTTGACACATCATGAATATTTACAAATATTGCTATGGGATATATTTGTATTATTTCAATAATATCAATTTTGAGCAATCTGTATTTTAATCTCATACCCTGAAACTATTCAAGTATTTTCAATTTGGTTGCCAAGACTCTAGTTTAAAGCAAACTATGAAAGACGTAACTTTGTCCATGTTATATTATTTTTGCTATCTGCCAAGTTGGTTTGATGTCAAGGCCAGTGGTCTGATATGAGTCAACGTATAAAGAAGATAATATAGTGGTTCAAATTACATTTATTCCTATAAGTGAATAAATAAATCCAATGACAAACATCAAGATAATAAAAACTGAAAAAAAAAGTGTATGCAAACCCAGATTGGGACCAAGATTATTCATTTTAGAAAAATCAAGTTGTGTGTGCTGAGAAGGTTGGGGTGAATAAGTATGACGGGGTGAAAGGGTAGGGATGCAATCTACCAAATAATGACACATAAAACAGTCCCAACTCTAGCTAAAGGATTAAGAGAAGAATATTGCTTGACCTGGATGTTACATATCATTTCCTACCAACCTAGTCTTGTTCAGAAGCGGATTCTCTATTTGTTTAAACGTAATTATTTTATTGATTTTTGTAAAGTATGTCAAAAATATAATAATATATGTTTTGTGATGATAGGGCTCATTTATATTTTGCTCACGGCTTTATCTCCAGTGGCTAAAACAATACCTGGGACATAGTAGACACTTGACATTTACTGACTCAATGAAACAGATTTCTCCAAACAATGAAGGTACTAAAAATAGGCTATTTTTGCCTGTTTGCTCTTCTTTCCATTAGTTTGTATTATGAAATCAAAACTAACCTCCCTCCTAAGAAAACCAACATCATGATTTATACACTCTCTTACACATACACTTATTCTCTCACAGTCCAGCTTTTGTTTTTATTAATTATATAATCATTTTTTCCTAAGGGGCAGTAGCAGTGGAATAAATTCAAAATATCTTCGGGGAATAGTTTTCACTGACTAATGAAGTTTAATAAGCACTCTGATGGTAGCTAAATATGTCCAAAAGCCTCTTCACTTGCTCAATGATTTTTACTCCCCTGAGCTTTGTAGCTGTCTAGTGTGTAACCACTCACTTATTATAAATTTCATAATTTATCTCATCACCTGTTTTATTTATTCAGTCAGTGTAACTACTTTGCTCACTTGGTTTCTTGATTGTTTCACTAGAACAAAAACTTTACTGCTCAACCCAGCATCCTTAGCTCTAGGTATCTTTCCACCATCATAATCCAAGCAGCTGGCCCATGTCATCTTTCATACAACTCAGCGTGTCTAATGTCTTTGCTCTATCACAACACCTGATAAAATTAATGGTTTTCAATTATGGCTGTCGGTTAAGAATCTCCTTGGGGGAGTGCTTTGGACACCAAAACTACGCCCCAGATGAATTGAATGACAGTCTCTGGATGTGAGGTTGAACTAATTTACACTCCCACCAACAGTGTAAAAGCGTTCCTATTTCTCTACATCTTCTCCAGCATCTGTTGTTTCCTGACTTTTTAATGATTGCCATTCTAACTGGCATCAGATGGTATGTCATTGTGGTTTTGATTTGCATTTCTTTGATGATCAGTGATGATGAGCATTTTTTCATGTGTCTGTTGGCTGCAAATGATATTCATGTGTAGCCAAGTGTCGAGAACCACTGGGCTAAATGCTCCTACTGCCTCATCCCACCAACTTCATTGGAACTCTTGTATGGTGAACCCAACCAGGATGGCACCTTCCTTAGGTACTATAACTTAGACTAACCCAGCCCTTCAGCCAGGCGAGTGGCCCTATCCCCAGTCCTGTCTCTCCATGGCTTCCTCTCTTTTCCCTATAGATAATTCAGTCTACCAAGGCCACATAATTTATAGCATCCTGTTACACAAATTAAATATACTTATTGTTTTCCTTTAGTGAGAAACTTGCTTTATTTTATCAAACAATTCCAACTTGAATTTATTCTTTACAGCATAGCTTAAAACAAATTGTGAGCAGAAAGTTAAGCAGAAAATAAACTGGATTAATATCGAGGTCATAATGATTAGCTATGGAAGACACTACTTAGAAACAAAAAGGATCACGGTAAAATATGCAGCTAAAACAATTACTACAACTTGAATACTTATCAAATAAAGTCCCCCAAACTATAATAAGAATTGAAAATAAAATTAAAATGTTCCTCTCCCCAAATTTGGTTTTAGTACTTATTTGATTTCAAATACAGAGGTAATATAGTTTACACTGAAAACAAATCAACTAGCTAAAGTAGATGGGCTTTATATGTGAATCAGATATTAAGATATTAAGGTTTGTTTATTCCGTTTTTATCTCTCTGGACCAATTTTTTTTAGGAAGAATAATGTGATTAAGTCAAGTCTGCTGCCTGGCCTTCTCAATTCCAGCATCATAGCAATAAAGCACCTTAGCATATTAAAACAACAACAACAACAAGATACTGTTCATTGGAAACTTTTTTTTTTTTGAGACAGGGTCTCACTTTGTCACCCAGGCTGCCAGGCTGGAGTACAATGGTGCCAGCATAGCTTACTTTAGCCTCAAAGTCCTGGGCTCAAGCAATCCTCTGGCCACAGTCTCCTGAGTAGCTGGGACTACAGGTACATACCACCAAGCCTGGCTATTTAAAATTTTTTTTTGTAGAGACAGGGGACTTGCTATGTTGTCCAGGCTGGTCTTGAACTCCTGGCTTCAAGCAGTCCTCCCACTTGGTCTTCATTGGAAAACTTTTGACAATGTGTTTCAACAAAGGGAAAATAAAATATAACAGAGTCCCACAAATCCTTTGATGTGAGCTTCCCTTTATTGTCTAACATTTTCTTGAGTCCTCTTCTTTGCCTATTGTGTTTGAGGTCTAGTTAAGCAGATAAAGCTTCAAATGCAGAGAGGGATGACTTAAGAAAATAAAGGGAGAGATGACTTTAGAAAAGAAAATAGAAACAAATTTGCAGAGCCTGCAGCCAGCCACTTGGTTATATAAAGCACTGGCAAATATTAGAGATCCACTGTTTCTAATTTGAGAAATTATGGATCAGTTCATATTCCTAAGGACTGGAAAAGAACAAATATGCACGTATTTAAAAGGTAAAAAAGATGCCCCTTCAAATAGTAGATTGGTCATTTTAGCATTGTCATTTAAAATATATATTAGGAAAAAAATGATCTAACAGCCGTTATAAAACATATAGATGCATAGAATCATGAATATTAATTAATGTGGATTTGAAAACAGCATATCATTAGCCAGGCTCAGTGACATGTGCCTGTAATCCCAGCTGCTCGGGAGGCTGAGGCAGGAGAATTGCTTGAACCCGGGAAGCGGAGGTTGCAGTGAGCCAAGATCACACCACTGCACTCCAGCCTGGGTGACATCTGTCTCTTAAAAAAAAAAAAAAAAAAAAAGAAAAGAAAACAGCATATCATGCCAGTGTAACTTAATTTCATTCAGCGTCAGCTTAATGGCCTAATGGGTTTCATTGAAAAAGGGAAAAACATATTTAATCAATTCAATTCATGCAAGGCCATTGATTCTTTCCCACATGACATTCTCAAATTAGGATACAAAGCACAGACTTGAGTTTGATGGCATTAATTGGACACCTCCCATGTGCTAGACATGAGCTAGGTACTATTATATAACTATGTCAACACAATCCTCTGAAAGAAATATTATCCACAACTAACAAATGTATAGAAATGCATAAAAAGTTTAAGTAGTTCATTCAAATTCATACAAATATTAAAGAAATTGGCTTCAGATTCTATGTATTTGGCTTTTTCCTTCTACCCTTTATGAATTAGTCACACACGGAAGTTTTCCCATGCTGACTAGACACCTTGCCATCTCCTCTCTGCTACCAATATTGCCATCAATATGATCACCTCCATCCTTTTTGCTGCTGTTGTAAGAATCCATGCCATCAAATCTTTATTGTGCTGCCACAACTCCCGCCACAGAGCTTCTACCCCTATCCTCCTAACAGTTAAGTGTGAGAGGTTCTTTTCTTGCACTGCTGAGGCCATGTTGGGAAATGAGATTGGCTGCCTCCATCTCTAAAGGAGCAGAAGCCAAGTTCCCAGTGACTTCTAGAATTGATTAAAGTAGAATGGGAGAAGAAATGTGCCCTGAGTGTCTTTAGAACTCAAATATATACTTTGTTAACAAGATGATTCACGTCTAAACTACAATTAGTAACACAGGCTGATTGCAGTGGTTCAAGCCTGTAATACCAGCACTTTGGGAAGCCAAGGCGGGAGGATTACTAGAGGCCAGGAATTAGAGACCAGCCTGGCCAACATGGTGAAAACCCATCTCTACTAAAAATACAAAAATTAGCCAGGCATGCTGGTGCATCTCTATAATCCCAGCTACTCAGGTGGCTGAGGCACAAGAATCACTTGAACCAGGAGGTGGAGGTTGTGGTGAGCTGAGATCACTCCACTGCACTCCAGCCTGGGCAGCAGAGCAAGACTGTCTCAAAATAAATAAATAAAGTACAATTAATAACATAGGGTAGTTACATTGTGGATTAAAGAGTCTGTGGGCTGACTTGGGACCTGATCATCATTTATGATGGTGTTTCTATCAGAAAATTCACTTTGATTTCAAATTAACTTAATTTTAAGTGAACCTCTGAAATGCAGTTCAATTATAAGTTAGGTATTGCGTACATAATCTTAGCCATATTACTTTCAGGCAGAGAGCTGAACTTTATTATTTACATCACACTTTTTTTTTTTTTTTTTTACTATGTATGTGTGTGTCTGTTCTATATGTGATGATTGGTTTCTTGAATACAAGAAGAGTGCTTTTTTTTATAAACGGTATCTGGAAATATGCTTGCGAGTTATAGGCAATCAATAAATATTTAATGAATGAGTGATTTACTGGATATAGCAAACAAGAATACAGTGAGATTTATATATATTAAATTCCGCCAATGCCATTTTTTGAAGAACTGTTGTAACATCTGAAATAATCTTTACTAAGCAGGAAAAAAAGATCCTGAAAAATAGGGATAAACAACCAAGGGCAAGAATGTCTATGTAAGATGGAGAATACACAGCTGGATATTCAAACAAGAAAAAGAAAGATTACAAGATAATAAGATACTGTAGCAGCATTGTGGGGAGAGGGAAAGACTGTGTTTCTGGGATATGTTACAGTGTAAATGGCACACATACCTAGATTTTGATTAGCCGCTATAGTTTTTTAAAATTATGTGAGAAAATTAATGGAGATAATTCAGATAAGAGTGACTAAACTAAACTGTTAAAGAAATGGAAAGTGGACCTTTTGAGGATTAATATGCAGGAATTCGTTTTTATTCCATTAAAGAAGACTGCAGTATGCCTTCTGACATATGAATGATTTTGTGATACTACTGGTGACCAGTTATCCGTCTCTCATAGAGAAAAAAGCAAAAACAAATGGGCTGATATTTATAGTAAATATTTGGCTATGGTTAATCATAAGAAATAATTTCTTAAGAGGTTGAAAAACCTCTCGACTATTCACTTAAGACAATGCACATTATTGTTTTTTTTTCCTTCTTGGGCAAATGAACCTCTCTTTGATGTGAATGTCTTAGACATTGGCCAAGGGTGCAAAGAAGGAACCAGAATCAGTGATTTCTTAAAGCCTCTTCCAATCTAGAATTCTAAATTTCTGTAGTGTAACAGCTGATTAGTTTGTTAGGACTAACTGAAAAAAGTACAACAGACTGGGTAGCTTAAAGTAGAGAAATGTATCGGCTCCCAGGTATGGAGGCTAGGAGTCTGAAATCAAGGTGTCAGCGGGGTTGGTTCTGTTCTAGGCCACTCTGCTTAGCTTGAGGATGTCCATTTTCTCTCTAAGTCCCTTCATATCATCTTCCCTCTATGCATGTCTGCCTCTGTGTCCAATTTTCCATTTTTATGCACTTGTCATATGGATTAGGGCCCACCCTGAGGATTTCATTTTAACTTGATTTCCTGTATAAAGATCCTATCTCCAGAAAAGATCACATTTTGAAGTACTGGGGGTACGGACTCCGACCCATCGTTTTTGGAGGGACGCAATTCAACTCGGAACAAGCAGTCTCACGTACACATAATCACGCTGCAGCTAAATAGTATTGTCTAACGAAACAGATTGTGACACGTAGAATTATGGCACATTTTCTTGTTGCTGGGGAATCTCAACTCCATCTTCAGTCTCATTTCACCAGTCATCTAGGCTTCTGAGATGGAATAATGTAATCTGTTGCAATTAAGGATGCTACATCTTTACATAAAAGTTTTTCCCATCTTTTTTTTTCGTTCTCTCCCCTCAATTTTGGCATTTACTGAGGTCCCAGATATATTTAACAGTCTTGAAATTGGAAGCATCTATGTTTCTCCCCATTCACAATGTGAAGAATTAGAGACAGGGAGAGTATACCCTGGGAAGTTGCCGGTATACTTCATACAATCAGGTTAGCATTTCTTCTATATGCCATATATTTTCATAAAGCAGAAAACACCTATATCACAGCAAAATGGTAGATTCTGCGAGAAATGCAAAAGGACCTGGTGTTAGGTTTGGTTTCCCAGAGTATACAGCACCCTCTAATTTGGCAGGAAATAAATATCTTGTAATACTGTTTTCCACTTAGGAGTTACATTGAGTTCAAAGAAGGAATTTTCCTGAGCAGCTTCCTGAATTTGACAAGTTAATTTATTCAGCTATTATGCATTGGGCACTTATTTTGTGTTCTGTGTTATGCTAGGCCCTATGAGGATATTCACTAAGGGATGTAGTTCCTATTCACAAAGAACTTAGGTTAGCGGAAAAGATAAACATGTACACAGCTAACATGAATTCAAAGCAACATTCAATAAATGCTTTAATAGAGATCAAAACAAAGTGCTGTGGGGCCCAGAGGAGAGAGAGATTAATCATGTCTGGATTTCTTCTTAGGAATATATATTAACATCAGTTTTTGGTCTTTTGCTTTTACTTAAAATTCTAGAAGGTGAACTTGGGAAAACTTTGCAGCCACATTTTGAGAACTGATCCTTGAGACCAGAAGGTTAAAGCTGAGTACTGCAGCTGATGAATGCAGAGTAATACATCTGTGTCAAATGAAAATGCTGCTGAATTAGTTCAGCAGTTCAATCAAATGTACCTAATCCTACATCAATCTAAATAGAACATAGCTATAACTTTTCCAGGCCAAGTGTACAAAAAACCTGCCAAGAGGATGGAAATGAAGCTGAAATGACAGCCATTTCATGAAATTTATGATGCCAAAAATACCATTTAAGTTGAGCCGCTGCTGGGACAAAAAAAATTAATTAAATGTGTGGTGGACCATTCATAATTTTCTTTGTGGGGTAGAGAGGCGTTTACTCTACACTACCCATCATTATTGGCAATAGTTCCTCTTGGTGAATGAACAATTTAAAAATGAAAATAAATTTAAAAGACCATCCTGCTTTTCATCATTGAAAAACAGCAAGAAAAAACATTCAAAAGTTAAGAGGGTTCTGAAAGAAACTTCAATGGTAATGATTTCTATGGTAATCAAGATCATCAGCATACGCCTATCATAATTATACATTCCAAAGCTCAGATACAGTTATAAATCCCACAGAAATTCTATAGCTGCTAAAAAGAGAGAATTAAGGTGATTGTTATCCAAATCACAAGAAGTGTTTTCAGAATAAATACATAATAAAATTCTGAATACCTTTAAAACCAATTACTTGTTACAATGTTTCCTAGAACCAGGATTAAAAGGAATCTTATTTAGCTCAAACCCATCAGTGGACAGATCAGGAAAATGAGGTCCAAAGGACAGGAAATTACCTGTCCATGGTCCCTGTGGCTAATACATCTCAAACTAGAATACAGGCTTTTTGCTTCCCAGTTTGTTGATGTTTCCAATATGCCAATTATTTGTGCCTCAAGAATACAGAATTAAGGATGTTAATTCATGTTTTGAGTATAAGAAATACAAGGCTGACTGTTACTCCAAGTTTAAATACATGAACTCTGAAGCCACACTGCTTAGATTTAAATTCTGGCATATACACTTACTAGTTCTGTGTTTGGACAAGTAACAAATTGCCCTGTGCCTTGTTTCCTCATCTGGAAAATGAAAATAATAGTATCTCCTCCCTCTTGGAGTTGTTGTGAGCAATAAATGAGTTAATGAGTATGAAATACATAAAAATGTGCCTGAAACATGTGTTTTCATATTATTTTGATCATCTAAATCAGCAATTTGAACATCTTCCCATGTTGGGGGCATTGCCTTCTACCAGTGCCTAATCTTAGCAAAATTTGGAAGCAGCTGTGTTTATCTTTTCTGTATTCATTCTTCCTTGCTGAGCATCCCTTGGGCACCTAGTATTCTGACTATATTGTCTATATCCCATAATTGCAATGTCCTGCTTGGTTCTGTCCACCTCTGGAAGCAATTGTGTTCAAATTTGCCAACCTAAATCCAAGTGTGGTGGTACACAGCTGAAATCCCAGCTATCAGTAGACTGAGACAGGAGAATCTCTTGAGCTAAGGAGATCATGGCTTCAGTGCACTATAATCACACCTGTGAATAGCCACTGCACTCCAGCCTAGGCCACATAACGAGACCCCATCTCTAAAAAAACAAAACAAAGCAAAGTGAAAAAACAATTGCCAACCATTTCTTCTTTACTAGAACTTCCTGATTCCACTCCGTCAGGGCTCCATGAAGTAATATCTAAAATGTTAAGGCATATTTGTTCAGTATGTTGCCCTTTCAAAGGATATTGTACTTTTAATCAAGCTTGTCTGTAGTGTTGTCACCTCAACAATAAGATTAATATCCACTTACAGAATTTTAGATATTGTGATAGGACAACAGTAAGGGGAAAGGGAATCAATGACTTTTGAATATTTGTTATGACATCTCAGTTCGTTCTCAAGCATGGAATTTATTATTCTCTTCCGTTTCAGAGATAAGGAGACTAAGGCTCAGAGACAGGAGATGATATAGTTAAAATCATACAACTAATAAGTTGAAAAAGCAGTTTGAAAATTCTGGCCTATTTGGCTCCAAAGTCCATTCTCAGTATTTTTTTATAAAGAGTTCTTTAATCAGTGCTCCTCAAATCATACTAATATGGTTTTGCACTGTGTCCCCACCCAAATATCATCTCCAATTGTAATCCCCACTTGTTGAGGGAGGGACCTGGTGAGAGGTGATTGGATCATGGGGGCGATTTCCCCCATGCTGTTCTCGTGATAGTGAGGGAGTTCTCATGAGGTTTAATGGTTTAAAAGTGGCAGTTCCTTTTGCACTCTGGCTCTCCCCTGCCGCCTTGTGAAGAAGGTGCCTGCTTCCCCTTCACCTTCCACTATGATCGTAAGTTTCCTGAGGCCTCCCCAGCCATGCGGAACTGGTAGCCAATTAAACGTCTTTCCTTTATAAATTAACCAGTCCCAGGTAGTATCTTCATAGCAGTGTGAAAACGAGCTAATACACATACTATGTGCGCAAACGGCTCTTGTGCATGTCTTAAGACTGGCTCTTTTTCTCTAGGAACTACTGAATTTCCCTCAGCTTGACATCACAATTCAAAATACATTCAGAATACTTTCTGCACTATCTTATAATATATGGAAAATTTAGGTACCAACTAAACTGCATAATGTAACTTACATTGCAGTTTTTGAATATACTTTATATCAAACACACATGTCATTATACATGTGAACTCTCTGTTGGTTTACCATGAACCAAAAAGATAAAGTAGAAATAAAATAGGTACAATGAGTAGGTTTTCAACAAGTCAATGCATCCCCTTGATAATCTATTCCATAGTAGGAGTGCAATATAATGTTTGTATTAAATCAACAAAGTATATTCTGCACTAATTATTGACATGAAAGGAGAAAAAAAATTTGAAAAGCATAAACATAATGCTTTTGTATTGAATCTGAGATATATTGGTTGCTAAAGTGTGAGAGTTTAGCACATGTGAAATAATTTACAAGCACATGAATTAGCACAAGTGCGTCATAAGGTTTGTCCTAGTTTATTCAGAAAGGCTTCAGGTTTTATATTTGGGGAAAAAAAGGATTTTTTATCACAACTGTTATTCTTTGCTGAACCAACTCATTTTATAGTTAGAAGAAAAGCCAGCTGGAGGGTTTATATTGATCTATTAACTTTTCTAGAGTGTTTCCTTGATAAATGTATCTTCTTAGAGATTCTCAGAATGACTGCTGAAAGGGACACACCAAAACCTTCATTTTACCTCCAGGGTTCATTGTACATTGTCTGTCAGTTTATTGACTGATAATAAACTATCATATGCAAAGTAATACACTAAATATTGGGGATACAGAGGTAGTATGGATCTTAGATTGTGTATGGGAAGAAAAGTCATCCATATAAATGACAGTTAAATCCAGAACACATAAACTAAGTGGTATAAACAATGAGTGCTCTAGATGAGGTGAATGTTTCTGCCTATTAATGGTGTCAGGATGAAAATGGGTCAGTCTTTGTAGTTGAGTATATTGCATATAATTTAATTCTTACCCAACTTGTCTTCTAGATGCCTTCATGATCACATAATAAGGAAAGGTAAATGTGTTTCTTCAAAAAATAGGTAGTTAACAAAAGCTAAATAAAAACTGGTTTTATATACAGCAAGTGGTAAGCCCTGTGAAAGTAATAATTCATAGTTTTAAGGCTCTGATATTATAAAAAGACTTTATACATGTTAAGATACAATGTGACACAAGCCAAAAACATTCAAAGCAAAAGAAAGTCAAATGAAAATTGTAGCCATTTTCATAGACAGGCTTTCCTCTACCTTGCTACTGCCAAATGGAATATAGTATATCTATATGGTACCAACACACCCTGTTCTTCAGCTGTAATGCAAGGTCATGAACAACAATGATTAAGAGAAGGCCTATGAGTCAGTACCAGTACTGACAATAGAAGGTACGGGAGAAAATGGGAAGAATAAATAAAAAGAGTAGTCTAGCCATAGATTATATCTAAAAGCTAGAAGACAAGAAAGTGATGTAAGAAAATCCAAACAAGTAGCCAAAGGCCAGAGATCACATAGAAATAATGTATTAAGGCAGTGCAATGGTCCAAAGCCAAGAATGCAATAAGAACAACAGAAGATTGAGAGCATTCAGAAATAGTGCATCCGGAAAAAAAGAAAGCCAGATTTCTGAAAGAAAAGTTAGTTGGCTGACTTTCTAGGCCTGGCTAGTCCTAGGCATGAATCCTGAAAGGCTGCTGCAGTCCTAAAACTTTCTATATCTGGAAGATCCTATATCTCATTCCTCCAAGGGAGAATTGCTAAAATGATGCATGATTTAGGGGCTTCAGTACCCTCAATTCATTATTTTAAAAAAGTTAATTTGCTACTGAATTAAGCTAAAATAATGGAGAAAGTCTTTAAGGTCACCTTTGTTCTAACTTGCTTTGTTCTAACCTAGAAACTTTGATTCTTATTTAAGGTTCATGCAAAGATACTTTTGATAAGGTGGGTAAAACCCAGAGACAGCTACAAGGATTTTAAATGTCTTTTATATTTGTAAAGCAGAATAACCCGTGATACCAAAATGCTTTCAAACTTTCGGTTTGGACAAAGGAATCTGCTTGTGGTTTAGGCAAATGCTTTGGAGATTATCTCTTTCTGAATTCAACTGAAACATGATTTAGTTAATTAATCACCTCATTGATTGTCATGCTGCTATTGTCGTATTTAGAAATATTCCCACTGAGACACAGCCCTGAAATGTTCATAACACATCAGATGGTTTTGTTGCTGTAGTGACTTCGTTCCTTCATGAAGACAACATTTCTAGGAATAATTTCAAAAGAGAGCAGATGAATTGGACTCGTTGGAAGATAATGTGAACTTTTCTTAAAGACCGTGCCAGCATCTGGGAGCCTTCATTTATCTTTAGTGTATTCTGTCTGTACTTTTGTCAGGCACAAAGAAGCAAAAGAAAACAAAGCACAAAACAGAGAATGATATAAAAAAAATACTCCCCTACCCCCTTCCTTTTAGAAGTTTACAACAACAGAAGAAATATTTACTTTCCCCAAATGAGAAGAACCCCAATTAAAATTATTCTAGCAAGTTAACTAAGTAACAAGTTACTTTTCCTTCCTCCCTGCTACTGTTTTAGCAAGCACAGAGCTAAAATGGTTTGACTAATATAAATGCACTTCAGTTCTAGCTACTTATTCTCTCCATTTCACCTGAGGATTGGAGTCAGAGTTGATCAAGGGATTTACTGCCACTCCAATGAGGCAGAGTGAGAATTGTTCAAGTCCTTGGCATCTTCGTGGGACTAGAAAGAAGTGTTACTTGATATACATTCTTGGCGAGTTTGCCAAGGAAAAGGAGGTAGAGCTACTTATGGGAGCAATCTATTCTCATCACCAACATCAGAGACTGGTGGGCCTGATCCTGCCTTAAAGTAAACAAAGTGAAATATAATTCCTCCTGAGATGGCATTTCTTTTTCTAGGGGAACCAATTTACATCAGTCAGATGAGCTCTCGGCACTGATGAGAAAGAGTATTTTACTCTTTTACCACTGAATAACACTGGACTCATAACTTTTATCTTGGGAGGAACTCAGGTATAATTTGATTTTGTAAAAATTACACATGTGATATACATATACATAGCATGAAGTTTGTAATAGGAAGAAAAGTCATCTAGGAATGCCTAATATATCATTTAGCCTAGGAACTTCCTCAGCGGAGTTTCTCAGGTAATATGCTATATTTTGTCTTGTATTTTAGAAAATCAAATCTCCCTTTTGCACCATATTCTGAGTTAATTACAATCTTGGAATCAGCACTTCTGATCACTATTCCTTTTGGGTGTCCAGGACGTGCCTATTCAGAAATAAATATGTTACCCTGAGGGAGTAACATATGCATCTCAGTACATTGTAGCACATGGGATCAAAATCCAGTTTGTCAGAGTAGACTCCAAAACAATATTTTCAAACTATTTTCAAAAAAGAACAAGATTCCAGCTCATCTCATCCATCGCTACAAAGTTTTCTAAATGCACACTCTCAATTTCTGTACATATCTAATCCAGTCCTGGAGCAACACTAGTCTGCAGACTATATGTTGAGTAACACTGCTCTAAATGAAGATGATAACAGGGAGTTTCATATTTTGACAAGACAAGAGGAAACAGGAAAGCAAAGGTCTCCACTAGAGCCTTAATCCCCATCCAGTGGGAAGAGACAGGCCCAAGGAGGATGTCACAGTGGCACTGAACCCTGGGCAGAACATTAGAAATACATTGTCTATTTCACAGTCTAGCAGAAAGGCCAGCCCCTAAAATGGGAAAGCATGGCACAAATAAGTTACTGACAAACAAAGCGGATCTCAGAAAGAAGATTCTCTCAGTATTTTTAGAATTCTGCAAGTCTAAGATACAAAGTTAGGAACAACTTTTGATGTAGTCATAAATAGCCATTGTAACTGTTCCAGAATAATTAGTGGGAAGCAGAAAATAGTAGTTATCCAGTTTTATAACTTCTCTTTAAAACTCTTGAGCAGCTGTTATGAAATATTAAATTTCCTAACACCTTTGGGCTATAATCTTGCTAGTTCTCAAAAACTAAGCGGGATTGAACTTAGGCAGAAACTAAATGAAAACAACAAAGAATTCCTTACATGCTGGTGTTTAAGAAGCATTTTCGGGAGAATAAACTACTGAGTTTCTTGTTCTGAGCTAAACCATAAACCAGCTTCAGAAACATGATGTTCTCCCATCCGAAGAAACACTTTGGAAAGAATGGATGATTTCCAATCTTAAGGACCGTGTCACATCTTAAGAGTGGTAGCACGTTAGCTTTATTATCCCAGAAAGCCATCCAGTGGACAAATTTAATTTAACTTTTTATGTAAATTCCCAAAACAGCAAAATTCTGCCACAGGTGTTAGATAACCCACCCAAATCCAAAATCTGATGAGAAATAAGAAAGAGACGAAAATGGAAACTGCATTGTTGCTTAGGGTGTTCATACCTAGGTAGAATATTTCTGCAGAGAGGTTCTTGAAGCCAGGATCAGAGGGATCAAAAGGAAGAGGACCCAAGGCAAAAGCAGGGCCCCCCAAGAACTAATTTACATTCCTTTAATATTTTACCTGATGAAAGATCTGACCCTTGTTCATAACTGTAAATTCTGTAATTACTGTATTACATTAGAATTACATTTGAAATAGTTTATTTCAAAGTGCCCTGAAGGATATTATTAATAATGTCAATAATAATTAGTCAGCATTCAGCATTTAAACAGACAAGTAGCTGAAGAGACAAGAGTATCCAAGAGTATCTTCCTTCCATGCCTTTTTTTTTTTTTTTTTTAAATAAGACATTAGGTCTCGCTCTGTTGCCCAGGCCGGAGTGCAGTGGTGCCATCAGAGCTCACGGCAGCCTTGAACTCCTGGGCTCAAGCGATTCTCCTGCCTCAGCCTCCCAAAGTGCTGGGATTACAGGCATGAGCCACCACACCTGGACTAGTTTTAATTTTTGACCCAACTTTTTGTTTGAGAAGTTTATTTTGTGTGGCTGGTGTGTACCATGTCCTGTGTGAAATGAATCCATTTATGTTTAAAATTTGCTCATTATTCAGGGAAGAAAAAAATTGTTCAGGCATTGAGGGTGAATGACATATGCTACCTGGCCATTCTAGATTGTATTTATTTTTATCTATTATTTATTTTGCCACATGTGTAATCCACAAAAACTACCTGTATAGCAAATGCATTTCCCCCATGATGATTTAGAGTGAGGCTACAGTGATGCAGTAAAAAGGAAAGAATTCCGGCCGAGTGCAGTGGCTCACGCCAGTAATCCCAGCACTTTGGGAGGCCGAGGAGGGTGGATCACCTGAGGTCGGGGGTTCGAGACCAGCCTGACCAACATGGAGAAACCCCATCTCTACTAAAAATACAAAATTAGCCAGGCATGGTGGCGCATGCCTGTAATCCCAGCTACTCAGAAGGCTGAGGCAGGAGAATGACTTGAACCCGGGAGACAGAGGTTGCGGTGAGCCGAGATCGCACCAGTGCACTCCGGCCTGAGCAACAAGAGCAAAACTCCATCTCAAAAAAAAAAAAAAAAAAAGTAAAAGAATTCCAGATGGCTGATTTCACATATCTGACAGTCACAGAGGGGCTGTTTTTAGCTGAAATATCAACTAGAAATTTTTTCATAGGGAGAGGGAGCAGGGAAGATGCACACACAGAAATTGGCACTCAGCACCCTCTGATTTCTCACCAAGAAATCAGGTAACATTTTAGAGTTTTAGTATTAATTAGTAATTCCTACCCAAAATTTTATCTCAGAAATTCCAATTTCCATAGGTTTAGAATGTTTTCCCTGTTTAATTATTTTCTATCTTTTAAATTAAATATGCCTGCTTTATTCAGAGGCGAGCCTTTCTTTACATTTGTCTAAAGAAGAGCTTGGGGCAATCTAAGGAGATACATAGACTAATTCTCCAGAGTCTTATTTGCAATCCTATCAGCAACTGAATTTTAGTGCAGAAAAGTCATTAGTGTCTGTTAGAGAAAATGTGCAAAGCATTTGAAAATAAGGTGAATTTTACAAGTCACATATTTTCTAGCAGAAATTTAAAGTTTTTCTTTCTTTTCTTAGTTTACCTGTTGGATTCAAGGCCCTGGGCTTTCCTCAAGTTCCCACATGAAGATGGCACACATTAAAGCTACATTTCAGACCCTAATTTATTTGCATTTTCAAGATTTTTCTCTTCACAGACATTAGCTATCTTAGGTGGTACCATGAAGAATAAATGCCATTAAAGGGTTACAGAAGAAAGCCATGGTATACTGTGGTCTAATCCGTTTAACTATTACAATGAAAAGATTTTTTACCATGGGATTAGGGTCATAAAAACAACTAGACTAGGAATTGCCATTCCCATCCAGGTACCTGCTGCCAATGAGGCTAGCAATAGTAACAAATTTGACAACCCTCCCTTCCCCTGACCCTAACACAAATGTACACAACACTATTCTCTTTGAAATGCTCCAAACAAGGTCAAATATAAAGTGATGCAGATTGAAATATGCAATTATTTCTCTCATTTAGATTTTAATTATTCTTAAACTCAACCTTGTTATTTAACCTTGACCTATGTAGTTTTCTTAATATCACTTAGAAGTGAATTACAAAAAAATCTCTTGCATTCTGTCCTATTTGCAATTCAAAAAACAGTCTGGGTTAACTGCAACTCACAAATATTGCTTCTTCTATAAGAAGACATGTCTTTCTAATAATATCTTGCATTCAGAAATAGCTATGAAATTTGTGGAGTTATGTGCAAAATAAAAATGTGAGCCCCTTGTTAAAAAATTATTAAGAATTTCAAGATGGTGACAACAGTGCAATAAACCAAGTGTGGGGCCCTTCTAAGCATAGGGCACTGTACAGCTGCACAGCTTGCATGCCCATGAAGCTGACCTCACTTATGTTTATACGTTAATTTCATAGTTAATACACATAAACTAATTTATTTGATTCTCATAACCACTTGTGAGGTAGGCAGAGAAACTAACAGCAGTCTTATTTTTTTTTCTTGATATGTACAGCATCTGACATTCAAACAACATGTATGACCACCCAACTTGTAAGTGATTGTATTAGTCAAGGTTTTCTAGAGGGACAGAACTAATAGGATATATATAAAGGAGAGTTTATTAAGTATTAACTCACATGATCACAAGGTCCCACAATAGGTCGTCTGCAAGCTGAGGAGCAAGGAGAGCCAGTCCAAGTCCCAAAACTGAAGAACTTGGAGTCCAATGTTCGAGGGCAAGAAGCATCCAGCATGGGAGAAAGATGTAGGCTGGGAGGATAGGCCAGTTTTGTCTTTTCATGTCTTTCTGCCTGCTTGTAGCCACACTGGCAGCTGATTAGATGGTGCCCATCCAGATTAAGGGTGCGTCTGCCTTTCCCAGCCCACTGACTGAAATGTTAATCTCCTTTGGCAACACCCTCACAGACACACCCAGGATCAATACTTTACATCTTTCAATATAATCAAGTTGACACTCAGTATTAACCATCACAAGTCCACCTCTTGTCAACTTGAACACATATACATCCCCTGAGATTATACATAATCTTCAAATAAAGACAATAATAAGGTCATAATTATGCCTAACGTAATACATCTATCCTTCATATAACTGAAAATGCACCAATCCCCAACCCAAATACTATTACATAAAGTTAACAATTCTTAAATATTGATATGAAGTCAATAAATCTTATGTTACATGATAAAGGAAAAAGGAAATTAAATGAAGATATTTTCTTAGTGCAAGTGTATACATGCACAAATACATTTTTAACAAAAGGATGAAATACTCATGACAATTACAGTCCTCATTTATACAGCTGGCCACATGGCTGTAGCTGATATTGATGACTACCTTCTTCTACTACCCATTCTGTATTCCCTTTGCCTTCAGCAAGCACCTCAGCAGGTTGTGGTTTTTTTCCTGGAAGAGTGACCCAAACCTTCATTCCTGAAGGGTCTAGGTCCTCGTGCATTGGGCTGTTGTAGTTTCCCATTGACCTTAATCATAGGGCATGGTAATACTAAGAGACACCCTAATGGATATCCTGTATTCCATGCATATTCTTCCTTGCCTTTGTTGTGGAGCCATAGACTTATTTCATCTTGATAGTCTGGGTCAATCACCCCAGCCAACACTGTGACTCCCTTCTTAGCCTGTTGACTTAAAGGTAGGAGGAGCCCAAAGTGTCCACTGGCAATCTTCCAGTTTAATGGAATCATTGTGTCTCGTGGTGGCAGTGTTCCTCCCTCTGGAACTAAGACCTCTAGGCCAGCAGAACATAATGTCCTGGGAACAGGAAGCAAAAATTTTGCTAGTGGATCACTAGGGGTGATGATGAGTTGTACCACTTCCACCCCTTGATTCCTGGACCCGTGAATCTGGCTATAGGAGAAACAGTGCCATGTATTGGAAGCTGATTCCGAGCATACATGGCCTTCTGGGGAACTTTGCCCCAGCCTTGCAAAGTATTGTCACATAGTTGGCATTGTAATCGTGACTTCAAAAGGCCATTCCACCGTTCTGTCAATCCAGCTGCTTCAGGATGGTGGGGAACATGGAAAGAGCAGTGAATTCCATGAGCATGAGCAGCCTGGACCTGTTGCAGAGCCTTCTCCTGTTCTGGACCCTACTCAAAACTGGCAGCCTTTTGGGTCACTCGATAAATGGGCTGGAGTAACACACCCAAATGAGAAATGTGTTGCCTCCGAAATCCAAATAGGCCCATTAGGTGTTGTGCCTCTTGGTTGTAGGAGGGACCAAATGCAGCAACTTATCCTTCACCTTAGAAGGAGTATCTTGACAGGCTCCACAACACTGGATCCCTAGAAGTTTTACTGATGTAGAATGTCCCTGAATTCTAGTTGGATTTATTTCCCATCATCTGGTGGGCAGATGTCTCACCAATAAGTCTAGTGTGTTTGCTACTCCTTGCTCACTGGATCCAATCAACATAATGTCATCAATATAATGGAGCAGTGTGATATCTTGTGGAAGTAGAAAGTGATCAAGGTCTCTCCGAATAAGATTATGACACAAAGCGAAAGAGTTGATATACTCCTGAAGAAGGACAGTAAAGGTATATTGCTGGCCTTGCCAGCTGAAGGCAAATTGCTTCTGGTGGGCCTTATGGACAGGAATGAAGAAAAAGGCATTTGCCAAGTCAATGGCAGAATACCAGATACCAGGAGATGTGTTAATTTGCTCAAGCAATAAAACCACATCTGGTACAGCAGCTGCAGTTAGAGTTACCACTTGGTTAGGCTTACGATAATCCACTGTCATTCAAGATCCATCTGTCCTCTGCACAAGCCAAATGGAAGAGTTGAATGGGGATGTGGTGAGAGTTACCACCCCTGCGTCTTTCATGTCCTTGATGGTGGCACTAATCTCAGCAATCCCTCCAAGGATGTGATATTGTTTTTGATTTACTATTTTTCTAGGTAGAGGCAGCTCTAATGGCTCCCATTTGGCCTTTCCTACCATAATAGCCCTTATTCTACCAGTCAGGGAGCCAATGTGGGAGTTCTATCAGCTGCTAAGTATGCCTATCCCAATTATGCCTTCTGGCACTAGAGAAATAACCACAGGATGAGTCCGGAGACCCACTGGACCCACTGTAAGTCAGACCTGAGCTAAAAGTCCATTAATTACCTGACCTCCATAATCCCATACTTTAACTGGAGGGCCACAGTGACGTTTTGGGTTCACTGGATTAAACGTCAGCTCAGAGCCAGTGTCCAGTAGTCCCCAAAATGTCTGATCATTTCCTTTTCCCCAATGCACAGTTACCCTGGTAAAAGGCCAGAGGTCTGTTTGGAGAATGATGGGAGAAAGATTAACAGCATAAATTGTCAGTAGTGTAGTGGGGTCCTTCCTCTAGTGGACCTGGCCTCCCCTTCATTCAAGAGGTTCTGGGTCTGTAAACTGGCTGAAGCCTGGAAATTCATTGAGGGGCCGTGAATCTCTGTTTTTATAATTCAAATTAATCTTTTTTCCATTCAACCTAGAAGTTTTCTGCTTATCTAAATTAAGTAGGAATGCAGTAGGCTTCCTATCAATTTCATTCCTAGGAACACCATGATTAATTAGCCAATGCCAGAGCTCTACATGAGTCAGAAAATTCTGATTGCTGCTTTGCCTCTGCTGTCCATTATGGTAGCTATGCCTACCTTGCCTTTGATTGTTGAGTGCCACTACTTGGCCCCTGCCACCTTGGGATCCAATTATTCCCATTGTATTTAAATTTTGTAGTTGAATGACTGCAGTTCCCACTGTTAGACCTGACATACAGAGAAGAGCAATTACAGCGCTCTTCAAAAATGCAGGTGCTACCCCCACAAATCTATTTCGCAAGGCATTGGTCAAGGGTATATCTTCTGGACCCTCCCAGCTGGGATGAATAGGTCTGAAGTGACTAATCCACTCCACCATCCCAATCTCTCTAAGCCTGTGGATCCCTTCCTCTACATTAAACCAAGGGAGATCAGGCGTTTGCAGCTCACTCACAGTAGGTCATCCATATTTTAGCTAACCAAGCAAATAAACTATAAGAACTTTTTTAACTCCCCGAGCTGCAACATTAAATGAAGAGTCCCTACTTAGTGGGCCGAAATCAATAAATTCAGTCTGATCCAACTCTGTGCTCCTTCCACCATTATTCCACACCCTTAATATCCATTCCTATGCCTGTTCTCCAGATTTCTTCTTATATAAATTAGAAAACTCAGGCAGTTCTTTTCAAGTGTAGCTCACCTCCTCATGGTTCACACTCTCAACTTCACCTCTAGGGGCCTGCTGGGACTTTAGTCTAGTTATAGGTCTGAAAGCAAACAGGGGTGTTGGGGGTGGCTCCTGAGGATAATCAATACTATCTTGTCTGGCAACTGCCTCAGGGGAGGCCATTACTGTTGCCTCAGGCAGCACAGGGTTTATCTCCTCAGACAAAGGTGGAAAGGCTGATGGCAGCATGGGTTGGGGGTTGGGGGGATGTTGCCACTACTGGGGATGGGGAAGCTGTTTCTTCTGGCAAACAAGATTCATCAGAGTTTACAAACTCAGTGTCCCCAGCTTCAACAGGGTCCTCCCACACATCCCTATTACAAGTTTCAGGGCCCTGTTCTTTTCCAATCAATTCCCTCACTTTAACAGTAGACACCTGGTGGGGCTGTGCATGCACCTTTCATTGCAGGTCAGCCACTCGTATGATAAGAGCTTGTGTCTGTTTTTCCACAATTTCAGTTCTTTCTCTACAGGAGATAAGACTCTCACTCAGGGCAATCTTAATAGATTTGAGGCTCAGTATCTGCTTCTAAAGCTGGGAGTTAGAATCCCTGAGTTTATCCTTTTCTTTCATCACTTGGTCCACTGAACTTAGAAACAACCAACCAGCTTCATTGTGTTCCTTGGTTCTCCACATATGGTCAAAGGTATTATGTATAGAGTCACTAAACTCCTTGCCTCTCATGAGTGGTGAATCAGGAGTGTCAAATGCATTTATTTTGCATAACTCTGTAAGCAGTTCATGCCAAGGACTATCAGTGTTCTCCATACTATTTGAAGTAGAATCCTTAGGATTTGGGGGTCTAATTTTATTAAGCAGCCAACTCCAGAAACCCCAAAACAAACTAAAGAACTCCATCCTTAGTATTCTGTTCCTCTAGAACCACTCCTGGCACCAAAATCTATATTAGACAGGGTTCTCTAGAAGGAGAGAACTAATAGGAGATATATAAAGGGTAGTTTATTAAGTATTAACTCACATGATCACAAGGTCCCACAATAGGCCATCTGCAAGTTGAGGAGTAAGGAGAGCCAGTCCAAGTCCCAAAACTGAAGAACTTGGAGTCTGATGCAGGAAGCATCCAGTATGAGAGAAGATGTAGGCTGGAAGGCTAGGTCAGTCTAGTGTTTTCACGTTTTTCTGCCTGCTTTATATTCTAGCTGCACTGGCAGCTGATTAGATGGTGCCCACCCAGATTAAGGGTGAGTCTGCCTTCCCCAGCCCACTGACTCAAATGTTAATCTCCTTTGGCAACACCCTCACAGACACACCCAGGATAAATACTTTGCATCCTTCAATCCAATCAAGTTGACACTCAGTGTTAACCATCACAGTGATGGAGTTCTAACTCTGGCCTTCCAACATCTCTTCCATTGCTCCTTCTACTATACTACATTGCTTCTTTATGAAAACAGCATCACAAAAGTGTAACTACCTGTTAATTAGATACACTTTGTTAGTATGCAATTACAGAAATAATAAGCATGTAAAAATGACCACAAATTGGTATCCCTTTGAAATTCTGTCAGTAACTCAATGGTTATTCAATCACTATTGTTAAAAAAAAAAAAATTAAATGGGCCTGTAATCCCAGCTACTTGGGAGGCTCAGGGAAGAGGATTACTTGAGCCTAGGAGTTCAAGACCAGCCTGGGCAACATTGTGAGACCCCATCTCTAAATAAATAAGTAAGTAGGTAAAAGTTAAATGAGAGGCCATTAGGCTGAGATGGCTCCAGCATTCTGGGTTCCAAAATAACCAAACTGAAACTCATCTCAGAGTAATTTAACCAATCAGAAATTGCCCACTAACCTATAATTGGGGACTTTTCACTTTAACCAATCAAATATATATTTTTAAATTATGCTTCCATGACTACCTTATAAGTTTTCCTTTTGCATCTGTTGGGGTGGAGCCCCAAAGTGCCTGTGGTGTGGAGCTGCCCGATTTATGAATTGCTGTCTGCTCAAATAAACTCTTTAAAATTTTAATGTGCCCAAGTTTATCTTTTAATATTGTTAACCTAAGACCTGAGTGTTCTTTTTCCAACTGAGAAACAAACAAAGCAAAACTAAATGAAACTAAAAGCAAAACGAGCAAACCAACAAAAACAACATTACTGTTTCTCACCAAGAGTAGTTCCAGGCAATGGAAATCTTTATGTCCTTTGCCTGTTCACAGCCTTCAGCAAGCCCCTTACAACCTTACTACCAAAATTCATTATAGTACTTTTTTTTCCACCTGCATTTTTGAGAGTTACTAATGGCAGAACTCAGTCAAGAAAACAGCTTGTTATTAAAATAGTTGGCCTCTCTCCTGAAAGAGAGCTCCAAGAGAAAACCACAAATTGTCTTTTCTATATATCTATTAATTCATTTCCAAAACAGGAAAAAATTAAGAAAAGATCATGCTGTTCTCTCCTCTCCCATTATTGTCAGTTGTGTAAAATCTGCTCTTGACCCTGCTATAATTTCTTTCCAATCAGGAAAATGTTGCCATAGCAACCAATTTACTAACTCAGTCAATTGGCTTTGCTCAGGTTTCTCTGAATACTCAATTAACATGAATTGCTTCATTCATCTAGAAATTTGATTTTGACTTCCTACTATGTGCACGGCACCAGATCCAGTCTCGTGTCAGAAATCAAAGTTTGCAGGTCTGAAAGAGAAAACTGCTAGGCTGACAATAAAGAATTAAAGATGTAAAATACACACACATTTGAATTTTATATAATGTACAGAATTTATATATTATGTATATTTGTAAAAATATACATATTTTGTACATTATATTTAGTTATTTAATGTTTTGAGGTCCCGTTGGTTTTGGGGATTGTGCACTGGTATTTTGAATCTAGGGACTTTGGGTGGGATGTTGCTTGCTTTTTGAAATGTAGGGGATGGGAAAGGAGGCTGGCTGTCATAATTCAAGAGTAATTGCTTCTTGAATGCAGAACAAAAGAACTGCTAATAATTTAGTTTAACTCAGCTTTCCTTTCAGTGCACAATATAGTCTAGTTCATTCATTATAGAGAGCACAATTGTTACAAGGATGGAAACCAGAGAGAGCCCTTGTGCAGGGATAATCATTATGCAGAGTGTATTATATTCAGATCAACAAAGATTTGTTTAAATAATGATAATAATTAGTATTTTTGAAATCCCTTTCATTTGCATACACTTCATATTTTGGAAGTGCTCTCCAGGATCTTGTAATCTCACAAATATTCTAGATCTTGTAGATCATAGGAATAAATTCCTAGAACACTACATTTCAGTGGGGCTTAGTTTGGGGCCGAGGGAAAAGTTATTTCCTTCCCTTGAAAGTAGGCTGTATTTATGTCTTTGCTAAAGGATAGAACCCCCAAGTCCCCATTCTTTCTCTGTGTGAGGAGAGGGGAGAGAGAAAGAAAGAGAGAAAAAGAGATAAAAATATTTTAAGGATGAAGGTGGGAATGTCAACATACACTGTCCTGAGAGATAGCAATTTGGATTACAGCCCTCCTCTCTTAGAATGGGGTGGAGGATTGAAGAAAGACACTGCCTCTTATATTTCCTTCCAAGCCAAGCTTCTGGCTCCCATCCTGGGTTGTCAACTTTTTACATTTGTGCATTTGATTTCTCTGTAAGTTTCAAGATTCTTGAAAACAAGGGTCATATTTTTGTATACTCTGGAGAGCTTTCACATCAGAGGTGAAGATATAAAATAGATGTTTGTTGTTTTTTTTTATTGAATGCCACAGAAGCACACACAAATATACACACAATTAGTTGTTTGTTCATATAAAATTTCCCAGGCTTCCTGACTTTAGCACTTGAGGATATATGGCCTAGCTCTTTCTTACCAATTCCCAATACTCTACAAGGATGCCAGCAGCATCCATTAAGGCAGGCTTAATCTCCTGAGTTCTAAGGAAAATTTATACCCCTCATTTCTGCTACTGGCCAAAGTCACCTTCGCCATATTCTTTAGGGAGATCTTAAAATAGCAGAAAGATCCCAATTTCCAGTTCCAACCCTATTCCAAATTGGTTTTGCAACCTTAAAAAAATTACTTAGCCTATTTGTGCCTCAGTATTCTCAACTGTCAAATCAGTTTCATTAGGCCTCACTTATCTGTTTCACTTGTTTGTAGCAGTTACCAAATTAGTGAAGAACATCAAATGGTGTCACTGAAGAAAGAGAACTTAGAAATCATCTAAAGCAGCCCGATATTTTAGAGAATCACTGATATTCATAATTACCTAAAGTCACACAATAGGAAATCCGTGCCTGTGTTTCACTTTTATATTCTAATAGTACTTTCTGTTAAGATTCTGAAAGCACCTGGAAAGGTGCAAGTGCAAAATGTTATGATTGGTATTTGTTATATGACTCCTTCAAGCTCTGCAAGGAATGCTGAGGATGATGAAGCTCATGACAGCAATGCCTTTATCAGTGGTCATAATAAGAAACTGGTACTTCAGCTGCCAAGGAAGGGGTAGGAAATTAGGCAGTGTCTTTTAATAAATTAAAAATCGAAGTCTCCAAGATAATAATGAAAACAGCATCTGCATATAGAAAAGATAGCTAGAACCCCGGGACCTGGCTTTTTTTTCCCTAGACTCGCCTTCCTCTTGAGAGTGTTGCTATTCCATGTTGCCATCTCCATGCTGGCTACAAGGTAGTGATGGTTAGCGGGGGAGAGGCTGTTTCCCCTTTGTCCCCGTGGATGGACAAATTACAGATAATGAGGTATTCATCATCATTTTCTGTAGCACAGCTGAAATCAGGCTCTTATTTTTTACAAGATGAATAAATGTTTAGAGACAGTAGGAGGGAAACAAACTCAAAAACATGTAACTAGATAATCTTGTTTCTAAAATCCAAGATACTCATCCTCAGCTTGTCATTTCCCAAAAGATACATTCAGACCATGCTCCCAGAATATCTCCATGTGACCATTGTAACCAGTACTAGAAACGTTTGCAGTTATGTAAGGGTTCCTAGAATGAGGTGCTAAAGAGGGACTCTATTTTCCTTGCTGTTGTTGCTTACGACTCACCTTTTATCTTGGAGGGGAATTAAAATATCAACTTTAATATATTGTTCAGTGAAGATAGCAATATTTGAAACAGCATGTATAGTAGGCCATCATTTGTGCAAAAAAATGGGATACTCCCACATACCTACATACAATATGCTTGTAAATACATGGAGTATCTCTGGAAGGATACATAAGTAACTGGTAACAGTGGCTACTTTTGGAAAATTTGACGGGAGGATTGAGGCCAAGAGTGGGAAAGAGGAAAATAAACTTTTTACTGTATACCTTTTTGTATTGTTTGACTTTTTACCATGGGCATATGTTATTTTTTAAAAAACAGTTTATATATTACAGTTTTTAAAAAGAATACAAATAAATATCAGCTTTATAGCTAATAAGCTGAATTGGAGAATGTGGCTTGGACCTGAAGCTGAAATGAATTTCTACCACAAATCTAAGGACTTTCAGATCCCCCACTCCGAGGGGAGAGAGTTGAGTCTACATAGCATATGTTTGGCAGGCCAGGTAGTGAAGGACTGCAGTCTTTTCCACACCCTGCTGTGTGGAATAAGCTCAAGAGCCAAGAGGGGCCTAGGCTGTCTATCCATTATAACCCTTTTCTGAATCTCATCAAGTTATTCCTCCTCCCATGCATAAGGTTGAATGAGTGGCAAGAGGAGATGGGTAGAAACTTGCTTCCAAATATTTTTGAAAGATGCAAGACTTTATTTTTTTTTCCTTGAAGACTTACGTTTTAAATTTTAGTTTTCTATGTGATGATTTGCTTCTTCCCCCAAATGACTGACTTTGGAAAAGTCTATTCCCATTAAGATAGATCTCTCTCCAACCCGGTTCCAATCTTCTCAGGGGGATTAGCAAAGGCCTTGGCTGAGACTGCCTCACAGATCACTATTTCCCTTTTATAATCCTACTTCTTTCACTTCCCTGCAGGTTTTGATGCCAAGGTCACTTCCTAATAAACTTCCTGAATGCAAATCTTGACCTTAGGGTCTGTTTCCCAGGTAACCCAATCTAGGAGGGATGGTTTCAGAAATAATAGAAAGAAGCAGGCTCTAAAATGGGATTTTGCAGCTAGTTCTGCTGCTAATTAGCTGGCAATTAGGGTCTTCATTGCTAGGGGTAGGTAAAGCACTGATAATCCCTGACATACAAAAACTTATTAACATTTTCACAGGTTGTAAAATAGGCCTTTGAAATATTTGGGTGGAATATTACTAATAAGGGCAATGGAATCAAATGTTTTTTGTTAAATGCCATCAATTCACTGGAGAAAAAGAAGGAAAGGCTAAGGGTAATTAATCAGAAATGGAAGTTCAAATGTGAAAGCCATAGGAGCTGTTTGGGATCATGTAAACAGAATGTTATCTCCTGTAGTGATAGGGCAGGAAAAGCTAAGGATTTTGTCCAGGACCTGATCATAAGAGTAACTGAAGAGCTGAGAAAGAGGAATGCTCAGTTCTAAAATATCTGCTTGCCAAGATCAAGGCCTGGTTATTAGGAAGGGTGGGACCCTGATACTGGGGGATGGAAACATTTGTACTGATTCATCAAAAACCTTGAAAGCCTAGATTCCCCTGAAGTAGCTCATTTCTCCCTGTTACAGGCTGCCTCTCCAGTATTGCTTGAAGACTATGCAAAAGCTTCTGCCTTGCAAATCAACTTGCATCTGTATCAGGATATGCTCTCACCTCCCCTCCTGGTCCCTGGGCTGGCCATTTAAGGGAGAAAAGGGACTAAATTTCAAAAGGAGCTGAGGGACCCAGCCAATACCTACTAGCAGAAGCTGGGAAAATATACATGTTGACTATCCTAATATAAAAATGTAAACTCTGAAATGCTCCAAAATATGAAACTTTTTGAGTGCCAACATGATACTCAAAGGAAATTCTCACTGGAGCATTTTAGATTTTTAGAGTTTTGGATTAGGGATGCTAAGCCAGTAGTGCAAGTATTTCAAAATCCAAAAAATTGTAAAATCCAAAACACTTCTGGTCCCAAAATTTTGGGTAAGGGGTACTTAACCTCTGTATGGTACTGGATCATGAGGTTCTGGATCAAGGAAAAGCAGAAGATAAGGTTGGATAAGTGTGAGTTTATTCATATGGGCACATTCTCCCATGATATAGAATTTGACTTCTGACATGAGCTTCTGCTTCATTTATCGTTCACTCATACCTTATAATCAGTAATAGTGGGAATCTTTTTTTTAGGTTTCTGTACATTTTAAGGTACTGTACCAAGCTACTAACCTGTTGCTCACATTTTGCCCACTCTCTTCCTGGAATTCCATTACCACCTTTCTTTACTTGATTATATCCAGCTCATCCTTCATGATTTAGCTCATCTCCAAATCCTCAGCTAAGGCTAAGTATACATTCTTAATTTTCTCATAGCACCTTTTTCAGATCTCTTATATGGTGAGCTCATTTATTTATTGAACTTTGTCTTCCACTTCATTCTCAAAGTCAAGAATTAAGTGTTATTTATCTTTGTATTCTTTATGTCCACCATGGTTCCTTTCACATAGAGGCACACAACAAGTATCGGCTGAACTACATGAAACACACTAACAAGTGTCATTTTCTATGTGAAGCCTTTTCCAACCATGAGCAAAGCTTTGCTTACAGCTATAGTCACTGTTACCAAGCTGCAGGTTGAGGCTACTACTTTTGTGGATTGGTCAGTGAATGAGTTTTAAAGTTATTGTGTAAATACAGTTTGATATGTGGTATATATTCTGTGAGAATAACCCATTTCTCAATGTAGGGAAGGTTTCTTTCTAGATGGAGGAAGAGGACAGTAAGTAAACTGGGTAAATTAGCTTCCCAAGTTTGCTGCATCTAGTCTAATTCCCCTTCCATCACACAACACATAGAAAACAATCCTGTCTCAGTCTGCTTTATGCTGCTATTACAGATACCACAGACTGATTAATTTATAATGAACAGAAATGCATTTGGCTCACACTTCTAGAGGCTAGGAAGTTTAAGATTGAGAGAACACATCTGGAGAGAACCTTCTTGCTGCATCATAACATGGCAGAAGGCATCACATGAGCAAGAGAGAACAAGAATAGGGGCCAAACTCATCTTTGGTGAGTAAAGACTTCACTCCCATGGTAACAAACCCACTGCTGCAATAACTGCATTAATCCATTCATGAAGGCAGAGCCCTTATGATCTAATCATCTCTTAAAGATCCCATCTCTCAATACTGTTGCACTGGGGTTAAGTTTTCGACACGTTAACTTTGGAAGACACATTCAAATTATAGCAAATCTTATTCTACTTATATCAAAGATTTTAGCTATAGAGAGATCAGTTGCCTTTCATTTAACAAGGGTTTCGGTTGCATGAAGAAAAATTGATTAAAACTCACTTATTACAAAGTATAAAGCCAAAACTTAGAGTTAAAAAGTAAATGTAAAAATAACTCAGCATTTTTCTTCTCCTAATATTGGTAAAAGCAAACTCTAAAACTCTGGAATGCTCTAT
This sequence comes from Homo sapiens, assembly GCF_000001405.40. Lineage (NCBI taxonomy): Eukaryota > Metazoa > Chordata > Mammalia > Primates > Hominidae > Homo > Homo sapiens. The sequence continues at coordinate 113,753,193 of NC_000023.11, read as the reverse complement.
TCTGCTCTTTAAACTTTGTCGTTGAAGTTAAATTAGCTAGTATGATATCACATATTTTTCAATTTGATAGAAGAGTATCAGGGAATAATGATCATTGTGCATAAATGAAGAGAGTGGCTGCCCTCTTTACTATGAATTTAGTTTGCCAAAAAGACCACCCACACCAGAACATTGCCACCTGTTGAAGCCTAAAATTCTACTTAAATTCCAGTAGGACCCTGCAACCTGACTGCAGATTCTATGTATGCATTTGTTAGGCATATGTGTGCCAAGTGCAAGGCAAATTCTCCCAGGAGAAGCAACATGTTTACATGAATGAGCTCATATCAATGAAAAAGAGAAAGGAATCAATACTTGTGGAGAAGACAGTGTCAGTTTATAGAGGGAAAGCATGAAGAGAGAAAGCTTGGTCGGGTGGGATGGCTCATGCCTGTAATCCCAGCACTTTGGGAGGCTGAGGCAGGTGGATTGCTTGAGGACAGGAGTTTGAGACCAGCCTGGCCAACATAGTGAAACTCCATCTCTACTAAAAATACAAAAATTAGCTAGGCACGGTGGCAGGCGCCTGTAATCCCAGCTACTTGGGAGGCTAAGGCAGGAGAATTGCTTGAACCCAGGAAGCAGAGGTTGCAGTGAGCTGAAATTGCCCCACTGCACTCCAGCCTGGGCAACAGAGTGAGACTCCATCTCAAATAAAATAAAATGAAATAAAATAAAATAAAATAAAAGAGAAGGCTGATGCTATAGGGAATAAGTTGGCTACCTCAAAATTAATCTGAAAGCTTTACCTGGTTGAGAAAGCTCATATTAAATATATACTTTTAAAAATTTGAGAACATAATGGATCCTTGCCATTGTTAGATTCTTTTTTTTTATTATTATTATTATACTTTAAGTTTTAGGGTACATGTGCACATTGTGCAGGTTAGTTACATATGTATACATGTGCCATGCTGGTGTGCTGCACCCACTAACTCGTCATCTAGCATTAGGTATATCTCCCAATGCTATCCCTCCCCCCTCCCCCCACCCCACAACAGTCCCCAGAGTGTGATGTTCCCCTTCCTGTGTCCATGTGCTCTTATTGTTCAATTCCCACCTATGAGTGAGAATATGCGGTGTTTGGTTTTTTGTTCTTGCGATAGTTTACTGAGAATGATGATTTCCAATTTCATCCATGTCCCTACAAAGGACATGAACTCATCATTTTTTATGGCTGCATAGTATTCCATGGATTGTCTATGAGCTTTAGAGAACTGGAGGGAGGAAGGTACTGTAGGAATATCTTTAGAAGCACGTCATTCATGTCATTGGGAGGAGTGTCAGAGGATCCAGTGTAATGGTAGTCAAGGGACTTTCAAGTATCAGGTAGTGAACATAATCACACAGTAACTGGTAACCCTTTAGAAAGTAAAAATGATGCCTGATTAAGCAAGGCATGTATAGGAACAGCACAAAACTTTTTAGGGTTAGAGTGTAAGATGTCTCTTTGGGAGGTTGCAATCAGTCTGCAGAGATAAGACTTGAATGCCTTATTAAGTAGGTCAGCATTTATCCAGTGATTTTTTTCTTTTTTTTGAGACAGAGTTTCGCTCTTGTTGCCCAGGCTGGAGTACAGTGGTTCAATCTCGGCTCACTGCAACCTCCGCCATACGGGTTCAAGCAATTCTCCTGCCTCAGCCTCCCGAGTAGTTGAGATTACAGGCATGTGCCACCACGCGTGACTAATTTTTTATTTGTAGTAGAGACAGAGACAGGGTTTCACCGTGTTGGTCAGGCTGGTCTCGAACTCCTGACCTCAGGTGATCTACCAGCCTTGGCCTCCCAAAGTGCTGGGATTACAGGTGTGAGCCACCGTGCCCAGCCTCGCCAACGATTTTAAGCAGAGACATGACACCATGTTCATATTTGATAAAAATAACTCCCAGATGGTATGTAGAATGGGATGGAATGTAGAAGATAACAATGTAGAAGTCCAGGCAAATGCAGTCATCATCTAAGGTCCATGTATATCAGAATTACCTGGGGCAAAGGGGAAAATTATTGTTAACTTCCAATTATCAGGGTCCATCCCAGATCTACAAAATTAGAATTTCTAGGCACAAGGCTTAATCTACTTTTTCAAAAATACCCCAAGGAAGATGTTAGACCCACTAAATTCTGCTCTAAAGGAATAAATTCTCATACTTTAGGGCTCACCAATATCACTTATGCATAGCTAGGTGATATTGGCTCCCACCCTTGGGATTCTGATTCTATATATCTGAAGCCCAGGAATCTTTACTTCTGAAAAGCTCCTCCATCTGCTCAGTTCTGGGGCAAAAATAAAAATAAAAAGCCCTTCTGTTGATTCTGATAATTTTCCAAGTTTAAGAACTACAGAAAGAATTAATTGATATTGAGAATGGAAAGAGGATATTTTCTTCAGAAAACCTATTCATGATATAATAGATAAAATACAATGCCAGATTTATATGTTAAAAGTGAGGAAAGAGTCAAAGACAGAATGACTTAATGGAAAGAAAACAGGTTTAGGATTCTGGAGACCTCACTGCACATCCTGCCTCTGTTCCTGTTAGCTGTTGTGACCTTGGGCGCATGATTTATTTCTCCCTCTGTGTTCTGTAAAATGTGAAATAAATGAGTTAGACTTTATATGTGTTCCCAAATACGTTCCACAGGTGTTATACAGATGTGATACACTTGCACAATAATGGTTTGATGGGTAAATATTTTTGAAAATTTGACTTTAACAAATGAAACAGTTTATTTACAGGTTAACATGTCAGAACACTTAATGTATTTACATGTACTGTAAAACTCTAAAAAGGAGTTGAAAACGAAGTGTTTTACATACTTACTTGACCACACACTTTTTTTTGAGGGATATTTGATTTACTTAATCCTTTGCAGAACGTAGGACTAAGTGATTTTTTAAGCTATTCTATCTAACTCCAAAATGCTTTGAGATCTATAGTGCCTAGCCAAGGTGACTAAGAAAGAGGTGAAACAATTAAGTAGGTATAAAATGGAAGAGACAGGGAAACATTCAGTTTGGGGATTAAGAGGTCTTATGTGCCTTGGTTCACAAATGAAAGCACTTGTTGACATGATGATGGAATTATAAAGTCCTCCAGAATATGTAGTAAGTAACTTTACAAGAGACATAAACATAAAGCATTGGGAGTCTGAATTTGCAGCTCAGTGTCAGCCAGGTAGCTTATCTTGCCGCATGTTTATTGTGGTTTAAAATTGCTGTCTTTAGTTTTGAAAATTCATAATCATGAGACCTTCTTGCACTGCTTCTCCATCAAATATTACTTTTTTTTTCTTTTTTCTGTGGTTTGGTTATACATTTAGAACTCCAATTGAGTGCAATGGGTTGACTAGTACACCAGGTTCCCTACTTTCCTTATTGCTTTTTATCCTTAGTCTTTTTTGTCACACCATGTTCCTTTGCCCCACTCCATTTCTGGCTCATTGTCTGATTGCAAGCAAATCACTTAATCTTTCAGCAGATCAGTTCCTCTGTGTATAGAACCAGGATGATATGGTTACCTCCTGCCCAACTTGGATGGATGGTATAAGGATTAATGGAGTGAACCATTGAAAAGAAGTTGTAATCCCTAAGGGAGGGGAATCCTAGAAGTAGAATCCATTGTCCTCATTATTATGTTTCAGTTTTGTTGCAGAATAAGCCAGCATCCACATTTTTACAACCAGAAATCTTAGCACACAGGTGGGAACTGTAATTATTTAAAAATTGCAAGTGTTGAAACGTAGTTTAGCTATTTTTTCCATGGAATCACAAAATTGTAGTTCCAAAAATTGTCTCCACACATATGTGCCTCTTTTATAGAGTTCCTAAATGTGTTCATGAACTGTGTTTTTGAAGATGTTTCTCTCCAATTTGTTGAAATGATGGAGAGGCTATTTTACAATTACGTTATGTTGTCAGGCCTTAGTGTTAAGTGAATCAATACTGACATCGATCTTTTTTCTCTAAGACAGGAAGAGACATTATGTGCAACTAAAGTTAGGTAGAAATTCTGAGTCTAAGCTATTGGTGTTACTTTGGCATAATGTGAAAATCAAATAAAATCCTTGATATTTGTGATAGGTGCCCTCCTAGGGAAAGAGAGGAAAGCTGTTTGGGGTTTTCATGTCTGTTTATAAATTGGAGTAGTGAAATAGACCAAAAGAAAAAAAAAAATCTTGGTTGGTTCATGGATCTAGAAGAGCAGATTTGGAATTTGTGAAAAGATGTTTTAATTGTGGGACTTTTAATAATAGATTCATTCATTCCAAAATATTTATTTAGTACTTACTGTGTGTCATCATCTATGAATTTTAAATAGCACCATTGCTATTTCAGCACCTAATACCACTTTGTTGGGATTATTCAATGATTGTCAAGTTAATTTAAATTGGTAATGAACAAAAACAGGTTGTGCAACAGAAGATATCTTGCTTAATTTTCTTGTTTTAGGACGTTCATTCTGTTTAGAAACAGAAGAAAGGAGGCCGATGGTATGAAATGTTAAAAATGCAATTAAATGCCAGGCGCGGGGGCTCACGCCTGTAATCCCAGCACTTTGGGAGGCCGAGGTGGGCGGATCACGAGGTCAGGAGATGGAGACCATCCTGCCTAACACGGTGAAACCCCGTCTCTACTAAAAATACAAAAAATTAGCCAGGCATGGTGGCGGGCACCTGTAGTCCCAGCTACTCAGGAGGCTGAGGCAGGAGAATGGTGTGAACCCAGGAGGTGGAGCTTGCAGTGAGCCGAGATAGTGCCACTGCACTCCATCCTGGGGACAGAGAGAGACTCCGTCTCAAAAAAAAAAAAAAAAAAAAGCAATTAAATGACATTAGAAAATACTATGTTGGCACATGCAAATCATAGAGACTATTTCATGTTATATATAAGGCATGTTTGTATTGCCAGGGCACAATATCTCTGTCAAGAAATTCCAGGCAAAACCAAAGTCAATTAAGCATACCTCCAAACTTCGGAATTTACTGCCATCCTGTTGCCAATTTTTCATGTTATTTTGTTCATAGAATATTGGCTACAAAATATTTTGAGACATAACCTTTAAAATATTTGTTCTTCTCAATTAATATTATTGAACACATTAGAGAGCTTTTTGACAAATAAATAAGTAATACAACAAAGAGATGGTATTTACAATACATTTTGGGTACTTTTCAATGGTTTCCATGGCAATAGCATCATTGCCCTCAGTCTAATCACTGAGTTATTATGTTTGTCTTCAGATCTTTTCTTTATTCTCAAGTTGGCAGCTCTGACTTAGAGCAAGTGCACTTTTTACTTGTCATTAAGCACACTGTAATAATTATCAGTCTGGTTTATTGTTGGATAGTTCCACCTACCTTTATGTAACTTTGTGAGTGAAAGATAAGAAAGAAACAGGAAGTTGAGTGACCAGATTTCCTCTGGGTAATTACAATATCTCTCTGTGTGTGACTTAGAAAACACATTTAAAAATATTTTCCCAAAGAATTTTCCTTTTGCAGGTAGTCGGGGGTGGGTTCTAGTTTCTTCTTACCTAGGGATAGGCCTAGCAGAAGATGGCTGTGCACTTTTTCATTTTGCCAAATTCATCTTGGCCAAATGTTTTCTTTCCTGTAGCTATTTTGTAGTTTGAATTGCCTTCATCTATAATTAGCTTTCTCATATCCTGTTTCTCTAATCAGGTTCTTTATGGGTCCTGAAACACAGCTGGTATCCCCTGAGGGCTGATAGAGGCAGTGAGAGAATTAAAAAGTTACAAAGGGAATAATGGGATAAATACAACTTTCTGACTGTATTAAGTACTATTGGATTTATAAATCATGGATCACTATTTCTCTCATAAGAACAAGTATAGGAAGGTAGTGTACAGGTGTTTCCTTGAATGTTCTTATGTAAGAATTTCTTGTGGAATTTTAGTGATGTCCTTATTACACAACTTTATTATAACCTAATGAATTCTTTTGACATTTTTTCCCTTTTATTCCACCATTATTTTGAGCTCTTCTTACAGGTCACGGCTTTTCTACTAGTACTGGCTTTGTAATGGAAACATGGAGTTCACTGGGTGGCTCAGTAGTGGAGTTTGAAATAGAATAAAAAGAAAATTAGTTTAGATTTAGCAATGTGTGAACCTGGTATGTAAATCTTGAGTATCTGGACACTCACCTGTGTTAACTTATTTTGGTAAGGAAAGCCTAGGTCGGCTGCTGATACCAAATCTGAGTTCAGATAAATAGAACATAGACATTAATAAATAAAAAGAAATAGAAAAATAAACAAGCTCAGTGTTACATAGAAGTAAAATATGCTGTGATTTAAAGGATACTAGGAATGTGTCCCTGACTCCAAATGTCTTTTTGTACCATTTTAGTTGCTCCAATAATATTTATTAGCAATGATTAGGTTTTATCATTACTTGTCCAGTAATTCTCTTTAGCTAAAAATTTCCTTTGAACAGCACATCAGTGATTTTTTGGAATGGATGAGTTTATCAGACTATTTATTATCACAGATGTAGCTGAGGGAACATGAGGATACTGAATGGCTAGAGACAAAAAGGATGTTTTTAGCAGGAGAAAAGGAGTGTCTATGGTACAATACCTATTTTGCACGTTCGCTTGACACACACTCTTTAACCTTCAACTTTCTTCCCAAAGCTTATACTGTAGTACTTGTTCAGAGCTTTATGAGTATTTCTAAGATGATTATAGGCCAAATAAGAGACAATGTGGAAGTCTGGAAATTCTGCATACCTTGAACAGTTATGAATTTGTTCATTTTTATTCTAGATTTACATGAAGAATTCATAGGAGTGTGTAACTTGGTGATGCCTTCAGTGAAGTTGCTGATTGTCGTATTTGCCTCTTATGTCCCAATGGTCAAAACAAATGTATAACATGCCTATTCTAAAGGATTCAACAGGTGTTTTATTGGTTCTGATAGCTGGAGTCCACCTGGTGCAGCAAACAAACCCCAAATTCCAATTTCTGTTTCCATATTTTTGACATTCATTTAATGCTTAACAAGACAAACTTTTACTCCTTTATATCCAAAAAACTGAGACATGATGGCTTAACACCATTATTTCACATTCCAGAGTATAAACCCCTTAGCTTTCCATTTGCTTTCATAATTAAATCAGAATAGCACATCACTTATATAAGGTAGTCTTTCAAATATCAATGACAGCTTTTTAAGACTGTAATGTCTTCAGAAGTGAACTTTTATAAGGAAACATCTGCCAATATTTTAGCCAAGTCTCAGCTATAATCTTGATCAATCAGATCTGTTGAAGTATGATAAGTACCTAAGTGTATCAGAGGGTAAGTGGACATTTCAGCAAAGTTTTGATTGGTCAATAATGTATTCAGGAACTTAAGAAGATTTTAAGATTCATTAAATCTTCAAAATGGTCCTTTCAAACAGACAGAGTATACTTTCTGAGATGGGCATGAATTAACAGATACACAGAATTAACCTTTTATGAAGAAAATTTCTCTAGGTATATATATTGAATAATTTATTTTTGGTAGTAATTATGCAACTAATGAATTATTCTTTGCAATCACAAATGCTAAAACTAGTAAGAAGCAAATGAATAACTTATAGGCCATTGAACCTAGTCTTCAAGGCTCAAAGAGGATCTACCCATAAAAAAGACAATGGGAGCTTTAGTGCTACATGTTCCAGAAATTTAGGAAGTATGAGGTTCTGTGGATGCAACAATCATCTCAATGTAAATGTTTTAACACCTTGATCTCATCTTACCGTGTGAAATGATGAAGTTACTACAGAAAAAGAAAGATACTTACAACCTCTACTTGGACTAATTCAAACCAGTGTGAACACTTTAGAGGATGCTTCTATTTGTCCCAAATAGGGAGAGATTGGAATTTAGAAATCTTATTAAGGGTTTCACTAAATTCACAAAGTGGAGAGGGATAAAGTTTAATGTATTAATTAGGGCTAGATCAAGAAATCAGAGCCACTCTATATATGGAAAGTATGAAAGTTTTAGTTGGGGGAATTGAAAGTTATTCAACATTTGAAAGGAAAAAACAGGCGGAGCAAAGGTCAAGGAAGCCACAGCCAGTGAATTCAGCCTTCAGCATTGAAGCAGGTGGTTCTCCTAAGGTCATCCCAAAGCCACAGCAAATCCCAGGAACATTTAGAAGATTCCCTAACTATTTCAATCTGCAGCAGTGAAGTGAGCGGGTCTCAAGAATGTCCCTTGAAGCTGCTGTGAATGCCAGAAATGTTTGGAGGACTCTAACCAACTATAACTATACAAGTATGATATACAAAACAGGGATGTCGGTGATTCTTAAGAAGTTCCTTCAAACGTCATGTCTGCCCACTTGTCTGACTGCAGTTGTTTCCAGAGAGTAATGACCCCTCCTTCTCTTCTGTTTCCCATATTCTGTATGTCTTTCATTGGCAAATTTTAACATGAGGAAGGATACTCTGGGAAATGTGGTTCTCAGCTGCTTCACTGTATTGCATAGGAGACTATGAGGGTGGTTGACACAGAGTTAATACTAGACAATATAGTGTACCTATTAAGATGTAGGTAATGACAGAATTTCTTTTTCTACTAGAAAGTCTCTATTCTTTATCTATTGAAAGGAATGGCAAAAACTACAATGACTTTTGCACCAACCTAGTATGAGCATAAGGGGCAACAGTGATATTAGTCAAAGAGTCCCAGAATAAGGTAGTAAAGCTTTTGGGAGCTGATACATCACCATGATGAAACAACATGGCCATCAGAGGAGCAACATTTAATTAAGTGGGGGATGGGTTGTTGTGATACTTGTTACCAGAAAGATTCATTTTGGTGCTGGTGACATCCTTGTATACTATCCTGACAAGGCATGTTTATGTGAGTACACATAGCAGGTGGAGGCAACATCAAATAACAGAAAAGATTTCAGGTGAAAAGGAGAAATAAAAAAGGCAGTAAATCTTAAGTTTTAAAAGAAATGTTGTATATCTGAAGGAGATTTCTATATCCTCTATCTCTCAACCAACAAATTGGAACCAGAACAGAAAATTAGCAGCTTGAAAAAGACTTCCCCTGCTCAAGGGTTTGAGTTTCTAAGATTAGAGTGGAGCACACTTGTTCTATTTTTCTCCTCATTCATTAACTAGAAGCAACCTGTTGACTCGTAGAGAAGGGCAGGTTTTCACAACGTTTGGCATCATTCTTTATGGAGTGGGTCTCTTCCACTTTCAATGCACAGAGAAGAACAATGTTGTTGACAGGTAAATGGCTTAAGAAAATGTGTGTAATTGTAATAGTTGTTGATGCTGAAAAGAAATGTTTTAATTCTTATATGCTCCAGTTGGCAATCCCAGGGCATATCCCCAAACTTTCATAACAGTGTTATTTGGAAATTTTATTGTTACAATATAACATTTAGAAGTATTAACCAATATGTTTTCCAATTTTCTTGAATGTCCTTTTACCTCGAAGCTCTCTCCATTTCAAACTAGACCTTGACATTCACTGCCTCAGGACATAAAGGTTATGGAAGAAATGCAGAGAAAAAATCAATTTAAAGTCTATTTTGGAACTAGTGGTAAAGAAACAATTTAGAGAGAAAACTTTCAGAAGCCTAGGCATTGAGAGTCAGAACCCAAAGTCATAAAAAATTGATTTGGAAGAATGCATAATGATGTATAAGCAAATTTTCCCACACCAGAGGAAATAAGAGATCCTCTGAACTGGAGGAAAACAGAGAATATTTAAGAAGCAAGAGAGGAAGCTCTGGTTAGTACTTCTCAGAAGTGATTCTGAGAATTCCTCTTCACAAGCTGTGTCCCTGAGTTGGGGTGGGGGAAATAGAAACTGAAAATAGATTTGGGGATCTGAAAGAGAGAAGCACCCATGCTTTATACTTCAGGTGAAGTCCACGGTGGTCATAGACCTTGAAAGGTCTCTGGTGCCACCATAGTTCAGCAGCAGTACCATGGAAATGGTGGTGTGGTGGGTCTATGATAGAGGGCCTGATACAGTTCCAGTAGTTTTCTGAGGCCCAAGAGAGGGAGGGGAGGGTATCTAAATATTTTCTATCTGTTATTAGTGGAGAACGTGGTAGCTAAGAAAAGAGTGACAGACCAAAAGATAACAGAATTAAGCGGATACAGTGTGTCTCACACGGACCTTTGGCGGGATATTATATGGATTTCGGCAGATGCTAACAGGAATATTGGCCAAGGACGAAGAAATAGACACCCCTTCCCAACAATGCCGTGGTATTAGACCCTTGGAGCTTTCATATGCTGGGAAAAATGCAGGGTATGAGGAAGAAACACAACTTAACTGAGAAAAGCTTATATTCATTGAGTTAAGCTTGAATCACCTAAGATGAAGTGTTCAACAACAGAAAATGGAGCCTCGAGATATAAATTAGATTTTGTTTTAGGGAAAAAATCATTTTGCATAGTAGTTTGTGTTTCATGGAATTCACAGTAACTACACATTTTACTCTGTGAACAGAGGACATGTATGACACATACAGGATGGGAACGCATCAAGATGATTTAATCTAAAACTGTTAAGTATCGTGGAACTAACAAAAACATCAATGTGATGCAAGTAAACAGTGAAAGAAATGAGCTACATTTTCTATTTTAAAGGATGGCAGACGTAGCACATTAATGAATACCTACTGGGTTCTATTTTAAAAGCCCAGTGTCTCAGAAATTAGGCTAAAATGCAATCTGAGTTACGCCTTTTCTTGGCATGGACGTGCTCTTCAAAATGTGGCAGAAAGTGATTTAGCACTTTTAAGAGAACTTACATATGTTGAAGATGGTAAACCGAAATTGAACCTTTGAGAATATTTCCCTGATATACTATATGCCATTCATATTTAATAGGAATGTATATAATATTTAAATATTCAATCTGTCTTTGTCATTATAACTTGTCCAACAACTCACATTTCCCACCATTTTGGCCAAGTGTCTCCAAAGCCTCTCATACAGGCTCATTCAGGGACTGGGAAATTGCCCTGTTCTTTAGGAGCTGCAGATGTCGAACTGTCAACTTTGATTCAGGCCAGAGCTCTATGGGCATGGGTCTTGGAAAGTCTGAGAATCATTTCTATTAAAAAGCAGTAGAACTTCCATGTGGCACAATTTCAGGACTGGTTGAGCAACGTTAAGGCTATTGCACAGTTTCTGGATTTGGCAAACTTTTCCCAACAGAGGGTGCTGTAAACCTGAAAGAGGTACCAAATATTTGTGAGCTTTTAGAAGCCAGGTTGTCTCTTGACTGGAAAGGTCTTTTCTGTCCAGCACAGAAATCACTGTGAATCTTGTTTAAGCAGTTGGAGGTTGGTGGTTGACTCTGAAGCAGCTATATAACACAACCAATGCTACAGCAGCAGCAGAGAGAAGTGGCCATGCTCTGAGCATGAAGTACCTATAGGAAAACAGAGGACTGTTTCCTTTCTGACCAATTCCTTTTTTCAGAGGGAGATAAAAAGTAGGAACAGGGGATAGAGCATTTTTGGGGTCAGAATTTCAGTAAAATTTAAATTAGGTGGCATCAAGAACCAAATACATCTGTTACTATAATTCAAACCCTAATTTTTTTTTTCAGTAATGAATATGACCTGGGAAATCAATTTATACTTTTAAAAATATCCATTTCATAATGTGAAAACAACCTGTGTAAAACAGATATGTTGGAGGAGGTGCAGGTAGGTAGGATAATTTGCTCAGCAAGTCCCTTCATTTGCTTATAGTTAAAATCAAAAGTAAGGCTGGGCGCGGTCGCTCACGCCTGTAATCCCAGCACTTTGGGAGGCCGAGGCGGGCGGATCACCTGAGGTCGGGAGTTCAAGACCAGCCTGACCAACATAGAGAAACCCTGTCTCTACTAAAAAAATACAAAATTAGCCAGGCTTAGTGGCACGTGCCTGTAATCCCAGCTACTCGGGAGGCTGAGGCAGGAGAATCACTTGAACTGGGGAGGCGGAGGTTGTGGTGAGCCAAGATTGTGCCATTGCACCCCAGCCTAGGCAACAAGAGTGAAACTCTGTCTCAAAACGAAACAAAAGTAAGATCCAAATAAAGCAACTAGTATCATTTCCTTATACAATCATGTATTGAGCACTGACAATGCATCTGTACCATGCTAGGCACCAGGAATATACAAATTCTTTTTCTTTCTCTGCCTCCTCTAAAAAGAAAACCAGATCTCAATATTATTGACTCTTGTTATTGTGGCCACTACCTGAAGTTTAATCTGTAGTTAAGATAAAAAGATATAAACAAACATGTACACATTTTTAAAATAATTATTTTAATTTATGTTTTTAAGAAGGGATAGACACTCGGAAAATTTTGCAACCAGACTTTTTTTTTTTTTTTTTTTTTTTTTTTTTTGAGACGGAGTCTCGCTCTGTCGCCCAGGCCAGACTGCGGACTGCAGTGGCGCAATCTCGGCTCACTGCAAGCTCCGCTTCCCGGGTTCACGCCATTCTCCTGCCTCAGCCTCCCGAGTAGCTGGGACTACAGGCGCCTGCCACCGCGCCCGGCTAATTTTTTGTATTTTTAGTAGAGACGGGGTTTCACCTTGTTAGCCAGGATGGTCTCGATCTCCTGACCTCATGATCCACCCGCCTCGGCCTCCCAAAGTGCTGGGATTACAGGCGTGAGCCACCGCGCCCGGCCGCAACCAGACATTTTTTAGGTGCTTAGAAAATTCTGTCTCAAACATTAATAGACACTATCAGAGAAGATTTAGTGAATTTTGGTTAAAGATTCACAAATGGTGAAACTGGGTCTCAGTTTTTCAAGTTTATATATCCTCCTACCTTGTTTACTGGTAATGAGCAAAATCAAAGGCAGGTAACTGAGTTTGTGTGTATTGGGGGGAATTTATCCCATTACTGGCTTGGCTAGCAACAATTATTTATCTTGGAAATCAGTAAAATTCTTTGCAATGTATTTACCTCATGAAGAAAGTATTATGGAAAAGATATTTTTTCAACATAAATTAATAGTATGGCAGAAGTTAAAAGACCATCTTTTTCAGACCTACTTTTAAATCCCAATGTTAAGAAAAGAGACTAGGGATGTGAATCCAATCTCTTCCCTCTACTACAAAACCCCACTGTTGTAATTCCCCTTGAATAAAATATTTCTTGCTTTCTCTGAAAGAAAAGGAAAAAAGGCTCATTTTTAATGGCACATCTCAAATGATGGGATAATTCTGGAGATAATTCCCAACCTGTAAAACAAATATGTGTTAATATCCTTAGGTATTTGAGTGAATGGAAATCCAGACACTGGTGGTTGGATTGGCACGTTAATCTCCTGTCACTCTGATCTATTCCAATTCCTGAGAAACCTAAACTCAAGAATAACAAAAACCACTCAGTCCTACCCTTATAATTCTTTTTTTAACTTCTAGAGAAATGGCAGAGGCCATAAAACAAGAATGATGGAAGAGTTTACCACAGTTTTTCCTTGTCACTTATTTTGAAAGTCAGCTGCAATTTGTAATTTTCTCAGGTTGGCAAATGTGTCCAAATGGGGAATGCTCTGTAATCTGTCAAAACCTCACAGATGTCATCAGCAAAAGGAGCATATACACTTAATGTGTTTGTTAAATCTTTTATTCTGCATGTGGAGCTATACCTTGAGTAAAGACTCACCAAACAGATATCATTCCTTCAAAAAAGTCATCAAGACCTTTGTAAATAAACTCACATAGTAACAGAAGTGCATAATCTAGAGAGTGGTTGTGCTGATGCAAAACATTGGAATCTGTTTTTTAGTTCCTATCTCAGATTGTTTCACAGGCTGTGTAAACTACATAAATAGGAAGAAGTGAGAAAATGAAGCTCCAAGATACTTCTCACACCTTGAAAAATCACACCTTTTTGATTCAGTAGAACTCTAGTGGTGGCCAGAACTGAAGTAATGGCAATGGGAAGGAGAAACAAAGGCAGATTAGGGAGCCTTTGGAGATGGACTGCATTTAGTTCTCTTTGCTTGTCCCTCCCCTCTTCTTTACCTGTGAATGTTGGGTGTCACAGTTCTTAGTTCTTGCATCTCTTCTCTACCTGTACTCTTTCTCTAAGTGCTCTGAGTCAGTCTTATAACCACAAATGTTATCTATACCCTAAATTTCTGAAATCTCTCTCTATATATACCTAATGTATCCCTGAAATTTCTTGATTGATATTCCTTCTGCATACTTGACATCTATGCTTGGATGCCTCATGGGCATCTGAAATGTAACTTTACCTCATACCTCTATTCACTTTTTCTGTTTCAGTCTTTCATATCTCCGTAAATGGCAGTACAAGCAACCTAGATTTACAAACCAGAACGCTTGGAGTCATCCTTAATATTTTTCTTTCGTTACTCTATGTGGACAATCATTCAGTGAGTACTGCTGTTTATAATTTCTAAATATAAATATCAAACACATCTATTTCTCTTCATCTCTACTATCATCAACATAGTTTTGGCTACCAGCATGTCTCTCAGAGGCCATTTCTAGGGTCTTTTAAATGGTCTTTGTACTTCTGTTGCCTCCTCCACATCATTGCCACATGTAGAAGTCAAAGAGGTCTTTTAAAAATATAAAATTGTATCATGTTTCTCTATTGATTAAAACACTCATGACTTTTCTTCACTCTTAGGATAAAATCCAAATTAATTCCCATGGCCTACAAGGCCTTGAGTGGTTCATCGCCTAACTGCTACTTCAACTCAGTGTGGGCCATTCTGCCCTTGCTCACCACTCTACAGTCACACAGGCTTCCTTTCGGTTCATGGCACATGACAGGCCCCTCCCCACTCCAGGGCTTTCATACGTGCTTGTTCTTCCATCTAGAATAGATTTCCTTCTCTTGCCTGCACGAGTGGCTCATTATCATTCTTCAGGACTACCTTAAGTGTTAGCTCTTCAGAGACACCATCCCTAATATCGTACCCACCATGGGGCCCTCATTATACTTCACCATCTGTTATGTATTCATCTTCTTCACCAAACATAATAATTTTATTTATATCATTACTTGATTCTTTAATTATTTCTTTTCTGTCATTCCTACCAGAATGTGAACTCCATAAATTTAGGCATGGTATTTGTTTTATTCCCCAATATATATTTATAACCTAATAAGTTCTCAATGACTATTAATACAAAAATGAATGACTATTGACACAACCAGAACCAAAATATAATCCAGCATTCTTTCTACCTTGTTATTTGTATATCTGTGCTCTAAGAAAATCTGACTAACGTTAACTCTAGTTTTTAATCTCTGCAGAGTTGTAGTGTCTAATTTAATTGTAAATATGTGCCTGGGGCTGTTCAAAATATATCTAATGTGAACATGTCAGATAAATCCATTTTCCAACAATAAAAATAACAACTATTCCTTAAGTGCTTTATACCATTCACTGAACTATACTTTAAGTGCATAATTTCATGTAGTGCCTGAGAAATAGGTAATATTGTCCCATTTAACAGCTAAAGAAACTGAAGATTGGAGAGAGGTCAAGCATTTCACCTTATCCAATCAATTTGAAACCAATCTCACTTATTTCAAAGTCCATGCACCTGGTAATAATTGCATTATGACTGGCTCTAATTCTCTCAAGACAAACCTTGTGCAATTCCTTCAGGAAGAAATGCACGAAGGAGAAATCTGAGGGGGAAGCAGTAAAATGATGGCTTAGTAGTTCCAATCCTTTTATTATGGTCTTAATATAACTTTTAAAGGGTTAGGATGAAGGGTGAAATATGTGTTTTGCTTAGAGAGACTGATTAAAAAGGGAATAGAATATTTGAAGAACATTATCTGCGGTAAGGCCACAGAATTTGAAGTCAGATTTTCATTTCAACACACTAAATTTCTAATAATTGATTTCATCAGAATTTCATAGGGCATCCAGCAATGTATTCTAAGTAATGATTTCTCTGAGTCCTTCCTCATTACTTAAAGTGCATTTGATACTCATGGATATTGGGGTGATCATGTTTTATAAAAGCAAGGGATTGATATTTCAGATATCTTGGATTATAGTTTCATTTCTCTCATTCTGACTTTTTTGTTTTTCATTTTTAGTGGTATGGTTTAAAGAGCAGAAGTTTTCAATTTCAATAAACTCCAATTATTATTTTATGAATTGTATTTTCAGCATCACATCTAAAAATTCTTTGAATAACCCAAAGTCATAAAGATTTTATCCCCTTTTTTCTAAAAATTATAAGTTTTAGCTCTTAAATTTAGGTCTATAATCCATATGGAGGTATTTTTTGCATATTATCTGAGGCAAAGGTCTTAAGTTCATTTTTTTTTTGCATATGGATATCCAGTTGTCTCCAGTACTGTTTTTTGAAATAATTATTATTTCTCCATTGGATTGTCTTGGCAAAATCAACTTATCAAAAATGTAAGTGTTTGTTTCTGGCCCCTTAATTCTGTTTCATTGATCTATATGTGTACTATTATACCAGTTTTATATAATCTATATACAGCCTATGCTTTTCTAAGCACATTATACCTGCTTCCATTAAAATATAATCCCTTTTACTTGATTAATTTGCAATCTTGATTAAAATACAAGTCTAAGTTCAAGATATATTATGTAATTGATATAATAAAATGCCAAATAAGAGTAGATAATACAGGGTTGTGGGCAAGATGGCCGAATAGGAACAGCTGTGGTTTGCAGCTCCCAGCAAGATCAACGCAGAAGGTGGGTGATTTCTGCATTTCCATCTGAGGTACCAGCTCATCTCACTGGGACTGGTTACACAGTGGGTGCAGCCCACGAAGGGTGAGCCGAAGCAGGGTGGGTCATCGCCTCACCCGGAAAACTCAAGGCATCGGGGAACTCCCTCCCCTAGCCAAGGGAAGCCTTGAAGGACTGTGCCGTGAGGAACAGTGCATTCCAGCCCAGATGCTATGCTTTTCTCACTGTCTTCACAACCCACAGAACAGGAGATTCCCTTGGGTGCCTATGCTACCAGAGCCCTGGGTTTCAAGCACAAAACTGGGTGGCTGTTTGGGCAGACACTGAGCTAGCTGCAGGAGGTTTTTTTTGGTTTTTGGTTTTTGGTTTTTCGTACCCCAGTGTTGCCTGGAAGGCCAGCGAGAGAGAACCATTCACTCCCCTGGAAAGGGGGTTGAAGCCAGGGAGCCAAGTGGTCTGACTCAGTGGATCCCACTCTGATGGAGCCCAGCAAGCTAAGATCCACTGGCTTGAAGTTCTTGCTGCCAGTATAGAAGTCTGAAGTCAACCTGGGACGCTGGAGCTTGGTGAGGGAGGAGCATCCGCCGTTACTGAGGCTTGAGTAGGTAGTTTTCCCCTCACAGTGTAAACAAAGGGGGAGTTCAGACTGGGCAGAGCCCACAGCAGCTCCTCAAAGCTGCTGTAGTCAGACTGCCTCTCTAGATGCCTCCTCTCTGGGCAGGGCATCTCTGAAAGAAAGGTAACAGCCCCAGTCAGGGGCTTATAGATAAAACTCCCATCTCCCTGGTACAGAGCACCTGGGGGAAGGGGCAGCTGTGGGAGCAGCTTCAGCAGACTTAAACTTTCCTGCCTGCCAGCTCTGAAGAGAGCAGTGGATCTCCCAGCACAGCGTTCGAGCTCTGCTAAGGGACAGACTACCTCTTCAAGTTTGTCCCTGAGACCCATGCCTCCTGACTGGGAGACATCTCGCAGCAGGGGTCCACGGACATCTCAAATAAGAGAGCTCCTGCTGGCATCTTGTGGGTGCCCCTCTGGGACAAAGCTTCCAGAAGAAGGAACAGACAGCAATCTTTGCTGTTCTGCAGCCTCTGCTGGTGATACCCAGGCAAACAGGTTCTGGAGTGCATCTCCAGCAAACTCCAGCAGACCTGCAGCAGAGGGGCCTGACTGTTAGAAGGAAAACTAACAAACAGAAAGGAATAGCATCAACATCAACAAAAAGGACGTCCATTCAGAAACCCCATCCAAAGGTCACCAACGTCAAAGACCAAAGGTAGATAAATCCACAAAGATGAGGAAAATCCAGTGCAAAAAGGCTGACAATTCCAAAAACCAGAACGCCTCTTTTCCTCCAAAGGATCACAACTCCTTGCCAGCAAGGGAACAAAACTGGACAAAGAATGAGTTTGACAAATTGACAGAAGTGGGCTTCAGAAGGTGGGTAATAACAAACTCCTCTGAGCTGAAGGAACATGTTCTAACCCAATGCAAGGAAGCTAAGAACCTTGAAAAAAGGTTAGAGGAATTGCTAACTAGAATAACCAGTTTAGAGAAGAACATAAATGACCAGATGGAGCTGAAAAACACAGCATGAGAACTTTGTGAAGCATACACAAGTATCAATAGCCCAATTGATCAAGCAGAAGAAAGGATATCAGAGATTGAAGATCAACTTAATGAAATATAGTGGGAAGACAAGATTAGAGAGAAAAGAATAAAAATGAATGAACAAAGCCTCCACGAAATATGGGACTCTGTGAAAACATCAAGCCTACATTTGATTGGTGTACCTGAAAGTGATGGGGAGAATGGAACCAAGTTGGAAAAACACTCTTAAGGATATTATCCAGGGGAACTTCCCCAACATAGCAAGACAGGCCAACATTCAAGTTCAGGAAATACAGAGAACACCACAAAGATACGCCTCAAAAAGGGCAACCCCAAGACACATAATCGTCACATTCACCCAGGTTGAAATGAAGGAAAAAATGTTAAGGGCAGTCAGAGAGAAAGGTCGGGTTACCCAAAAAGGGAAGCCCATCAGACTAACAGCAGATCTCTCAGCAGAAACCCTACAAGTAAAAAGAGAGTGGGTGCCAATATTCAACATTCTTAAAGAAAAGAATTTTCAACCCAGAATTTCAAATCTAGCCAAACTAAGCATCATAAGCAAAGGAGAAGAAAAATACTTTACAGACAACCAAATGCTGAGAGATTTTGTCACCATCAGGCCTGCCTTACATGAGCTCCTGAAGGAAGCACTAAATATGGAAAGGAAAAACCGGTGCCAGCCACTGGAAAAATATACCAAATTGTTAAGACCATCAACACTATGAAGAAACTGCATCAACTAACAGGAAAAATAACCAGCTGGCATCATAATGACAGAATGAAATTCACACATAACAATATTAACCTTAAATGTAAATGGGCTAAATGTCCCAACTAAAAGACACAGACTGGCAAATTGGATAAAGAGTCAAGACTCATCGGTGTGCTGTATTCAGGAGACCCATCTCACGTGCAAAGACACACATAGGCTCAAAATAAAGGGATGGAGGAAGATTTACCAAGCAAATGGAAAGCAAAACATAAGAAAAGCAGGGATTGCAATCCTAGTCTCTGATAAAAGAGATAAACCAACAAATATCAGAAAAGACAAAGAAGGGCATTACATAATGGTAAAGGGATCAATGCAACAAGATGATCTAACTATCTTAATATATATGCACCCAATACAGGAGCACCCAGATTCATACAGCAAGTTCTTAGAGACCTACAAAGAGACTTAGACTCCTACAGTATAACAGTAGGAGATTTTAACACCCCACTGTCAATATTACACAGATCAACGAGATAGAAAATTAACAAGGGTATTCAGGACTTGAACTCAGCTCTGGACCAAGTGGACCTGCTAGACATCTATAGAACTCTCCACCCCAAATCAACAGAATATACATTCTTCTCAGCACCATATTGCGCTTATTCTAAAATTGACTGCATAATTGAAAATTAAACACTCCTCAGCAAATGCAAAAGAATGGAAATCATAACAAACAGTCTCTCAGACCACAGCGCAATCAAATTAGAACTCAGGATTAAGAAACTCATTCAAAACTGCACAACTACATGGAAACTGAGCAACCTGCTCCTGAATGACTACTTTGTAAATAATGAAATGAAGGCAGAAATAAGTAAGTTCTTTGAAACCAATGAGAACAAAGACACAACATACCAGAATCTCTGGGACACAGCTAAAGCAGTGTTTAGAGGGAAATTTATAGCACTAAATGCCCACAGGCGAAAGCAGGAAAGATCTAAAATTGACACCCTAACATCACAATTAAAAGAACTAGAGAAGCAAGAGCAAATAAATTCAAAAGCTAGCAGAAGGCAAGAAATAACTAAGATCAGAGTGGAACTGAAGGAGATAGAGATACGTAAAACCCTTCAAAAAATCAATGAATCTAGGAGCTGTATTTTTGAAAATATTAACAAAATAGACTGCTAGCCAGAATAATAAAGAAGAAAAGAGAGAAGAATCAAATAGACACAATAAAAAATGATAAAGGGGATATCACCACTGATCCCACAGAAATACAAACTACCATCAGAGAATACTATAAACACCTCTATGCAAATAAACTAGAAAATCTAGAAGCAATGGCTACATTCCTGGACATATACACCCTCCCAAGACTAAACCAGGAAGAAGTTGAATCCCTGAATAGACGAATAACAAGTTCTGAAATTGAGGCAGTAATCAATAGCCTAGCAACTAAAAAAAAAAAGCCCAGGAACAGATGGATTCACAGTCAAATTCTACCAGAGATACAAAGAGGAGCTGGTACCATTCCTTCTGAAACTATTTCCAGCAATAGAAAAATAGGAACTCCTCCCTAACTCATTTTATGAGGCCAGCAGTATCCTGATACCAAAACCTGGCAGAGACACAACAAAAAAAGAAAATTTTAGGCCAATATCCCTGATGAACAGCGATGTGAAAATCCTCAATAAAATACTGACAAACTGAATCCAGGAGCACATCAGAAAGCTCATCTACCATGATCAAGTCGGCTTCATCCCTGGGATGCAAGACTGGTTCAACATACACAAATCAATAAATGTAATCCATCACATAAACAAAACCAATGACAAAAGTCACATGATTATCTCAATAGATACAGAAAAGGCCTTCGATAAAATTAAAAACCCCTTCATGGTAAAAACTCTCAATAAACTAGGTATTGCTATAACATATCTCAAAATAATAAGAGCTATTTATGACAAACCCACAGCCAATATCATATTGAATGGGCAAGAGCTGGAAGCATTCCCTTTGAAAACCAGCCCAAGACAAGGATGCCCTCTCTCACCACTCCTATTCAACATAGTATTGGAAGTTCTGGCCAGGGCAATCAGGCAAGAGAAAGAAATAAAGGGTATTCAGATAGGAAGAGAGGAAGTCAAATTGTCTGTTTGCAGATGACATGACTGTATATTTAGAAAACCCCATTGTCAGGCCGGGCGCGGTGGCTCACGCCTGTAATCCCAGCACTTTGGGAGGCCTAGGCGGGTGGAAAATAAGGTCAGGAGTTCGAGATCAGCCTGGCCAGCATGGTGAAACCACGTCTCTACTAAAAATACAAAAAAAAAAAAAAAAAATAGCCGGGCATGGTGGCACACGCCTGTATTCCCACCTACTCGGGAGGCTGAGGCAGGATAATTGTTTGAACCTGGCAGGCAGAGGTTGCAGTGAGCCGAGATTGCGCCACTGTACTCTAGCCTGGGCAACAGAGCAAGACTCCATGTCAAAAAAAAAAAAATAGAAAAAGAAAACCCCATCGTCTCAGCCCAAAATCTCCTTAAGCTGATAAGCAACTTCAGCAAAGTCTCAAGATACAAAATCAATGTGCAAAAATCACAAGCATTCCTATACACCAATAATAGACAAACAGAGAGGCAAATCATGAGTGAACTCCCATTCACAATTGCTACAAAGAGAATAAAATACATACAACTTACAAGAGATGTGAAGGACCTCTTCAAGGAGAACTACAAACCACTGCTCAAGGAAATAAGAGGGGACACAAACAAATGGAGAAACATTCCATGCTCATGGATAGGAAGAATCAGTATTATGAAATGGCCATACTGCCAAAAGTGATTTATAGATTCAATGCTATCCCCATCAATTTACCATTGTATTTCTTCACAGAATTAGAAAAATCTACTTTAAATGTCATATGGAACCAAAAAAGAGTCAGTATAGCCAAGACAATCCTAAGCAAAAAGAACAAAGCTGTAGGCATCATGCTACCTGACTTCAAACTATGCTACCAGGCTATGGTAACCAAAACAGCATGGTACTCGTACCAGAACAGATATCTAGACCAATGGAAAAGAACATAGGCCTCAGAAATAATGCCACACATCTACAACCATCTGATCTTTGACAAACCTGATAAAAACAAGCAATGGGGAAAGGATTCCCTACTTAATAAATGGTGTTGGGAAAACTGGCTAGCCATATACAGAAAATTGAAACTGGACCCCTTCCTTACAACTTACACAAAAATTAACTCAAGATGGATTAAAGACTTATATGTGAGACCTAAAACCCTAGAAGAAAACCTAGGCAGTACCATTCAGGACATAGGCATTGACAAAGAGTTCATGACTAAAACACCAAAAGCAATGTCAACAAAAGCCAAAATTGACAAATGGAATCTAATTAAACTAAAGAGCTTCTACACAGCAAAAGAAACTATCGTCAGAGTGAACAGGCAACTTACAGAATGGGAGAAAAGTTTTACAATCTATTCATCTGACAAAGGGCTAATATCCAGAATCTACAAAGAACTGAAACAAATTTACAAGAAAAAAAAAACCCATCAAAGAATGGGTGAAGGATATGAACAGACACTTCCTCAGAAACAGATATTTATGTGGCCAACAAACATATGAAAAAAAGCTCATCATCACTGGTCATTAACTGCAAATCAAATGCCAGTTAGAATGGCGATCATTAAAAAGTCAGGAAAAAAACAGATGCTGGAGAGGATGTGGAGAAATAGGAATGCTTTTACACATGGGTGGGAGTGTAAATTAGTTCAACCATTATGGAAGACAGTGTGGCGATTCCTCAAGGATCTAGAACCAGAAATACCATTTGACTCAGCAACCTCATTACTAGGTATATACCCAAAGGATTATAAATCATTCTACTATAAAGACACATTTGCACATATGTTTATTGCAACACTGTTCACAATAGGAAAGACTTGGAACCAACCCAAATGCCCATCAATGATAGACTGGATAAACAAAATGTGCCACATATACACCACGGAATACTACGCAGCCATAAAAAGGATGAGTTCGTGTCCTTTGCAGGGACATGGATGAAGCTGGAAACCGTCATTCTCAGCCAACTAACACATGAGCAGAAAACCAAACACTGCATGTTCTCACTCATAAGTGGGAGTTGAACAATGAGAACACATGGACACAGGGAGGGGAATATCATACACCAAGGCCTATCGGGGTGGGGAGCTAGGGGAGGGATAGCATTAGGAGAAATACCTAATGTACATGACAGGTTGATGGTTGCAGCAAACCACCATGGCACGTGTATACCTATGTAACAAACCTGCATGTTCTGCACATGTATCCCAGAACTTAAAGTATAATAAAAAACATTCCCATACAAAAATAGATAATAACAAATGTAATAAATATTAGAGCTTAGAGTTATCATTGTGATACAAAGTACTCAAAGATGATTTACTTGAAGTTTGGAGATGCTGTATCTGGGCAACCTGGGATGGATCCAGTTTCACTATGGCTAATTTATCTGACTTAAGGTTTTATTTGTCCTCTTTATTGTAAATCTTCTCTAGATAGGGAAATATAGCTACATCCTTATATCCAAAGTGAAATATAGGTTTTATTATTATTTTTTATTCTGTGGTAAAGGCCCACTGAAACTCTTCTGTTAAGTAGCAACATGATCAGTTCATGTCCCAACTTAGTTGCTATATTGACTGTTTCAATCAGATAGATTTAGGTTTTTATGAGTATTAGAAACTCGTGTCAGTGCACTGGATTGACTCTGAGGAGCCCGAACATTTTTAAATGAGTACTTAATGACTAACAAATAGAATGTTGAACTGAGAAAGTCACCACTGTTTACCAAACCTTTCTGCTAAGGAAGGGCAAGATGTCACCACTATTACCATCCCCTCATTAGAAACAAATAAGCTGGTAGCCAAGAAAGTGAATGGCTTTGGCAAATATCACACTTAGAATGAAAACTAAAACCAAGAATAGACACCATATGGTTGTCTAAAATACCTTAGCATGGTTGCTAACTATGTGATACCTTGGGCTCTCAGCTGATTTAGGCTGAATTAAATTATTATTGAAACTAAAATGTCACATTTTCAGGGAAAAATGTGAAAACTGTTTAGATAAACTCTTCAAAGATTTGAGAGCACCACTAGAATATAGCTGACAAAAGCTTGAAATAAAATCCATTGTAGGTCAATTTAAGAAACCTATCTAGGTTAATGGGTACAAAAGCAGAATGAATAAGATCTAGTATTTGATAGCACAACATAGTGATTACAGTCAACAATAATTTATTCCACATGTAAAAATAACTAAAAGAGTATAATTAAAATGTTTGTAACCCAGAGAAATGATAAATTCTTGAGGCGATGGATACCCTATTTACCCTGATGTGATTATTATACAGTGTATGACTATATTAAAGTATCTCAGGTGCCCCATAAATATACACACCTACTATGCACTTCCAAAAATTAAAAAAAAAATTAAAAAGAAACCTATCTAATTGATCCAGCTCCAGGGAGTAACCAATGGACCTTATTAACACACAGGCTACACCATGATTTCTTTTCTGAGCTCCAGATTCACTTCCCAAGACATTTTCATTTAGTAGCTTTACAGGCACTTCACATCACAATGTCTAAAACCAAATTATTACTCATCCCTTCCTAGTATGCACCTCATCTTCTGTTTCCTATACTGGGATAAGGGGAAAATATCAAGTAAAAACTTGAGATGGCCTTGGTCTCCATGCTGTGGATACACCACAATCACTCCATTAATCAAATCCTTGAATCCTTCTGTCTCACCCTCACATCCTATCAATCAGCGAGTGCTGCTGACTTACCTCCTTAGAATCTCTCTATTCCTTCTGCTTATCTGCATCCCATTGCCTCTATGTTAGTTCAGATTATTGTTCTCCCCGCAGCCTCTTAACTTTTCTTTCTATTCCTACCCTCAATATATGTTGCAGCCAAAGTAATCATTTAAAACGCAAATGTGATCCAGTCATCCTTCTGCTTAAATGCTTCAAGATTTCCCATTGCCTGTATGGTAATATCGAAATTTCTAGAGATGCATTTCAAGGTCCTGTGTGATCTTTCCCCAGTCTGGATCAGTATGAGCCTCCATCAACCATATTGAACTTTTCTCAGTACCCTAAACCCACCACATGCTCTCTAGTCTCATGGCTGTTCTCTCTTTTTATAACACTGTTACTCCTGTAATGTGCCTTCACACTCTGCCTAACTCCTACACATCTTCCATGCACAATTTTAGAATAATATCCCCAATGCAACCTTCCCTGATTCCCCTGAGAGCTGGCTAGTTACCTCAATGATCACATGTATGATAATTGCTTGCCTCCCCTACTAAAACATATTTTCATCCCTGAAAATACTTTCAGCTCCCAGCAAAAGGCTTGGCATCTAATAAAATTAAAAACCATAGTAACAATAAATAACATGAGTGATTTTTATGTGTTCTAAGTATGTTACATATATTTAACCCTCACTAAAACCACATGCAGTAGGTACCATTATTTTCTTGGTTTTGCAAATAAGAAAACTGGACATGGAGATGTTAAGTCAGATGTACCACATGGTCAAACTGCAGAAAGTGGAGCAAATATCTGAATCCAGGCAGTCTGGCTCCATAGCCTGGGAACTTAACTACCCCACTGTACTCTCTAAATGTAAATTTTGTAATGGTCCTCACCTGGGGGAGGGATCCTGCACTCTTCTCATGTTAGCCACAGCAGCATTTCCAGAACAAGGGGACCCATATTGGTATGTACAGATCATTTGTCTTAACCAACATGTTAGATTTCCATAGCTCTCAATTAGATGCCTATTGAACAAATGGAATGATTGGGTTTGACCCCCAGCACAAAGCTGAAGGATTTCACAATTAGCAAGGAGGCATTGGTTTTACATTCCACGCTCACCACAGGCAGTTGAACCACTTCAAAATAGAAAACATTCATGAGGCACGTACTTCCTTTGCCCATCAAAGCAGTCTAACTGAATGTCAAGTTCTAGTTTAGAGTCAAAACCTGAGCTGAAGATACAGTAAGTGGAGGAAAAGCTGAAACATATATCGAAAGACAGAAAAAAGTGTCAGATATTATTGACTTTGGGTTAATTTACTCTTGAAGCTGCCAGTCTAAAGAAGGATCCAGACTGTAGCCAGAAGTTAGCAAAATTTGTAGCAAGGCTAGATTGAAATCATCGGGGTACTGTGTTACGCTGAGAATGATATAATCGACTTTCAATGAATTGAAACTTTCTCTTCATTTTGCACCATTAGTCTCTCAACGATGTGCAACTACTTGCCTTGCAGAATAATAAACTTGGAGAATTGAACCTAGTTAAGAACTCTAAATGTTAGATCTTTCACTTTCTTTATGTCTAAGCTTGAGCAGACTTTGGTACTTTTATAAACAGAAGCTACAGTGCAGGTCTGAACAGAGAGATGCTTTCTTAGAAGTTTATAGCTATTGTATGTAAGAAATCACTTTAGTTGAGAAGTTTTAAATTTTTTTGTCCTTAAAATTTAAGAAATATGTATTATTGCCTAGCCCTGGAGCCTAGCACAAAGCCCTCCACATGTAAAACACCAGTAAATGCCAGCCATCTTTTGTATGGGTCACTGCTCTCTTTTCTTCCAGATCTTTTCCCATAACCATAGCTGGCTCTTAGCAAAATGGAAGGAGTTTCAGTACTTTTTGATCACCTCCACATACTGCATTCACATCCCAATTTATACAATCCCATAGGTGTTAATTATGGTCCAACGTTCTCTAATGCAGTGCCAAGTGTCACCCTCATAAATGGTGCCTTACATTCTGTACGTAGTTTCACTTCTCCATCAACCTTGTCAAAACCAAAATGAAATCAAGTTAGAAAAAAAATTTAAAGTTTATTGTGCATACAAAAAATCAGTTTGTGAACCGGGAGACCTCAAGCTGAAAGTGGTGAGAAGCCCTGCTCACAGTTGTTATAGCATAGTTTATAAAGCATAAAGAAGAAAGTACTTTGACCTTTTCTGTGATTGGCTGCTAACATTAACATTCTTGTTACGGCAAGCAGAGATGTTTAAATTGATTTGTCTATAGCTGATTGGCTTTATTTCACTGAATCATGTTGAAAGAACATGATGCTTACATTCTGTGTTAGGTTTATAAGGAGAGCTAGTGTTTGGGGGAAATCAGAATGACTTAAATTTTAACTACGTGGCTCCAGGCGTTGGCTTTGAGGGTATATCTACACTGTGGCCTCCATTTTTATTCTTCTTTAACATACTTTACCTTGCTGGTCATGCATTCCTGTGGGGCCTGCCAGCATCTAGCGGGACCCTTGGGAAGCAGTCAGAAAAATTAAGAGCTCCTCAACTATGAATGTTTTTTAAACTAAAAACTTTTGTAGAGATGAATGATTTCTCTGATAGTGAAATTTCAGGTATAATGGGAAATATTGGTGAATCAGATATTGGAGGACAACTTATTCTACTTGTGCATGATGACTAACCCTAACTCTTCACCTTGAACACCATTTGTAGTGTAAATGAGCTTTCAGTGTGTGCTAAAGTAAGGCATTTATCTTCTCTTAACTTGTGTAGAAAGTTGTATGTCTTGACCGGGCGCGGTGGCTCATGCCTGTAATCCCAGCACTTTGGGAAGCTGAGGCGGGTGGATCACCTGAGGTCAGGAGTTCAAGACCAGCCTGGCCAACATGGAGAAACTCCGTCTCTACTAAAAAAACAAAAAATAGCCAGCTGTGGTGGCAGGCACCTATAATCCCAGGTACTCAGGAGGCTGAGGCAGGAGAATCGCTTGAACCCAGGAGGCGGAGGTTGCAGTGAGCCAAGATCACACCACTGCACTCCAGCCTGGGTGACAGAGCGAGACTCCAACTCAAAAAAAAGAAAAAGAAAATTATATGTCTTGCCTGTGTACTCTAGCTTTAGAAGATCAGGTTTATGTGAGAGCATATGGCTTATGTTATCAAAAGGCAGGGATATATACTTTTCTGTCACATAAAAAACTTTAATTAGTAAGTTTGTACCAACACTTTCTCTATAGCACAGTGGCAAGATCAGTTTGGCTTAGAGGAAGAAAAACTGAATTAGGACTCAAGCCACTCTTTAAGCCTTTTTCTTTTTCCTCTGTAATGTGAAGGATTTGAATGAGGGGATCTCTAAGAGTTCTTCCTGCTCCAACATTTTTACTAAATGTTAAAGGCCTATACCAATATTTTATTGAACAAATGTCCTTACATATGTGATTACATTAGGCTCTGATAAAAATTTGGAAATGAGTGATGTTGGGGTTTATCGCTTCTTTGCAGACACCTTGTTAGCATGTCTATTAAACGGCTGTGCTGCTGAAATCCCACCAATTTAAAACTTTGCTGTTATTATTGCATTACATGATTCTTAGCAAATGATGGATCTGATAAGGGCCTAAGGAGCTCCCCTAACCAAATGTATTTCTATTTAAAAAGAAAACTTTAGAAGATATAAATATGTTTTAAATCCAAAGGAATGCTTATCTAATAATGTAATGTTAAACATTATAATAAGTGTGTGTGTGTGTGTGTGTGTGTGTGTGTGTATTCTGAAGAAAGTGAGCCTCTAAAATTTGACCACAGAATAGTTTTGGTCCATCTGCAAAGCCAGCTTTATACAAGTCAAATACTACAAAACATAAGATGTACAATTTGGGGGAATTTTTCTACAAAAAACACTGCACAAGTACTTACATGTCCTTGTTATTTAAATGGTATGCATGCACCTTTGGAAAATAAAATATTTGGGATAAGGTTTTCAATTTTGTTAATGAAAATCCCTAATAGCAAGCAAAGATATGAGAGTGCTCACAGATGGACAGGGATGTCCAATCTTTTTGGCTTCTCTGGGCCATATTGGAAGAAGAAGAATTGTCTTGGGCCACACGTAAAAGACACTAACACTAACCATAGCTGATAGGCTAAAAAAAAAGGGTTGAAAAAAATTCTAATGTTTTAAGAAAGTTTATGAATTTGTATTGGGCTGCACTCAAAGCTGTCCTGGACCACATGAGGCCAGTGGGCTGCAGGTTGGACGAGCTTGGACTGTAAGAATAAGGCACAGAGGGGCAGGGAGCAGCTTCTCTTTTAAATCAATCAAAAGTCATAAGAAGCCATGAGGTTTGGGTTTTTTTTTTTTTTGACAGAGTCTTCTGTCACCCAGGCTGGAGTGCAATGGCTTCATCATGGTTCACTACAGCCTGGAACTCCTGGGCTCAAGCGATCCTCCCATCTCAGCCTGCCAATAGCTAGAACTACTGGTGTGTGCCACCATGCCCCTCTAATTTATTTATGTATTTATTTATTTATTTATTTATTTATTTATTTATTTGAGAGACAGGGTCTTACTATGTTGCCAGGGCTGGTCTTGAGTGAGTTCCTGGGCTCCTGGGCTCAAGTGATCCTCCTGTCTCAGTCTCCCAAAGACATGAGATTAAAGGCTTGAGCCACTACTCCTGGCCAGGAAGTTATGTTTTAATTTTTGTAATGTGCACCTAGAGACTCATTTGATCTACTATAAATAAGCAAAGTTTATAACAGATCGTAGTTCTTTCTAAGGGGAAAAAATGGGGTTGGACAAGGAAGAGAATAAACAAACACACACAAAGAGACATTTCTATAAAAGGTATTTTGTTTTTAAGCAATAACAAATATTTTATTTTCAAGTGCTCTTAAGGAAAAAATGCCATTTTGAAAGTAAAAAGGAAAAGGAAAAAGTTATAGCCACCTGAGACCAAACTATCCAAGTGCATTATTATCTAAAGTGTTACATGCACACACATATTAACTAGCAGAGAGAAGGGTTGTGGCAGTCTCTTCCCTTGATCATGCCAACCAACATCTTAAAATGGATTGATACACTGAAAGGGTACACTTAAAAAAGAGAGAATGAACAGGCATAACTTTCCTGATAATTCCTGCTGTCTATGATATACCCTTCATGTGGCATTCAATATATAAGTCAAAAGGAGGCCCTTTAATGTGGGAAGGAGTTGAAGAATCTTATATGAATAGAGAATTCTCCTCATTGCACCGTAAAGAACACTTTTTGAGAGCACGTGAACAGAAAAATAACATCTGCTGAATATAGACTCTTGCTCTCCTGGAGAGCATTGTGTAGACACCAGTTCAGTCTTAATTCTGAAACACTCTGCAAACAGCTCCACCACCAAAGTTTTACAAAAAGTGTATATTTTAGTCCTCTTGACGAGGTGGGGTTACAGTGCCTAAGATCAAGTTCTGGAAGAAACCCCAGTAGAAATAACATTTACAGTTCATCTCTTATGGTGGAAGATTTCTCCATATGAGCAATCTAATCCATTTAATATTGATCCTAATCAGTGTAAGCTTTGGAGAATGATGTTTCCTGACCTTTTCGCATAATTTCAGAGCTACACCCTAATTAGAGTCTATAGTCTATTCTGCAATGATTAGGCAACCAATCAACATTTGAGCAGGTAATTTAAGCTACATATTCAACTATGAGGATTGATTTTTCTTCAGAATCTTGGTCTTTAACCAAGTTCCTCTGGACAGCTAGCTGTGATTAGAGCAGAATCAGTGGCCCAATAAGCAAGTGGAGCCTTCTGCTATGGTAGGATGCTACTGTTGATCATTAATCATCAGAAAACTTAATCAGCACACGACTAAATCATTGACTTAGGCATCACTAATGATTAGATCTTAAATTTGTAATTCATGAATATTGGGTGAACATCTGTACAACTGGCAGGACAATGTTATTCATCCTCCTTGTCTAAGCTTCAACCTAGTGGCTTAAGGTAGGAGTAGAAACAGAACAGATTATTCATTCATTAAGAAATCTGTATCCATTCAGATCTGTAACCAGTCTTGACAGAGGCTAGACAAATCAACTCTTTATAACCATTCCTACCCTAATTTCACTACCAACAGTTAAATTTATTCTTTCATTAAGCCTAGATTTTTTATATGATATCTACTACATACTAACAATTATGTTAGGTACTACAGCTATAAAATGAACAAGGGGAACAAAAATTGCCTACCCTTTAGTTACATACAATCCAGTTGATCAGAAAGCAAATAATAGAACAATTACAAATACTGGAAAATAATAAACCTTTTTTTATTTTTTTTTTTTTTGAGACAGAGTCTTGCTCTGTCACCTAGGCTGGAATGCAGTGGCACGATCTCGGCTCACTGCAACCTCTGCCTCCCGGGTTCAAACAATTCTGCCTCAGTCTCCCTAGTAGCTGGGATTATAGGCATGTGCCACCACGCCTGGCTATTTTTTGTGTGTCTTTAGTAGAGACAGGGTTTCACCGTATTGGCCAGGCTGGTCTCGAACTCCTGACCTTGTGATCTGCCCACCTCGGACTCCCAAAGTGCTGGGATTACAAGCATGAGCCACCACTCCTGGCCTTATATATAATAAACTTTAAGATAGAGTAAATAAAGTGTGCTGTGTAATGATGGAGAATGGCCACCTAACCCAGTTTTGGAGGATTAAGTTATAACTTTCAAGAATAAGGGTCTAAACTGAGTTCTGAAGAATGTCAAATTTGATGTTGAAAATTCATTTATTTAAAGGAATTGGTTGGATACTTCAATCAAATTAGCAGACCTTAGCAGACCTGTAGTCCCACATAGACATAATCACAGGAGTTACTTAATGCCTTTAGTGAATATGTACTAGAGAAGCAGTGTGGCCGAATGAAAAAAAGAACAGAGAATGGGACAGAAGACTTAGGTTCAAATATGAGATGTTTTTCATGTACTTCAAAACTGGTTTATCGGACCTATTTACATTTTACAAACTAGTTTTATATATACAGTATACGTTTCAATTGCTATTTTACTATGAGTTTGAGTACAGCATATATAATTCTGATCTTGTCTCTTCTATTGTTGTGGAAAGTCAGGGACCCCGAACAGAGGGACCAGCTGAAGCCACGGCAGAAGAACATAAATTGTGAAGATTTAATGGACATTTATCAGTTCCCAAAATTGATACTTTTATAATTTCTTATGCCTGTCTTTACTGCAGTCTCTGAACATAAATTGTGAAGATTTCATGGACATTTATCACTTCCCCAATCAATACTGTTATAATTTCTCATGCCTATCTTTAATCTCTTAATCCCATCTTCTTCATAAGCTGAGGATGTATGTCACCTCAGGACCCTGTGATGATTGCATTAACTGTACAAATTGATTGTAAAACATGTGTGTTTCAACAATATGAAATCAGTGCACCCTGAAAAAGAACAGAATAACAGCTATTTTCAGGGAACAAGGGAGATAACCATAAGTTCTGACTGCCTGCAGGGTTGGGCAGAATAGAGCCATATTTTTCTTCTCACAGCCAGCCTATAAATGAATGTGTGAGTAGGAGAAATATCGCTGAATTCTTTTCCCAGCAAGGAATATTAATAATTGATAACCCTGGGGAAGGAATGCATTCTCAGGGGTAGGCCTACAGATGATCACTCTGGGACCGTCTGTCTTATGCGGTTGAGATAAGGGATGAAATATGCCCTGGTCTCCTGCAGTGCCCTCAGGCTTACTAGGATTGGGAAATTCCAGCCTGGTGAATTCTAGTCGGGCCAGTTGTCTGCTCTCGAACGCTGTTTCCTGTTAAGATGTTTATCAAGACAATGCATGCCCAGTGGGACATGGAGCCTCATCAGTAATTCTAATTTCGCCCTTGCCTTGTGATCTTTCTCTGCCCTCTGCCTTGTGATCTTTTATGGCCCTTTGAAGCATGTGATCCTTGTGACTTACTCCCTGTTCGTACATCCCCTCCCCTTCTAAAATCCCTAATAAAAACTTGCTGGTTTTGTGGCTCAGGTGGGCATCATGGAACCTGCTGATATGTGATGTCACCCCCGGAGGCCCAGCTGTAAAATTTCTCTCCTTGTACTCTTTATTTCTCAGACTGGCCGACACTTAGGGAAAATAGAAAAGAACGTATGTTGAAATATGGGGGGCTGGTTCCCCCAATATTCTATAAACTGGGAATAATATTAATATTGCTAATATTAACTTTGTAAAATTTAAACTGCTGATCAAATTTTAGACATTACTGTATTATTATTGTAAAGTTTTGGGCAATGCAAATGATATACACATGACAGTTTTCATTTGTTTGCCTTGGGGTTATATCTTTTAAAAATTTCTACATATTAAAATTATTTCACAGGAAATGAACATTTCCTTTTCTAGGAGACTAAAACACTTATTAAATTTAGGGGTAGATTAAAGTGACTGAGGTTTAGTTCAAAAGCTGGAGAATAAATATAAATGAGCTTTCAAAATCCTTTTCCATTCAACGATGCTATAATATTTAGTTATGTTTTAGAATTTTCCAACATAAGTTATCACCATTATCAAAAGATACATTCCAAAACATTACAATTATTGTCAATACAATAATGTTGACACTTACAAGGCAGGAACAGTGATGAAATGGCTATAATCTGTTTTGAATGACATAAAATTGTGTTCCATGCCAAAACATGAAATAAAACAAATGGCTACTTTGGAAATTCTAGTTTCAGTGTGTCCTTAGAAAAATTACCTTGTATCAAATATATACACCACCTGGTGGACTAATGCCCCAAATGATGACTGAGTGGTTATCTATCAACAGATGTGCAAACACTCTATTACAAAGGAATGTCTGGTGGAAGGAAATTGACAATCATAATTTGACAATTAGACATTGGTTCATTGGTTGATAATACCTATGAGCCAATGTCCTTGTACTTCTTTTTTTTTTTTGAGACGGAGTCTCACTCTGTCGCCCACGCTGGAGTGCAGTGGCGCGATCTCTGCTCACTGCAAGCTCCGTCTCCTGGGTTCACGCCATTCTTCTGCCTCAGCCTCCTGAATAGCTGGGATTACAGGTGCCTGCCGCAACACCTGGCTAATTTTTTTGTATTTTTAGTCGAGACGGGGTTTCACTGTGTTAGCCAGGATGGTCTCGATCTCCTGACCTCATGATCCGCCCGACTCGGCCTCCCAAAGTGCTGGGATTACAGGCGTGAATGTGTTTGTACTTCTATTTGTTGTTTTTTTAAATTAGTTGCAGTGTTTTCATGGTGGAGAATTTAGCTTAAAAATGACAATAATTTCTTTGCTCTTGAAACTAGATAATCATTTGCTATTTAATATTTAATAACATTATTAATACTTATTGTGTGCCTAAATGCATTTGAGAAATTCAATTAAGTCTACATTTATCTCAGAAGTATAATTTTCTTTTAATTTTATATTATAATGCAGTAGTAATTAACTCTCCATATGTGAAATATAGTTTACCACCATTTACATGACATTATTCTGATAAACACAAATCTGTTGTTACAATCATATAAGGATGCTTTCAAGGTGAAATCAGTAGTCAGTAGGCTGTGAGAAGATTAAATTTCTGTTGTATTTTGGATGGAGTTCTTGCTTGTTTGATTATGTTCAATAGCTATCTGAAATACATACAATATAAAGGGAGTTGCCACTGTGTGATTCTAAAAATTTTTAATGATGTGTCTGAAATAAAGTTATTGGATAGCAATTGACCAAAGGCCACAAGGAGAAAATGGAAATATTCTCTTGCAAAGTTCTTATGCTACTCATAAATTAGTAGAGTATCA
The DNA here is from genome assembly GCF_000001405.40 of Homo sapiens. NCBI lineage: Eukaryota > Metazoa > Chordata > Mammalia > Primates > Hominidae > Homo > Homo sapiens. The sequence goes on along the minus strand of NC_000023.11, from coordinate 113,718,367 downwards.
CTTGAAGACCGACTATAAGAAGTTAAAGAAGTATATTGTAAACTCTAAAGCAACTCCACACATACACACAAATAAAATAAGTGGATATCTCTGTGATTAAAAAAGAAGACCTTTTTCTTTGCCTCACACCATATATAAAATTCACTCAAAATTCATCATAGATCTAAAAATAGATTTCTTAAGATGGAACAATACCAAAATACCTCACAACCTATAAAAGATCAACAAATTAAACATTTTAAAAATTAGAAAAATCCCTTTATTCTTCTAAGAAAACTGTTAGAAAAAAAATTTTAGAGCAGGAGAAATATTTTTTAAAAAACATACCTGACAAAGGACATGTATCTAGACTACATAAAGAACTTCTACAACTCAGTTATAAGACAATCTAATTAAAAATAGGTTAAATATTTTAACAGACACTTACTCAGAAAAGATATGCAAGTGGAAAATAAGCTCTTGAAAAGATGCTCAATGTCATTAGTCATTAAGGAAATGCAAATTAAAACTGCAAGTAGAGAATACTATAATCCAACTTAAGCAACTTAAATGTAAAACCCTGACTATAGTAAGAGTTAGCAAGGTTGTGAAGCCCTGGAACACTTCTGTAATGCTGGTGGGAATGTAAAATGCTACCAACACTTTGGAAAATCATTTGGTATTTTCTTAAAACTTTGAATATTCTCCTATCGAAAGTCACTCCTAGGTATTCACCCAAGAAAAATGAAATGCTGAACCTTTTAAGATAATATTTTGCGGCCGGGTGCCGTGGCTCATGCCTGTAATCCCAGCACTTTGGGAGGCCGAGGCGGGCAGATCACGAGGTCAGGAGATCTGAGACCATCCTGGCTAATGCGATGAAACCCCGTCTCTACTAAAAATACAAAAAATTAGCCGGGTGTAGTGGCAGGTGCCTGTAGCCCCAGCTACTCGGGAGGCTGAGGCAGAAGAATGGCGTGAACCTGGGAGGCGGAGCTTGCCGTGAGCCAAGATTGCGCCACTGCACTCCAGCCTGGGCGACAGAGCGAGACTCCGTCTCAAAAAAAAAAAAAAAAAAAAAAAAAAGATAATATTTTGCTTTGATATCAATGAATGGGAAACCAAGTGCCAAAAAATAATAATCAAGTTAAAAATCTGTATTTTGGAGTTTATATCGTGTGTAAAAGTGAAAAATTGAACAACACTAACACAACTATTTGGAGAGTTGTAAATGGTATTATACTCTTCTAAGTTTCTTATTTTGTGTGTGAAATGCTATAATAAGGACTTAAGTCATACTGAAATAAGATGAGGATGCCTACTGTAATCACTAAAGCAACCATAAAAAATAAAATGAAGAGCTGTAGCTAAAAACTAATGAAGGCGTTACACTGAATTTAAGATGGCCTAAATAAATGAAGAGATATAATATTTTCATGGATAGGAAAAAATAAAAATTTTAAGATATCATTCTCCCTAAACTTTTCAGTAGATTCAACATACTTCCTCCAAAATTTCTGCAGCTTCCTTCTTTTAGAAATTGACAATATGATTCTAAAGTTTATATAAAAATGAAAATAATCTGAAATAGTCAAAAAAAAGTTGCATTATGAAGTACAAAGTTTGATGACTTAGCACTATCTAATTTCAAGATATCTATGAAGCTACTGAAATGGGAGTTCCCTTATCTTCCCCCACTGCCCAAACCCCTAGGAGAAGCATGCAAATGGGCAGGTCGTGGGGAGTGTTTTTAGGGTCCGACTCCACGACAGTGTTTAGGGTTGAGTGCTTATAGCCCCCGAAGCCCAAGCGGGCATGTCTTATAGTGTGCTTTTTCAGCTTTGCCATCTGCAGATGGCTTGTATTAATCAGCTCAATTAGACCCTCTGCCTTATTGCAAGGACAGAGGGCTTTCTATATCCTGGGTTCTTGCCCTAGTGTACCAGACAAATTGGATCACACGTGGGCTTGGAGGATGAGTGCAAGGTTTTATTGATTGGTGGAGGCAGTTCTCGGTGAGATGGATGGGGAACCGGAAGGGGAATGGAGTGGGAAGGTGGTCTTCTCCTGGAGTTGGGCCTCCCAGTGCCTGGACTGTCCTCCGACTGCCCCCGGCTGAATTCCCCTTGGTGTCTGTGTCATTCCACTGTTGCTGGTCTGCCAGTATCTGCTGGTATCTGTCAGTGTGTTCTTCCGTTCCTCTTGACATCCAGCCACTTGTGTGTGTGCCTGCTGGGGTCTTGGGTTTTTATGGGCACAGGATGGAGGCATAGTGGGCCAAAAAGCAACTTTTTGGGTGTAAAAACAGAAATGTCTGTCTACATTTAGGTCTGTGGGACAGGTCCGAGATTGGAGCCCTCACCAGGGACCCTGCCCTTCTCTACCCAGCACTTCCCTGTCCCCTCCCGTATCACTACAATAATTAGGACATTGTGGGATTGGCATAAATGTAGACATGAGGACTAAAGGAAAATAATAGAATGTCAGAAATAAATACATACATATATTAACTGATTTCAAATTCAATTCAATGGGTAAAGAAAATGTTTCACAACAAATTGTGCTGCAAGAAGATATTCACATGAAAAACAAAGGAACTCTATCTTCTGCTATGTACCAAAAAGTATTTAGATGTTTGTTATTTATTATGCACCTAAATATACCAATCTAATATTTTAATGATTTTAGATTAGAATGTAGGAAAAAAATTTCCAAAATAAGATATAAGAATGGAGATTAAACACATTAAAAGGTTCTTAGTACCATTATTCATCTGGGCAATGCAAACTAAAAGTACAATGAGATACCACAACCCTCACATGCTAGAATTTCAAAAGTTAAAAAATGTAAACAAGGCAAGGATGCTCACTCTCACTACACTTATTCAACGTAGTACTGAAATTCCTTGCCATGGCAATAAGGTAAAAAAAGACATACTGATTAGAAATTATAAAATATATTTTCTTTATTTACAGATGACACAACTGTCTATGTAAAAAATTCCCATGGAAATTATAAAACCAAAAACCTCCTAGAACTAATAAGAGAGTTCAGCAAGGTCTCAGGATACAAGATCAATACACAGAAATTTATCTGATTTCTATTTTCTAGCAATGAACATGTGACAATCAAAATTAAAAGTACAATATCATTTACAATTGATAGAAAAGAGACATACTTTGGTATAAATCTAAAAGTAATATAGGAATGATATGCTGTAAATAATAAAATGCTGATGAAAGAACTAGAAGATCTAAATAAATGGAGATACATAACATGTCCATGGAATGAAAGACTTAACGTAACAAAGATGATAATTATCCCCAAAGTGATATATAGACTTAATGCAATGCCTATTAAAATTCTATCAAGAGTTTGGGTAGATACTGACAAGCTTAAACTAAAATTTATATAAAAAGGCAAAATAGCTAGCACAGCTAAAACAATTTTCTAAAAAAAGAATAAAACTGGATGAATCATTCGATCTGATGCTAATAGCATCAAGAGAGTGTATTATTGACAGAGAGACAGATACATAGATCAATGCAACAGAATTGAGAGACCAGAAACAGACCCACACAAATACCCCAGCTGATTTTTGACGAAGGTATAAAAACAATTCAGAAGAGGAAAGGCCGTCTTTTCAACAAATACTTGTGGAGTAATAGACAAAATATGAACTTCAGCCTAAAGCTCTCACATTATACACAAATTATTTGAAAATAGGTTATGAGTTTAAATGTAAAATGTAAATCTATCAAACATTTAGAAGAATTCTTAGAAGAAAATCTTTGGAACTGGAGGCCAAGTGATGAGTCCTTACCCATGACACCAAAAGCATGATCCTTCAAAAGGAAAAATGATAAATTTCACTCTATCAAAATTTAAAAGTTTTGCTTTGAGAAAGGCTGTTAAGAGAATAAAAAGACAGGCTCCAGATTTGTGAGAAATATCACACACAACAAAGAACCTGTATCTAGAATGAATAAATGATGCTCAAAATTAAAAAATATCCCAAAAGATTGAATTAGAAAATATGCAAAAGATATGAAGAGACATTTGACTAAAGAGATATATGGAATGCAAATAAGCATGTGAAAAGATGTTCAATATCACCTATAAAAACAGCTGAACTAAAACAAATTAGTGGTTAATACCAAATGCTGGTAAGGATGGAGAGAAACAGATCACTCATACACTGCTGGTAGGAATGTAGAATTGATACAACCACTCCTGAAGATAGTTTGGCAGTTTCTTATAAAACTAAACATGCCATCACCATACAAACTAGCAATTGCATTCTTGAGCATCACACAGAAACCTGTACATTTATTTTCACAGCACCTTTATTTACAATAGATTAAAACTGGAAACAATCCAGAGGTCCTTCTATAGTTGAATGATTAAATAAATTCTGGTATATTAATTTCATAGACTATTACTTGACAATGAAATGAAACAAACTATTGATACATCCATCAAATTGGATGAATCTCAAGAGTATTATGCTTAGTAAAAAAAAAAAAAAAAAAAGCCAGTCTCAAAGGGTCACCTAATGAATAATTCCATTTATATAATACATTCAAAATAATAGTTGTAGAGATTGACAATACATTAGTGATTGCCAGAGCACACAGACAAGATATAAGATATCTTGGGGTGTTGGTGCAACTAAAAACGGATAGCACTGGAGTATTCCTTTGTGGTGGTGGTTAGAAGTGGGATATAATTGCATAGAACCACTTACGACCACCCCGAACCCTGCCACACACACACAGGTGCATACACAGGGACACATTCAAATGAGCACATGTAGAAACTGGTGAAAATTGAATAAGGTTTGTAGTCTACTTAGCAGAATTGTAGCAATGTCCACTTCCAAATTATACTAAAGTAACGTATCACCACTTGGGGAGGCTAAGTGAAAAAAGTTGACAGCACTCTACGTATTCTTTTTTCAACTTACTGTGAATTTATAAGTGTTTAAAAATGAAAAACAAAAGAAAAAGACAGAAAAACTGTTAGAAAGGATGTGGAGTAAAAGAAACTCTCAAACCTTTGGAATAAAGAATTGGTAGTTTCTAAAAATATTAAATAATCAACTACCTGTGACTCAGCAGTTGTCCCAGATTAATGAAAACATATATATACAAAAAAGATTTTTACAATAATGTTTAAAACAGCCTTATTCAAAATAGCCCCAAACTAGAAATAACCCAAATGTCCACTAACAGGACAATGGATAACCAAATTGTGAAGTAGTCGTATATTGGAATACTATTCAACAATAAAAAGAAATTAACTACTGACACACACAACAACATGGATTAATCTCCAAAATATGTTGAGCATAAAAAGCCAGATACAGTGGAGCATAAACTTAGTAATTCTATTTATATGAAATTTGAAGGCAAACAAAACTATAGTAGAAAAAAATCAGAACAATGGTTGCTCTTGGGTGGGAAGTTTTGATTTTAAAGGGGCGTAAGGGAACTTTCAAGGTAATGGAATTATTCTTTATCTTCTTTAGGTTGATGGTTACATGAATTAATGTTATAAAAACTCAATGAACTGTGTAATTAGGATCTGTGCATGTTAATATATCAAACGTAAACCTTAATAATAAAAAAGTAAAAGAAAAAAGTGATGGTTCAAAGTAATTGTGGTAACACTGAAAATGCTTTTCATTTTAATTTTAGGTGGAATAAAATCAGAATGCAAATTTTTAAAATGTAGTATATTTACAAAAATGTTAGCAAAAAGTAAAGAAAACATGCCTAAAATAACTAAAAGGAAATATGTCAAACTATTAACCAAGGGTTGGCCCATGGCTGTTTTCTTCCTTCCTATCTTTCTGTGGCTCCATAATTTTTTAATGAGTATACACTATTATGAACATTAAAGCACATTTAGAAATAAATATGTTTCAAAAGAAAAATCCAGAAATTACAATTCAGTGTAAGACTTTTTATATAAATCATTCTCAATCAAAACACTACCACACAAGAAATAGATAACAATTTGACTTATGTCGTATGATACTTTCTTAACTGGTTTATTGAGAGACCAGGACTCAACGGGATGTCAGCAGAAAGCAATTTTATTTGTTTATTCCGTTGTCCCTTAAAACCTGCCCTGGGATTTTATTTTTTTCTACCCCAGGCTGAAAACTCACCCGTATCCCAGTTTTTCTGTTCCTCTTAAGTCATAAGCAAATATTTCCTTTGTTTTAACATTTAAGAGTCTAATCCAATGTAATGGTTACGTTACTTTAGTTCAGTACAGCATAATAGCTAAAACTCTTTTTTAAAAAATATTTTTATTTTTTATTTTTATTTATTTTTATTATACTTTAAGTTTTAGGGTACATGTGCACAACGTGCAGGTTTGTTACATATGTATACATGTGCCCTGCTGGTGTGCTGCACCCATTAACTCGTCATTTAACATTAGGTATATCTCCTAATGCTATCCCTCCCCCCTCCCCCAAGTTTTCATTTAATTTAAATCTTTTCTCTTCTTCTAGCTGGGATCTGAAACAAACAAAAAGCCCAGAGTTGGTGGAGCTGGGAAGGATAGCACAGTAGATCACTTCTCTCTTTTCTAATCCATCTCTTTCCTTCTTATTATCCAAAGGTCCTGGCCTCTGCAAAGCTTTGGCAAGGGGGAAACACAAGGTGCAAAAAGGTGGTAAACTAGCATGTTTGTTTTTTGAATATGGAGAATGTAATATTATTTGTTCTTTCACTTGAGAGGTTCCTTATGGAGTTTCCATACCAAGGACCACCACAATGTAGATATTTTAATGAGAAAATGTCTCTTCTTAACTGACTTCTTAAAATCTTCTCCTTTATCTCATGAGTTTTGGGTTTCATCACAATATCAGAGTCAGATCATCCCACTGTTGTCCCTTTTGAGAAACACCAGAGTTGTTCTCTATAAGGAAGTCAACATTTGCTTCTTAAAAACATACACCTTTGCCCTACTTTCTGTGGAAGTTCAGCCTGCTGTCAACAGAGCCCTCTGTTTATCTGCCCTACACCAATAGTACTAGCTAGTCTTTTACGTTTAGCTTTCTCAGGCAATTGTAAATCTGTTTCACAAATTACATAAACACTTTTTCATAAAACTTTCCCAATAATACCCTTGAAGCCTTTCTCTCTAACTCATTTAAGGTAAGACTTAAGAAAAGTACGAGTCCTCTTGTTCCCCATTACAGAGCATGCACAAAAGTGAAACTCTCCCTAAAGATAGATTAATCCACTATTCATTTTCACATCAAGTCTTAAATATTCACTAAGTGGATGAACAAATAATATTGACAGAACAAGTTTTATAATCCCATAGCATGTCTGGCTTCAGAGCTACCACATCTAGTCAAGAAACCTGTCTTGTGCATAAAGGCACCTAGCAGAGAGGGTGTTTGTCTCACCAAGCCCTGTGCTAACCACTGAGACTGAGCTGGGTGGGTGGTCTTCCTCTGTGCTCGCAGGGCACACTGTGCATTCTTCTCATTCTGTCACTGCCACAATACCAACTGGGGGTTCATTTGTCCCTCTTCCTCCCTAGGTGGCAAGCCATTTGATAGCAGAGTCTGTCTTTTCTCTCTGTATTCATAGGGCCTGACTTAATGCTTGCCACTTCATTAGATAATCGATAAGTGGTTGCTAAATAAATGAATGAACCTATCTTCAGCTTATACTCTAATGAGAAAATAGACCCTCGTGCCTTGTTCTAATATGTCATCCATTTTTGGATCGTTGCTTTACTATTTGACATCTTTTGTCCACTGACAACATAGCAAGGGCTTTCAAGATAGAGTTAAAACATGACCCCGGAGGAGGAGGCATACAAACTAATTGAGATCATTTTGTTGTAAAAAGCAGAACAAATATAAATTTCAGGTTGGTCACAATTATTGCATTAAGGAGAGCTTTAAAATGATTTCCACAGAGTTAATTAAGAATGTCTCTTGTTATCTAGGTTCTTAATTGGTTTATACTCTTTTCTTAGTGAGAAACTTCAGGAGAGGCTCAGCAGACAAATACTGAATAAATTATCATATGTTAAGCAAAAATGTGTAAATATTCTTAAGTGAACAGGCTGACGGTAAAGGCAGTTAAAAAGGAGCATGGACTTTGCAATGGAACCTTTATATATATATATATTTTTATTATACTTTCAGTTCTAGGGTACAAGTGCACAACATGCAGGTTTGTTACATATGTATACATGTGCCATGTTGGTGTGCTGCACCCATTAACTCGTCATTTACATTAGGTATATCTCCTAATGCTATACCTCCCCCCTCTCCCCACCACACAACATGCCCCGGTGTGTGATGTTCCCCTTCCTGTGTCCAAGTGTTCTCATTGTTCAATTCCCACCTATGAGTGAGAACATGTGGTGTTTGGTTTTTTGTCCTTGTGATAGTTTGCTGAGAATGATGGTTTCCAGCTTCATCCATGTCACTACAAAGGACATGAACTCATCATTTTTTATGGCTGCATAGTTCTCCATGGTGTATATGTGCCACATTTTCTTAATCCAGTCTATCATTGTTGGACATTTGGGTTGGTTCCAAGTCTTTGCGATTGTGAATAGTGCCGCAATAAACATACGTGTGCATGTGTCTTTATAGCAGCATGATTTATAATCCTTTGGGTATATACCCAGTAATGGGATGGCTGGGTCAAATGGTATTTCCAGTTCTAGATCCCTGAGGAATCGCCACACTGTCTTCCACAATGGTTGAACTAGTTTAAAGTCCCACCGAGACTGTAAAAGTGTTCCTATTTCTCCACATCCTCTCCAGCACCTGTGGTTTTCTGACTTTTTAATGATCGCCATTCTAACTGGTGTGAGATGGTATCTCGTGGTTTTGATTTGCATTTCTCTGATGGCCAGTGATGATGAGCATTTTTTCATGTGTCTGTTGGCTGCATAAGTGTCTTCTTTTGAGAAGTGTCTGTTCATATCCTTCACCCACTTGTTGATGGGGTTGTTTTTTTCTTGTAAATTTGTTTGAGCTCTTTGTAGATTCTGGATATTAGTCCTTTGTCAGATGAGTAGATTGCAAAAATGTTCTCCCATTCTGTAGGTTGCCTGTTCACTCTGATGGTAGTTTCTTTTGCTGTGCAGAAGCTCTTTAGTTTAATTAGATCCCATTTGTCAATTTTGGCTTTTGTTGTCATGGCTTTTGATGTTTTAGACATGAAGTCCTTGCCTATGCCTATGTCCTGAATGGTATTGCCTAGGCTTTCTTCTAGGGTTTTTATGGTTTTAGGTCTAACATTTAAGTCTTTAATCCATCTTGAATTAATTTTTGTATAAGGTGTAAGGAAGGGATCCAGTTTCAGCTTTCTACATATGGCTAACCAGTTTTCCCAGCACCATTTGTCAAATAGGGAATCGTTTCCCCATTTCTTGTTTTTGTCAGGTTTATCAAAGATCATATGGTTGTAGATGTGTGGTGTTATTTCTGAGGGTTCTGTTCTGTTCCATTGATCTATATCTCTGTTTTGGTACCAGTACCATGCTGTTTTGGTTACTGTAGTCTTGTAGTATAGTTCGAAGTCAGGTAGCGTGATACCTCCAGCTTTGTTCCTTTGGCTTAGGATTGACTTGGCAATGCAGGCTCTTTTGTGGTTCCATATGAACTTTAAAGTAGTTTTTTTCCAATTCTGTGAAGAAAGTCATCAGTAGCTTGATGGGAATGGCATTAAATCTATAAATTACCTTGGGCAGTATGGCCATTTTCACGATATTGATTCTTCCTATCCATGAGCATGGAATGTTCTTCCATTTGTTTCTATCCTCTTTTATTTCGTTGAGCAGTGGTTTGTCGTTCTCCTTGAAGAGGTCCTTCACGTCCCTTGTAAGTTGGATTCCTAGGTATTTTATTCTCTTTGAAGCAATTGTGAATGGGAGTTCACTCATGATTTGGCCCTCTGTCTGTTATTGGTGTATAAGAATGCTTGTGATTTTTGCATATTGATTTTGTATCCTGAGACTTTCTTGAAGTTGCTTATCAGCTTAAGGAGATTTTGCAGATGACGTGATTGTATATCTACAAAACCCCATCGTCTCAGTGCAATGGAATCTGTAAGAAAAGCTCAGAGACCCTTTCCAGGTCTTAAGATTTGCTGAGCACAGATGGCTACATAAAAGGCCTAACACTAACGAAAAATAGATTAATTCTTTCTAAATATGTAAGTGCCACATAATTAAAGTTTTACAGATTTATAGTGAAACATGATGATAGAGATTACAAAAATGGTTTGCTATATACATTTTACATTTAATTATCCTATAAAAAGAATAGCATAATAAGCATAATATTTAGAAATATTTTTTTTACCTTGTTAAGATAAAAACTTTAGACAAATTAAATTTAACAGAGTTTGAGCAAAGAACAATTTGCAAATTGGGCACCTTGCCAACCCCCTTCCCTGGCATCCAAACCAGAGTAGGTTCAGAGAGACTCTGGTGATGCCACACGGTCATAGAGGATTTATGGACAGAAAAAGAAAAGTCATGTAAAAAAAAAATGGAAGTGAGGTACTGAAACAGCTGAATTGGTTACAGCTTGGCCTTTGCCTCATTTGAACATGGTTTGAACAGTTGGCCACCTGCGATTAGCCAAAACTCAGTGATTAGTACAAGAGTAGCTTTCAGTCTGTGTTTACACATCCAGTTAAGTTCCAGTTTACTATGTGGGGAGAGACCTTTAATACAAACTTAAAATATGTAAAGAGGCAGATTGCATAATTTAACAACCTGAAAATGACAGACCCTACAATTAGTACTTAATTTTTTTTCCATTTTGTAAGACATTGAAATAAGAGTTTGATTGAATTTGAGTAGTGTTAATAATTTTTTTTTAGTGGAGGCCAGTAAAATGTCCATATATCACCACATCATCATCATAAAATAATGCAACACATTTTAACAAAATTAAAAAACAAGGTAAATATATTTTTATAGGCACAATACTGTCTTTTTGTACATCAGTAACAAAGAGACGTCCAGGGACTTCTGCGTTCCCATAGGATAAATTCAGCTAACAACATGTGAATTTTTACATATGTCATCTGAAAACCATACAGATAAATGAGAAGAGCAAATAGAATTACCCATATCCTATGTCTACATCTTAGCCAAGACACCGAGACTAGAACAAAATTTCAAGTACTTGCAAGTGTAAATGAACATTCCAAACCAGTACAACCATTTCCAGGGCCCAAGCCAGATTAGAAAAGCAGGTAGAACATGCGAAAAACAAGAGAAAGAAGCAGGGAACTATGAGAGGTAGAACCAGTAATATATCACTTCCAGAAGAAGAGGGATACTCTTTGAGAGAGAAAATGCTTACAAAACCCTGAAAACTGGTAGATCACAAAGCAGGATAGCGATGAATTGCAAGAAATGGGCATAGAAGTGTGCACAGCTGGAAGTAGCAGACTTGGGAAAACATCGTATCTGGAAAAAGGAAAGGCAAATTGGAAAAGGGGTGCATCACTTGAATGCTTGGTAGAGAGAAATAAAGAACTCAGTAGATAAGTAGAATTTTTAAAAGAACTAAATGGAAGCTGAAGAAGTGAAAAAAAAAAATTAAAAAAAAAAAAAAACCACGGCCGGGCGCGGTGGCTCACGCCTGTAATCCTAGCACTTTGGGAGGCCGAGGTGGGCGGATCACGAGGTCAGGAGATCAAGACCTTCCTGGCTAACACGCTGAAACCCTGTCTCTACTAAAAATACAAAAAATTAGCTAGGCATGGTGGCAGGTGCCTGTAGTCCCAGCTACTCGGGAGGCTGAGGCAGGAGAATGGTGTGAACCCGGGAGACGGAGCTTGCAGTGAGCCAAGATTGCGTCCCTGCACTCCAGCCTGGGCAATAGAGGGAGACTCCGTCAAAAAAAAAAAAAAAAAAAAAAAAAAAAAAAAAAAAAAACACCACGATAATAGACATTTGAGTAGAAATTACATAATCTTAAGAACAGGAGGGAAAGGATATTTTAAAAATGAATACAAAGGACCCAGATTAGTCAACACAATATTGAAGGAGAATAAAGAAGATTTCACAAATATAAAACTCATAGAAGATATCATAGGAAAAAAATCTAGATATCTTTGGGTATGGTGGTCAGTTTTTAGATACAATAAAGGCATTATTCATAAATGAAATAATTGATAAGCTGGCCTTCCCTGAAATTAAAAACTCTGCTCTGTGGCAGACACTGTCAAGAGAATGAAAAGATACGACACAGTGTAGGAGAAAATATTTGCAGGAGACATATCTGATAAAGAATGGTTATCCAAAATACACAAAGAACTCTTAAAATTCAACCATAAGAAAACAAACAACCTGATTAAGAAGATGGGCCTGAGACTACACAGACATCTCACCAAAGAAGATATACAGATAACAAATAAACTTATGAAAATTGCAAATTAAAACAACTATACGACACCACTATAAACCCATTAGAATGACCAAAATTCAAAACACTGACACCACCAAATACTGGTGAGCGTGTGGAGAAACAGGAACTTTCATTCACTGCTCGTGGAAATGCGACATGGTACTACCACTTTGGAAGACATTTTGGCAGTTTCTTACAAAACTACAAAACTAAACATCCTCTTAACGTATGATCCAACAATCATGCTCTTTGGTATTTACCCAAAGGATGTGAAAACTTATGTTCACACAAAAACCGGCACAGGAATGTTTATAGTAGTTTTGTTCATAATTAGCAAAACTTGGAAGTGTCCAAGATGTTCTTCAGTAGATGAATAGATAAAATAAACTTTGGCATATCTAGACAATGGAGTAGTATTCAGTGCTAAAAAGAAATGAGCTATCAAGACATGAAAAGACATGAAGGAAATTTAAATGCATATTACTATGTGAAAAAGCGAGCCTAAAAAGCTACATGTTATGTGATTTCAAGTACATGACACCCTGGAAAAAGGAAAAATATGAAGACAGTAAAAAGATCAGTGGTTGCCAGGGGTTTCAGGGGAGGGAATGAATAAGTGAAGCACAAAGGATTTTTTTAGGGCAGCAAAACTGCTTTGTATGATACTACTATATAATGATGAATATATGTCATAATACCTTTGACCAAACTGATAGAATGCACACTAATGTAAACTATTCACTTTGGGTGATAATGATTTGTTAATGTAGGGTCATTAGCTGTAACAAGTGTATTATCTAGTGCAGAATATTAAGAATAAGTATATGGTTTATTGTATATGTATGTACTGTGATGTTTAGCCTCTTAAAAATTGTTCTGGCTCGGCTGGGCGCGGTGGTGGATCACGAGGTCAGGAGATCGAGACCATCCTGGCTAACACGGTGAAAACCCGTCTCTACTAAAAATACAAAAACAAAAAATTAGCTGGGCATGGTGGCGGGCACCTGTAGTCCCAGCTACTTGGGAGGCTGAGGCAGGAGAATGGCATGAACCTGGGAGGCGGAGCTTGCAGTGAGCCAAGATCGCACCACTGGACTCCAGCCTGGGCGACAGAGTGAGACTCCGTCTCAAAAAAAAAAAAATTGTTCTGGTTCAGGAAAGCTTGACCCTTCTTGGGCTAGCTAATTCTTTAGAGCTAGCAAAAGGTTCAGCCTGGAATATGCCTTCTATATGCAAACTAACCAATCTAGAGTCATACCTCCTCTCTCTGGCCCATACACCCCAGGAAGCAATATTTCTCTGCTTTAATCATTCCAGGGCCAGGTACCAGGCAACCAGGTGTATGGAGCTACCCTTATAGCTTAGAGCTTTCCCAGATGTTTCAAGCTAGCCAACCCCAAACTGTTCACCCTGCTCTGCCTTGCCTTTGCCATGGGAACTCCAATAAAGGCATGACTTAGGCTTTTTCCCTTGCTCCTGCACCTTTTGACTCCTGACCAATGCTGGTACTTTTCCGTGTGGTCTTATGTGATGTGCCATTTCTCTTGTTTCTAGAACCTGTGAGTACAATAGACCTTGTTTTCCTGAGCCTCTCTTCTGGCTGTATCTGACTGATCATCACACGGAAGAACAAAGAATAGAGGAGGAGGCTATGCATGTGTGTGTAGGGGGCAGAAATATATGGTAACACTGTGTAGTTTCCATTCAATTTTTCTGTGGACCTAAAACAGCTCTTAAGAATAATCTTATTTTAATAATTTAACAGATCTTTAGAGACTTGATGGATGATAACAAACTGGCTAAAGTACATGTAATTGGTATCTCAGGAGGAGAATAGCGAGAATATGGGGTAGAAAATAAATTTGAATAAATAATGGTTACAACATTTCCAAATTTGATGAAACACATAAAATTATAGATCTAGATGCTCAAGGGACTCCAAGCAGAACAAACATTAAGCAATCTTTGTCGGAACACTTCATAATCAAATAGCTGAAAGCTGAAATAAAGAAAATGTTAAAAGTAAGGAAAACATGGTGTATTATGTAGTAAGGAACCATGATTTAATTAATAGTTGGCTAGTCATTAGAAAGCTAGGAAGCTGGAAGAGAGCAAAATATCTGTAAAGTCCTGAATGAAAAAATACACCTTTCAACCATGTTTTCTTTATCCCATGAAAATATCCTTCAGGCATGAAGGACAAATAAAGACATTTTCAAATAAAAGAAAAATAAGGGAATATGTTGCTGTTAGACCTGCATCACAAGAATTAATAATGAAAGTTATTCAGGTGGAAGAAAGTTGATACCAGATGGAAATTTGGATCCTCAGAAGGGAATAGAAGGAGATGGAAAATATAAAAAGACAATTGTTTCCTTGAAATTCCTTCATAAAACATATGACAGTTTAAGCAAGCTTTATAACATTGTATTTTAGGGTGTATAATCTATGATATAGTTTATAGATTGCTTGCTGTTTTTCATATAATGCATATAGCAACTATAGCACAAAAGATGGGAAGGACATAAGCTGAGCTTTGTGGTTACAAGGTTTCTATATTTTATTTGAAGTCATGCAACATTAACTGTAGGTGGATCGTGAAATGTTAAGAATGTATCTTTAATCCTCTTATGTAGTTTTAAAAGTACTATCTTGGATCAGTTTTGAGACCCAGGTTAGGAGCAAGTCAGTTCCCATTCTTCGGTAGCCAAGTAAGCCCAAACCCCCAAGCATCTCCCTTATCAGGCTCTCATCTTCCAGGTCACTATACACCTGCCATAAACAGATTTAGGATTAACTAGTTTGTTTTTGTTTTTTATTTATTTATTTATTTATTATTATTTTTTTTGAGATGGAGTCTAGCTGTTGTCGGCCCAGGCTGGAGTGCAATGGCAAGACCTTGGCTCACTGCGACCTTCCCCTCTCGGGTTCCAGCAATTCTCCTGCCTCAGCCTCCTGGGTAGCTGAGATTACAGGCGCCCGCCACCACGCCAGGCTAATTTTTGTATTTTTTAGTAGAGATAAGGTTTCACCATGTTGGCCAGGCTAGTCTCGAACTCCTGACCTCAGGTGATCCACCCACCTCGGCCTCCCAAAGTGCTAGGATTACAGATGTGAGTCACTGCACCTGGCTGCAAGGCCAGCATATTCTCTATCAAAATTATACATCTTTTTTATTTGAAAGACATAGTGAAACAAATGAAAAGGCAAATCATGGAGAAAATATTTGCAAATATTTGCAAACATGTCTATGACAAAGGTTTGTAAATAAAATATATAAAGCAAATGTTAAGAGAAATAGTCCAATAAAGACTGGCAAAATATTCTAATAGAGACTTCAGCCAAGACGATATGTGAATGGCCAATGGGCACATAACAGATGTCACCACTAAGCATCAGGAAAATAAAAATTAAAAGCACAATGTTACAATACTATACACCCACTAGAAAGGATAAAATTTAAAAGACTGACAAAATTTAGTGTTTGCAAAGATGTGAATAAACTGGTGGTAGGATAGCAAAATGGTAAAATCTCAGTGGAAAACAGTTTTGCAATTCTTTATAATGTTAAATATACATTTACTATGCAATCGAGAATTCTAGGTATTTAAGCTGAAGAAATAAATGAATATATTCACAAAAGATTTGTATGTGAGTTAAGACTGCATTATTCACAGCTGCATAACTTATAATATCCAAACATGGCAAGTGACATCCATGTCCATGAACTGGTGAATAGATTTCTAAAAACAGTAAATCTATACTGTTTACAATTACTCAACAATAAAAAGAAATGAACCATTGATACATAAAACAACATGGAGTGATCTTGTTCTAATGGAAAAAAATACATACATAAAATATATAAGTAAAATATATGTAAACATAATATATATGTAGTATATAGTATATATATTAAAATATATATAACATACTATATAAAATATGTAATATATAGTATATAGTATATATGTAAACATTATATATTGTGTATTTTATATAAAATGTATAATGTAATATTTACATCTAATATATATTACATAATATATAATATACAAATATAAATTATCCATTTGCATGGAACTCTAGAGAAGTCAAAAATATAGCATTAGGAAGCATATTAGTATATTAGTTGGCATCTAGGGCTGTGGTTTGTGGGATGAGATTGAATGTAAAGGGTAATAATAAAACTTAATAGCAGGATGGTAATAGTCTATATTTTAATTATGGTCATTGCTCATTATATTATTGCATACAATTGTATACCTAAAACTGGTGTAATTTATTTTATAATTTGTTTTATGTGTATATATATATATACATATATATATATATATATATGTGTATATATATATATAAAATGTTTACATATATGTAAGTTTTACCCCAATAAAAATGGGTGGAAAAACAACCAAGAAAATTAAAACATAATAATGAAGAGATAAAAATTATATGAGAGAACTAAAGTAGCAGATAAGCAAGGAAAATACCACATACTTATAATTTAAATCCTTAAAGAAGAAAAACAAGACAATAAGACATAGCTTTTTCATAGTTAAAAGATAATATGAATCTAAATATTTAAAAGACTTCTTGTGATGACTGAGTTGTCTACATTGAGATATTCTAATAAAATTTTTAGACCTTAAATATGAAGATTACATCTTCAGGTCTTTTGGGGATGGGGAAAAATGAGTCATTTACACAGAAGAGAAAATCAAGTTGGTATGTCTTCTCAACCACCAGTCACAATGCAAGTCAACAGTGAAACTTTATTAAAAACAAAAACAAACACACAAAAATAACCTTAAATAAATAAACTATAAGACAAAGCTTTTATATCTAACAAAATTGTCATTTCACTTTCAAGGCTATAGAAAACCAGTTTCAGTCATTTGACTTACTCAGATAATATTGCATTCAGAAATTCTTACAGATGAATCTAGTAGAAGACTGGCTTTATTCAATCAAGACATAGCTGCTGATAGGCAAAAGAACTGATGATGAGTATTGAGTAATAATTTTGACTTATATTCATGTGACTATTCTACATATTCAAAAATTGAAGTGAATCCAAAAGATTGGGGAAAAAAACAAACACTAAAATGTACACAGAGATAAATGAATGCAATATATAAAATTGGTAAACACAGACAAAAAATAAATCTGTTAACTTGAACACATATATTCTAAGCACCAAAATGACAATAAAGAAATCTTGGGTTGGCAGCAAGATGTATGAACAGAAGCCTCCACTGATTGTCCCCCGACTGCAGTAATGCCAAGTTTTAATAACAAACTACTCACAAAAAAGCACCCTCATAAGAACCAAAAATTAGGTGAGCGATCATAGTACTTGGTTTTAACTTCATATCATTGAAAGAGGCACTGGCGTGAGTAGGAAAGACAGTCTGGCATCTCTGATGCCACTCCTCTACCAGCCTCCAGCAGCAGCCTTGTAATGCACCGACAGAATCCGTGCACATGGAGGAGGGAGAGTGTAGCATCTGGGGGACTTTGCCTGAACTCAGTGCTGCTCTGTCACAGTGAAGAGCAGGGTTGTGCTGGGCGCAGCTGGTGCCTGCCATGGAGGGAGCATTTGGACCAGACCTAACCAGAGGGGAGTCACCCATCCCGGCAGTCGGAACTTGAGTTTCTGGGCAAGCCTTGACACCACAGGCTAATGTACTCTGGGGTCCTAGGCTTGAAAGCCAGTCTGGGACACAAGGACTGTGATTCCTAGGCAACTCCTAGTGCTACGCTGGGCTTAGACCCAGAGGACTAGGGTGGCACATGACCTGAGGACTTACCAGTTGTTGTGGCTAAGGTAGTGCTTGTGCCACCCCTCCCCCCAACCACAGACAGTGCAGCTCACAGCAATGAAAGTGACTCCTTTTGCTTGAGGAGAGGAGAGGAGAGGGAAGAGTGAAGAGAAAAGAAGACTTTGTTTTGCATTTTCTATACCAGTTCAGAAGTAGCAAGACAGGACATTGGTTACAGTTGTGAGGAACCCATTCCAGGCCTTAGCTTCTGAATGACATTTTTAGAAACACCCTGGGTCACAAGGCAACTTGGCTGCCTTGAAGAGAAGGACCCAGTCCTGGCAGGACTAATCACCTGCTGAAAAAACAGTTGCTGGGCCCTGAAGAACCAACAGCGATACCCAGGTAGTATGCCATGGGCCTTGGGGGAGACTGAGACATGCTAAGTTTAGGTGAGACTCAGAACATTCCCACTTATTGTGGCTTTGGTGAAATACTTTTGCTTAAGAAAAGCATAGGGAAAAGTAAAGGGGACTTTGTCTTGCACCTTCAGTGCCAGCTTGGCCACAGTGAGAGCTCCAAGTGAGCTCTTGGGGTCCCCAATTCTAAGCCTAGGTTCTTAGCATTTTTGGACCTGCCTTGGGCTAGAGGGGAGCCCACTGCCCTGAAGGGTGAGCCTTAGACCTGCCAGCGTTCACCACAAACTGACTGAAGACTGCAGAGCACTTCGGCTTTAAGTGAACGTCAGCAGTGGCCTGGCAGAATTCTGCATTGGCTGGTGGTGGCGGTAGTCATGGGAAGAAGCTCCTCTAACTACGGAAAGGGGAGGGAAGAGCCTGAAGGACTTTGTCTTGTGTTTGCGTGCCAGCTTAGCTGCAGTAGAATAGGGCACCAGGTAGATTTCTAAGGTTTTTAACTTCAATCCTTGGCTCCCAGATAGCATCTTGGAACTTCCCTGGGGCCTGGGGGAACTAGCTGCCCTGACGGGAAAGACACAAACCTGGATGATTTCACCATCTTCTGATTGTAGAGCGCTAAAGCCTTGATTGAACATAGGCAATATCCAGGTAGTGGTTATAGCAGGCCTTGCATGAGATTCAGTGTTGTGCTGGCTTCACCTCTGACTCAGCACAGTCCCAGTGGTGGTCGCCACAGAGGTGCTTGCATCCACCCATCCCTAGCTCCAGGCAACTCAGCAGAGAGATACTCTGTTTAGAAGAAAGTAAGAAAAGAGAACAAGAGTACCTGACTGGTAGGCCAGAGAATTCTTCCATATCTTTCCCAAGACCACAAAGGTAATAACTCTAGGGGTCTGTAAGAACCACAGCTTTATTGTGCTTGGGACCCAAATCCCTTTGAATACCTGGAAAGTCTTCCCAAGAAGGATGAGTACAAATGAGCCCAGACTGCAAAGACAAAATAAGTAATTCTTCAGTGCCCAGACACTGACCAACTTATATAAAAATCAAGCCCATCCAGGAAAACATGGCCTCATCAAATAAATAAGGCACCAGGGACACTCCTGGAGAAACAGTTATGTGACCTTTCAAACAGAGAATTGAAAATAGCAGTGTTGAGGAAACTCAAAGAAATTCAAGATAACACAGAAAAGGAATTCAGAATTCTATCAGATAAATGTAACAAAGAGACTGAAATAATTAACAAGAATCAAGCAGAAATTCTAGAGTTGAAAAATAAAATTTACATACTGAAGAACACATCAGAGTCTCTTAATAGCAGAACCAATCAAGCAGGATAATTAGTGAGTTTGAAGGCAGTGTATTTGAAAATACACAGTCAGAGGAGACAGATGAATAAAGAATACAAAAGAGGAACTGCTGGCAAGATGGCCAAATAGGAACAGCTCTGGTCTAAAGCTCCCAGCGAGATTGATGCACAAGGTGGGTGATTTCTGCATTTTCAACTGAGGTACACAGTTCATCTCACTGGGACTGGTTGGGCAGTGGGTGCTGCCCAAGGAGGGCTAGCTGAAGCACAGTGGGAAGTGCAAGATGTCGGTGAACTCCCTCTCCTAGCCAAGGGAAGCCATCAGGGAATGTACTGTGCACTCCAGCCCAGATACTGCACTTTTCCTGTGGTCTTTGCAACCCGCAGACCAGGAGACTCACTCCCGTGTCCACGCCACCAGGGCTCTCCGATTCCAGCACAAAACTGGGTGGCCATTTGGGCAGACGCCAAGCTAACCGCAGGAGTTTTTTTTTGTTTTTTTTTTTCCCCCACATACCCCACTGGCACCCGGAACGCCAGTAACACAGAACTGTTCACTCCCCTGGAAAGGGGGCTGAAGCCAGGGAGCCAAGTGGTCTGGCTTGTTGGGGGGTCCCACCCCCATGGAGCCCAGCAAGCTAAGATCCACTGGCTTGAAATACTCACTGCTAGCACAGCAGTCTGAGCTCAACCTGGGATGCTCGAGATTGGTGAGGGGAGGGGTGTCCACCATTGCTGAGGCTCCAGTAGGCGGCTTTACCCTCACAGTGTAAAGAAAGCTGCCGGGTAGTTTGAATTGGGCGGAGACAACCATAGATCAGCAAGGCCACTGTGGCCAGACTGACTCTCCAGATTCCCTCCTCTCTGGGCAGGGCATCTCAGAAAAAAAGGCAGCAGCCCCAGTCAGACATGTATAGATAAAACCCCTACCTCCCTGGGATAGAGCACCTGGGGGAAGGGGCGGTTGGGGGCACAGCTTTAGCAGACTTAAACGTCCCTGCCTGGCAGCTCTGAACAGAGCAGCAGATCTCCCAGCACAGCATTCAAGCTCTGATAAGGGACAGACTGCCTCCTCAAGTGGGTCCCTGACCCCCGTGTATCATGACTGGGAGACACCTCCTAGTAGGGACCGACAGACACCTCATACAGGAGAGCGCTGGCTGGCATCTGGCAGGTGCCCCTCTGGGATGAAGCTTCCAGAAGAAGGAACAGGCAGCAATTTTTGCTGTTCTGCAGCCTCTGACGGTGATACCCAGGCAAACAGGGTCTGGAGTGGACCTTCAGCAAATTCCAGCAGACCTGCAACAGAGGGGCATGACTGTTAGAAGGAAAACTAACAAACAGAAAGGAATAGTATCAACATCAACAAAAAGGACATCCACTCAGAGACCCCAGCCGCAGATCACCAACTTCAAAGACCAAAGGTAGATAAATCCACGAAGATGAGGAGAAACCAGTGCAAAAAGGATGAAAATTCCAAAAACCAGACATTTCCTCCAAAGAATCACAACTCCTCGCCAGCAAGGGAACAAAACTGGACAAAGAATGAGTTTGATGAGTTGACAGAAGTAGGCTTCAGAAGGTGGGTAATAACAAACTCCTCCGAGCTAAAGGAGCATGTTCTAACCCTATGCTAGGAAGCTAAGAACCTTGAAAAAAAGTTAGACAAATTGCTAACTAGAATAACCGGTTTAGAGAAGAACATAAATGACCAGATGGAGCTGAAAAACACAGCAAGAGAACTTTGTGAAGAGTACACAAGTATCAATAGCCAAATCGATCAAGTGGAAGAAAGGATATCAGAGTGAAGATCATCTCAATGAAATAAAGCAAGAAGACAAGATTAGAGAAAACAGAGTGAAAAGAAATGAACAAACGCTCTGAGAAATGTGGGACTATATGAAAAGACCAAATCTACATTTGATTGGTGTACCTGAAAGTGACAGGGAGAATGGAACCAAGTTGGAAAACACTCCCCAGGATATTATCCAGGAGAACTTCCCCCAACCTAGCAAGGAGGTCAACATTCAAATTCAGAAAATATAGAGAACACTACAAAGATACTCCTCGAGAAGAGCAACCCCAAGACACATAATCATCAGATTCACTAAGGTTGAAATGAAGGAAAAAATCCTAAGGACAGCCAGAGAGAAAGGTCAGGTTACCCACAAAGGGAAGCCCATCAGACTAACAGCAGATCTCTCAGCAGAAACCCCACAAGCCAGAAGAGAGTGGCGGCCAATATTCAACATTCTTAAAGAGAAGAATTTTCAACCCAGAATTTCATATCCAGCCGAATAAAGCTTCATAAGTGAAGGAGAAGTAAAATCATTTACAGACAAGGAAATGCTGAGAGATTTTGTCACTACCAGGCCTGCCTTACAAGAGCTCCTGAAGAAAGCACTAAACATGGAAAGAATCAAACAGTACCAGCCACTACAAAAATATACCAAATTGTAAAGATCATTGATGCTATGAAGAAACTGCATCAACTAACAGGCAAAATAACCAGCTAGCATCATAAAGGCAGGATCAAATTCACACATAACAATATTAACCTTAAATGTCAATGGGCTAAATGCCACAATTAAAAGACACAGACTGGCAAATTGGATAAAGAGTCAAGACCTTTGGTGTGCTGTATTCAGGACACCCATCTCACATGCAAAGACACACATAGGCTCAAAATAAAGGTATGGAGGAATATTTATCAAGCAAATGGAAAGCAAAGCAAGCAGGGGTTGCAATCCTAGGCTCTGATAAAACATACTTTAAACCAACAAATATTAAAAGAGACAAGGGTATTACATAACGGTAAAAGGATCAAGGCAACAAGAAGAGCTAACTATCCTAAATATATATGCACCCAATACAGGAGGACCCAGGTTCATAAAGCAAGTTCTTGGAGACCTACAAAGTGACTTAGACTCCCACACTATAATAGTAGGAGACTTTAACACACCACTGTCAATATGAGACAGATCAATGAGACAGAAAATTAACAAAGATATCCAGGACTTGAACTCAGCTCTGGACCAAGAGGACCTAGTAGACATCTACAGATCTCTCCACCCCAAATCAACAGAATATACATTCTTCTCAGCACTACATCGTACTTATTCTAAAACTGACCACGTAATTGGAAGTAAAACACTCCTGAGCAAATGCAAAAGAAGAGAAATCATAACAAACAGTACTCAGACCACAGTGCAATCAAATTAGAACTCAGGATTAAGAAACTCACCCAAAACTGCACAATTATATGGAAACTGAACAACCTGCTCCTGAATGACTACTAGGTAAATAACAAAATGAAGGCAGAAATAAAGATATTCTTTAAAAACAATGAGAACAAAGACACAATGTACTGGAATCTCTGGGACACATTTAAAGCAGTGTTTAGAGGAAATTTATAGCACTAGATGCCCACAAGAGAAAGCAGAAAAGATCTAAAGTCAAGACCCTAACATCACATTTAAAAGAACTAGAGAAGCAGGAGCAAACAAATTCAAAAGCTAGCAGAAGGCAAGAAGTAACTAAGATCCGAGAAGAACTGAAGGAGATAGAGACATGAAAAACCCTTCAAAAAATCAATGAATCAAGGAGCTGTTTTTTTTTAAAAGATCAACAAAATAGACCAGTAGCCAGACTAATAAAGAAGAAAAGAGAGAAGAATCAAATAGATGCAATAAAAAATGATAAAGGGGATATCACCACTGATCCCACAGAAATACAAACCACCATCAGAGAATACTATTAACACCTCTATGCAAATAAACTAGAAAATCTAGAAGAAATGGTTACGTTCCTGAACATATACACCCTCCCAAGACCAAACCAGGAAGAAGTCAAATTCCTGAATAGACCAATAACAAGTTCTGATACTGAGACAGCTATTAACCAACCAACCAAAAAAAGTCCAGGACCAGACGGATTCACAGCCGAATTCTACCAGAGGTACAAAGAGGAGCTGGTACCATTCCTTCTGAGACTATTCCAAACAATAGAAAAAGAGGGACTCCTCCCTAACTCATTTTATGAGGCAAGGATCATTCTGATACCAAAACCTGGCAGAGACAACAACAACAACAAAAAATTCAGGTCAATCTCCCTGGTGAACATTGATGTGAAAATCCTCAATAAAATACTGGTAAACCAAATCCAGCAGCACATCAAAAAGCTTATCCAGCACGATCAAGTCAGCTTCATCCCTGGAATGCAAGCCTGGTTCAACATACACAAATCAATAAACGTAATCCATTATGTAAACAGAACCAATGACAAAAACCACATGATTATCTCAATAGATACATAAAAGACCTTTGACAATATTCAACACCCCTTCATGCTAAAAACTCTCAATAAACTAGGTATTGATGGAACGTATCTCAAAATAATAAGAGCTATTTATGACAAACCCACAGCCACTATCATACTGAATGGGCAAAAACTGGAAGCATTCCCTTTGAAAACCGGCACAAAACAAGGATGTCTGCTCTCACCACTCCTTTTCAACACAGTATCGGAAGTTCTGGCCAGACCAATCAGGCAAGAGAAAGAAATGAAGGGTATTCAATTAGTAAAAGAGGAAGTCAAATTGTCTGTTTGCAGATGACATGATTGTATATTTAGAAAACCCCATGATCTCAGCCCAAAATCTCCTTAAGCTGAGAAGCAACTTCAAGAAAGTCTCAGGATACAAAATCAATGTGCAAAAATCAAAAGCATTCCATACACCAATAACAGACAGACAGCCAAATCATGAGTGAACTCCCATTCACAATTGCTACAAAGAGAATAAAACACCTAGGAATACAACTTACAAGGGATGTGAAGGACCTCCTCAAGAAGAACTACAAACCACTGCTCAAGGAAATAAGAGAGGACACAAACAAATGGAAAAACATTCCATGATCATGGATAGGAAGAATCAGTACTGTGAAAATGGCCATACTGCCAAAAGTAATTTATAGATTCAATGCTATCCCCATCAAGCTACCATTGACTTTCTTCACAGAGTTGGAAAAAACTGCTTTAAATTTCATATGGAACCAAAAAAGAGCCTGCATAGCCAAGACAATCCTAAGCAAAAGAACAAACTAGAGGCATCATGCTACCTGACTTCAAACTATACTACAAGTCTACAGTAACCAAAACAGCATGGTACTGGTAACAAAACAGACATATAGACCAATGGAACAGAACAGAGGCCTCAGAAAGAACTCCACACATCTACAACCATCTGATCTTCAACAAACCTGACAAAAACAAGCAACAAGGAAAGGATTCCCTATTTAATAAATGGTCTTGGGAAAACTGGCTAGCCATATGCAGAAAGCTGAAACTGGATCCCTTCCTTACACCTTATACAAAAATGAACACAAGATGGATTATAGACTTAAACATAAGACCTAAAACCATAAAAACCCTAGAAGAAAACCTAGGCAATACCATTCAGGACATAGGCATGGGCAAAGACTTCATGACTAAAACACCAACAGCAATGGCAACAAATCCAAAATTGACAAATGGAATCTAATTAAGCTAAAGAGCTTATGCACAGCAAAAGAAACTGTTATCAGAGTGAACGGGCAACCTACCGAATGGGAGAACATTTTTGTAATCTATCCATCTGACAAAGAGCTAATATCCAGAATCTACAAAGAACTTAAATTTACAAGAGAAAAACAACCCCATCAAAAAGTCGGCAAAGGATACGAACAGAAAGTTCTCAAAAGAACACATTTATGTGGCCAATAAACATATGAAAAAAAGCTCATCATCAGTGGTCATTAGAGAAATGCAAATCAAAACCACAATGAGATACCATCCCATGCCAGTTAGAATGGTGATCATTAAAAGTCAGGAAACAAGAGATGCTGGAGAGGATATGGAGAAATAGGAACACTTTTACACTGTTGATGGGAGTTTAAATTAGTTCAACCATTGTGGAAGACAGTGTGGCAATTCCTTAAGGATCTAGAACTAGAAATACCATTTGACCCAGCCATCCCATTACTGGGTATATACACAGAGGATTATAAATCATTCTACTATAAAGACATATGCACACGTATGTTTATTGAAGCACTATTCGCAATACTAAAGACTTGGAACCAACCCAAATGCCCATCAGTGATAGACTGGATAAAGAAAATGTGGCACATATACACCATGGAATACTATGCAGCCATAAAAAAGGATGAGTTCATATCCTTTGCAGGGACATGGATGAAGCTAGAAACCATCATTCTCAGCAAACTAACACAGTAACAGAAAACCAACACCGCATGTTCTCACTCACAAGTGGGAGTTGAACAATGAGAACAGATGGACACAGGACACAGGGAGGGGAACATCACATACTGGGGACTGTTTTGGGGTGGGGAGGCTAAGGGAGGGATAACAGGAGAAATACCTAATGTAGATGACAGGTTGATGGGTGCAGCAAACCACCATGGCACGTTTATACCTATGTAACTAATCTGCATGTTCTGCACATGTACCCCAGAACTTAAAGTATAATAAAATATATAAAAGAATGAAGCATGCTTACGAGATCTAGAAAATAGCCTCAAAAGCCAAATCTAAAAGATATTGACCTTAATGGGGAGATAGTGAAAGAGATAGTGGCAGAAAGTTTATTTGAAGAGATAATAACAGAGAACTTCCCAAACCTACAGAAAAATATCAATATTCAAGTTCGAAAAGGTTATAGAACACAAAGCAGGTTTATGCCAAAGAAGACTACCTCAAGGCATTTATAATCACACTTCCAAAAGTCAAAGATAATGAAAGGATCTGAAAAGCAGCAAGAGAAAAGAAAGAACAAATAATATAATATGGAGGTCCAATCTGTCTTCAGCAGACTTTTCAGTAGAATATGACCAGCCAGGAGAGAGTGGCATGAAATATTTAAAGTGACGAAGGAAAAAACTTTTACCCTAGAATAGTATATCTAGTGAAAATATCCTTTAAGCATGGAGGACAAATAAAAACTTTTCTAGAATAACAAAAGATGAGGGGTTTCATTAACACCAGGCCTGTCCTACAAAGAATGCTAAAGGAAGTACTTCAATCTGAAAGAAGGCGATGTTAATGAGCAATAAGAAATCATCTGAAGGCACAAAACACACTGGTAACAGTAAGCACACAGAAAAACACAGAATATTATAAGACTGTGAAAGTGGTGCATAAACTATTCATATCTTGAATAGAAAGACTAAACAATGAAACAATAAAAAACAACTTTTTAAGACAAACAACAAAAAGTTAAAAGGGGATGAAGTTAAAGTGTATCATTTTAATTATTTTTTTCTTTTTGTTTTTTCGACACTGTATGCAATCAGTGTCAAGTTGTCATCAGTTTAAAATAATAGGTTGTAAGACCGTATTTGCAAACCTCACAGTAACCTCAAATTTGAAAACATAAAACGGGTATACAAAAAGTAAAAGGAAGAAGGAAGAGAGGACCACAAAATAACCAGAAAACAAATTAAAAAATGGCAGGAGTAAACCCTTACTTATCAATAATAAAATTGGAAGTAAATAGACCAAACAATCCAATCAGGAAATACACTTCACCTATAAAGATACAAACAGATTGAAAACAAAGTTATAGAAAAAGATATTTCATGCCAATGGAAGCCAAAAAAGGACAAGAATACCTGTACTTACATCACACAAAACAGACTTCAAGACAAAGCTATGGAGTCAAAGAAGGTCGTTGAATAGTGATAAAGGGGTCAATCAGCTAAAGAATATAACTATTTTAAATATATTAATATATGTACCCTAGACTGGAGCACCCAGATGTACAAAGCAAATATTATTAGAGCTAATGAGGGAGATAGACCCCAATATAATAAAAGCTGGAGAAGATTTCAACACTCCACTTTCAGCATTGGACAGATCTTGAAGATGGAAAATTAGCAAAGCAACATTGGAATTAATCTGCACTATGGAGGAAATGGACCTAATAGGTATTCACAGAACATTTCATCCAACAGCTGCAGAATACACATTCTTCTCCTCAGCACATAGATCATTCTCAAGGTGAGACCATATGTTAGGTCACAAAACAAATCTTATAACATTCAAAAAACTTGAAATACTATCAAGCACTTTCTCTGATCACAATGGAATAAAACTATAAATTTTTTTAATTTAAAGAATATAAAAAGTTAATATAAAAAGAATGATAACAGAGAGCAGATATATATGCTTATCTGTCTTCCTTTGTTAAGTATATGCCTTTTTATAAAGTATAGGTATCTATTTTTCTCTATAGAAGTAGGGAAGATCTCCATATACTACTTTTCTATTCCATACTCATACAGTGAGAAATCTGGATCCCCAAAACTTAAATACATTTTCTCATTTGCAAAATTATTATCTAATACCACCACTTAAAATAAACCTACTAAAAGGTCCAAGATTGGAATAGTTTCAGAAGGAATGGTAGCAGCTCCTCCTTGTACCTGTGGTAGAATTCGGCTGTGAATCCATCTGGTCCTGGACTCTTTTTGGTTGGTAAGCTATTGATTATTGCCACAATTTCAGATCCTGTTATTGGTCTATTCAGAGATTCAACTTCTTCCTGGTTTAGTCTTGGGAGAGTGTATGTGTCGAGGAATTTATCCATTTCTTCTAGATTTTCTAGTTTATTTGTGTAGATGTGTTTGTAGTATTCTCTGATGGTAGTTTGTATTTCTGTGGGATTGGTGGTGATATCCCCTTTATCATTTTTTATTGTGTCTATTTGATTCTTCTCTCTTTTTTTCTTTATTAGTCTTGCTAGCGGTCTATCAATTTTGTTGATCCTTTCAAAAAACCAGCTCCTGGATTCATTAATTTTTTGAAGGGTTTTTTGTGTCTCTATTTCCTTCAGTTCTGCTCTGATTTTAGTTATTTCTTGCCTTCTGCTAGCTTTTGAATGTGTTTGCTCTTGCTTTTCTAGTTCTTTTAATTGTGATGTTAGGGTGTCAATTTTGGATCTTTCCTGCTTTCTCTTGTGGGCATTTAGTGCTATAAATTTCCCGCTACACACTGCTTTGAATGTGTCCCAGAGATTCTGGTATGTTGTGTCTTTGTTCTCATTGGTTTCAAAGAACATCTTTATTTCTGCCTTCATTTCGTTATGTAGCCAGTAGTCATTCAGGAGCAGATTGTTCAGTTTCCATGTAGTTGAGTGGTTTTGAGTGAGATTCTTAATCCTGAGTTCTAGTTTGATTGCACTGTGGTCTGAGAGATAGTTTGTTATAATTAGTGTTCTTTTACATTTGCTGAGGAGAGCTTTACTTCCAAGTATGTGGTCAATTTTGGAATAGGTGTGGTGTGGTGCTGAAAAAAATGTATATTCTGTTGATTTGGGGTGGAGAGTTCTGTAGATGTCTATTAGGTCCAGTTGGTGCAGAGCTGAGTTCAATTCCTGGGTATCCTTGTTGACTTTCTGTCTCATTGATCTGTCTAATGTTGACAGTGGGGTGTTAAAGTCTCCCATTATTAATGTGTGGGAGTCTAAGTCTCTTTGTAGGTCACTCAGGACTTGTTTTATGAATCTGGGTGCTCCTGTATTGGGTGCATATATATTTAGGATAGTTAGCTCTTCTTGTTGAATTGATCCCTTTACCATTATGTAATGGCCTTCTTTGTCTCTTTTGATCTTTGTTGGTTTAAAGTCTGTTTTATCAGAGACTAGGATTGCAACCCCTGCCTTTTTTTGTTTTCCATTTGCTTGGTAGATCTTCCTCCATCCTTTTATTTTGAGCCTATGTGTGTCTCTGCACGTGAGATGGGTTTCCTGAATACAGCACACTGATGGGTCTTGACTCTTTATCCAATTTGCCAGTCTGTGTCTTTTAATTGGAGCATTTAGTCCATTTACATTTAAAGTTAATATTGTTATGTGTGAATTTGATCCTGTCATTATGATGTTAGCTGGTTATTTTGCTCGTTAGTTGATGCAGTTTCTTCCTAGTCTCGACGGTCTTTACATTTTGGCATGATTTTGCAGCGGCTGGTACCAGTTGTTCCTTTCCATGTTTAGCGCTTCTTTCAGGAGCTCTTTTAGGGCAGGCCTGGTGGTGACAAAATCTCTCAGTATTTGCTTGTCTATAAAGTATTTTATTTCTCCTTCACTTATGAAGCTTAGTTTGGCTGGATATGAAATTCTGGGTTGAAAATTCTTTTCTTTAAGAATGTTGAATATTGGCCCCCACTCTCTTCTGGCTTGTAGAGTTTCTGCCGTGAGATCTGCTGTTAGTCTGATGGGCTTCCCTTTGAGGGTAACCCGACCTTTCTCTCTGGCTGCCCTTAACATTTTTTCCTTCATTTCAACTTTGGTGAATCTGACAATTGTGTGTCTTGGAGTTGCTCTTCTCGAGGAGTATCTTTGTGGCGTTCTCTGTATTTCCTGAATCTGAATGTTGGCCTGCCTTGCTAGATTGGGGAAGTTCTCCTGGATAATATTCTGCAGTGTTTTCCAACTTGGTTCCATTCTCCCCGTCACTTTCAGGTACACCAATCAGATGTAGATTTGGTCTTTTCACATAGTCCCGTATTTCTTGGAGGCTTTGCTCATTTCTTTTTATTCTTTTTTCTCTAAACTTCCCTTTTCGCTTCATTTCATTCATTTCATCCTCCATTGCTGATACCCTTTCTTCCAGTTGATCGCATTGGCTCCTAAGGCTTCTGCCTTCTTCAGGTAGTTCTCGAGCCTTGGTTTTCAGCTCCATCAACTCCTTTAAGCACTTCTCTGTATTGGTTATTCTAGTTATACATTCTTCTAAATTTTTTTCAAAGTTTTCAACTTCTTTTCCTTTGGTTTGAATGTCCTCCCGTAGCTCGGAGTAATTTGATTGTCTGAAGCCTTCTTCTCTCAGCTCGTCAAAGTCATTCTCCGTCCAGCTTTGTTCCATTGCTGGTGAGGAACTGTGTTCCTTTGGAGGAGGAGAGGCACTCTGCTTTTTAGAGTTTCCAGTTTTTCTGCTCTGTTTTTTCCCCATCTTTGTGGTTTTATCTACTTTTGGTCTTTGATGATGGTGATGTAGAGATGGGTTTTTGGTGTGGATGTCCTTTCTGTTTGTTAGTTTTCCTTCTAACAGACAGGACCCTCAGCTGCAGGTCTGTTGGAGTACCCGGCCGTGTGAGGTGTCAGTCTGCTCCTGCTGGGGGGTGCCTCCCAGTTAGGCTGCTCGGGGGTCAGGGGTCAGGGACCCACTTGAGGAGGCAGTCTGCCCGTTTTCAGATCTCCAGCTGCGTGCTGGGAGAACCACTGCTCTCTTCAAAGCTGTCAGACAGGGACATTTAAGTCTGCAGCAGTAACTGCTGTCTTTTTGTTTGTCTGTGAGTGACCTTCATTCCTACCTTCTTTTTTTCTTTCAAACACAATCATCCTTTGGGTAACATGGCCTAGAATTTACACCTTTTAAAATAATTTTAAAATCCACATCTTCTTTTTAGTCTCCACTGTCACAGTGTTAGCTTAAGGACCTATCTTCTCCATGGACTATTAATTGTCATAGATTTGTAACTGGTCCTACTGTCACTAAGTTTTGTTCCTATCCATTTTGTTCTTCACACTGCTACTCTCAAATCCTACTTCTTTTCGTCAAGGCATATTGTCTCTTACTAGGACTACTTCTAGAGACTACTAATTTGTTTTTTCCTCGTACTGTTGCTCTGCTTAAATCAGGCAATATTACATTATAACCTGCTCATGCCTTTCATCTGATCATTATGTAAAGGTCAAACTCCTTAGCTTGGTATTAATGATCTTTTGTGATCTATTCCCAACTTACCTTTATAGCATCATTCTCAACACTCCTTCACATTAATCTTATGCTCTAATAATCCAAGGCATTTTTAGCTCCCAATTCACAACATTTTTTTACAAGTACCATTTATTGATTTCCTGTAATATTTCAGACACTGAAGTAGGTTCTATGTATAAAAAGATGGATAAGGCTAAGCCCATGCCCTCAATAATATTCTTTAATCGTAGTATTTCTACTTTGTAATACATTTCCCATTTTGTCAGTCTGGAAAGCTCTCTTCATTCATCTGGACTGAGCTTAAA
This sequence comes from Homo sapiens, assembly GCF_000001405.40. NCBI lineage: Eukaryota > Metazoa > Chordata > Mammalia > Primates > Hominidae > Homo > Homo sapiens. The sequence continues at coordinate 113,686,395 of NC_000023.11, read as the reverse complement.
CATGGCTTCTTCTGTGAAGCCTTTCCTGCTGAAACCAATTAGAGATAGCCACTCCCTCTTCAGCATCCCCTAATACTTTGTGCACATTTTTCTTACAATACTTATTGCCGTACTAATTTTATTCACTTATACGTCTTGCTCTCTGACTAGAGTCTAAGTTATATTAGCATATTTTGCAAGTATTTTTATCCGTAGTGCATAGAAGCAATGTCAAAATGTTTGTTAAATGAAAGGATGAATGATGAAATCAGTGAATTAGGGTAAAAGAGCTAAGGCGAGAGAACAGGAAAGCAGAGAAGAGAAAAGGAATAATAGAAAAAGCCTCCACAACACTCAGTTTGAAAGTGTTTTGGGGCCATAGTATTTTCAAGTTGAGACAAAAGGCAGGAGACTAAGAAGTATGTTTTGTAATGTTCAAATAATTTGTACTGGGCAGTTATCTTTATAATGGATTTCATTTCAAGGGCTATATTTTGTAGCTATGTTTTAATTAATGGAAAGTGATTCCATGTGTCAACAGTTGGAAAGCCTACAAGGTGACCTCATTACAGTCAATGAGAAAGGTCATGTACAGCACTGTTCACATGTGCAATCTTATCTAGAAGCAGCCCAAGCTATAAACCACATTTCCCAACACTGATTTGTAGGAAATAGCTTATCCAGTGCTATTACTTATAGTGTCTGATATGGTTTGGCTCTGTCCCCACCCAAATCTCATCTGAAATTGTAGCTTCCATAATTCCCAGATATTGTGGGAGGAACCAGATGGGAGATAATTGAATCATACTGGAGGTTTCCCCCATACTGTTCTCTTGGTAGTAAATAAGTCTCACAAATCTGATGGCCTTTCTATAAGGTGAAGTCCTTTACACTTGGCTCTCATTCTCTCTTATCTGCCACCATGTAAGATGTGCCTTTCGCCTTCCACCATGATTGTGAGGCCTCCCCAACCACATGGAACTATGAGTCCATTAAACCTCTTTTTCTAGGTAAATTACCCAGTCTTGGGTATGTCTTTATCAGCAGCATGAAAAATGGACTAATACGGTGTCTGTGCAATACATTGTGGAGAAAGAAATTTGAGTGCTGAAATTAATCAGAAGGTGCTTGATTCTCAGATGAATTAGTCTTTCCTTTCACATGAGTTAGTCTGGGAATCTCAGTTCTGTTTTGCTAATTATCTCAATGTATTATGCCTTCCTTTCCTATTTATATGATCTTCATTATAATTTTGAGAAAGATAAATACAACTATAAATATATTTTCATTTAGTCAGAGGTTAAATGTGTTTCCACTTTAAAAATACTTTGTTTATATTTGGGAAATTACTACTACTGAAAATACAGTAAAAGAGAAAGGAAAGTCTTTGAGAGTGGTGAAAAAAGCACTGACTGGGGCTTTATGTGACCTAGGGTCCAATCTTTACTTTGTTAGCTAATTAGACAGGCAGGTCTTAGACTAAGTAACTTTCCTGTGGACTCTAATTTTCTCTTCTGGAAAAATATATGCTTGACTAGATCAGAGGTGGCAAACTATAATATCACAGTTTGAATGCCATATCAGATGGATTTTATAAAAACATTTTGGGTCTGAGTGGCATTAAGAAATGAATTAGAAATATTCACGTAAGTCTGCAATCTCAGATTCGCCAAAGTCCCCTGACATGTGCAGTTTGCCCTTAAATGGCACATGCATGGAACACACCTGAAGAAGTATAATAAAGGCCTTGGGAACTAAACTTCCATATAAACACTGTCCAAGACCCAGACCAAACTCTGCTCTGGAAATCACCCCCAATCTTTCTGTTGTTATACTTAAGTTCGAGTTCACATCTGATATGTACTTGTAGATATATAAGAAATGAATTTGTAGTCTTTACAATGAATGACCACTAAATTCTCCTTCTACTTTAAAATGTTGTGTCTTTTTTCAGAGAAGTTTAGAAATTTTAGAAGGAAGAATATTTAGCCTGTGTTTGGGAAAGTCTTTCACTGCTATGTGTTGTTTAAGTAGAGGCTATGAGGCAGTTTTACTATAGTCATTGATTTCATGCTTAGCTATCTGATGTCTTCTGAAATATTAGTAATTTTTGCTGTTTTCTGAAAACAGGACCCAAGAGAATTATATTTTACACTCCTGAGTGTGGCATTTATATTCTGATTCCCAAAGATACAAATGAACAATACTGAATTATAGGCATCATTTGGGAGCACCTTAAACACACAAGCAAACATTTATCTAACTTCTTCAAGTTCAAAGATATATGATATCTAAATAGCTAAATTATAAAAAAATTATAAAAGGATTAAGCCAATTGGAAGTCAAGGGAAAGAGAAAGTGTTCCGATCAATCAATTTAGATTGCTGTACAATTAGGCATTTCCAATTCTTGCATAAATGACTCTTCTGAATTTTAATAATATTCATCCTGCTTTAATTTTTGGAGTAGAGGTAAATTAAATAATTTTTCTTAGGGGAAAACTTTAATATCTTCCAAAAGACAGAGATTGAAAGCTGCCTTTTACTTTGTCTGACATATTTTATATATTGGCCAATCTGTAGTTATTCATAGAGTTTAGTTTTAAGGATTTGTTTTCTGTGTCTGTGAATTTTAAACTTTCTTTTAAATTAAAATTTATAAATTACATACGTTTTGGCAGAAGCTTGGAGTTGAATTTAAGCCAAATGTAACAGGATTAATTAGCTACTCATTTACTTACATATTTTCATCTTTTAAATAAAGTCTAATTTTCTTTAAAAATGTGAATTTTAACTCAAAATATTGAGTGATCATGACAGCAGGTAGGAGAAATGGGACATAATGTTGGTTTTATTGGTCTACTGGGTTAAGTAAATTTATCTACTAAAATGAACTTCTGTCAATTTCTATAAACCATTTTGTGATGAAAAAAGCACAGGCTTATTACTTTACATTTTCAGGGTTATTAAAGGAAGTGTTATTAGTCTCTGATGATCATCAAAAAGTAGCAAGCACATAGGTTTGAGGATGTGTCCATTTGCAGAAACTGCCTGCAAAGAAAAATGTGCACAGTTATATTTTGAAAATCAGAATATGACTACCTGCTATTTGATTATCTGAAATTTCACCATGCCTGCTGAGGTGTGTCTTTTTTATTATGAGATATCCAGCTTAAAAGAAATTACATCATTTCTCTTGTCCCCTCAGATCATTGAGGATACACTATATAAATAATTGTTTATAAAAGTGTTTGTCTTTGTGAAATTGAAGACAACATGACAACTGAAGAGTCATTGCTAACTTTGTTTGGAAGTAAATTATAAGAACTTTCTTCTTCTTCCTCTGTCTACTTTGTTGACTGTGATTTATCTTAAAGATGAAATATTCTTATTTTGTTTTGTATTCAGGTTGAGATGAAATGAAGCCTGGTTTCCCATTCAAAAGGAAAACCAGAGAGCAGAGGAATTCATGCAATTTTTACCTCCTTCAAATTTAGCTAATAATGATTTTTTTAAACTAATGGATTGTTGATGATAAAGAGAATTATATTAATTAAAAATATTAATTTAAGAAAAAAGGTCATGTTTTAGCATTTGCCATGACTTCTTGGTGTTATTTGTGGAGTTAACCTATACAATAACTTAATCACTTAAAAATAAGAATATAGGACATGGTTGTAGCCGCAATGAGTAATCCTATTATATTGCAATAATTATATCTAAAGACATCACAAAATACAAAACACTGACTTACTTCAGAACTCTGAAAAGTAAACAATAAGTATATTGGAGCAGGAAATCAAAACCTGGAGAAAGGCTAATGTAGAGGAGGTTTATTTTTTTCTTCCTTTATCTTCCAGCATTAACTCTAGGGCAGGCTAAACCAGTAATTGCACGGCAGGCAGGCCAGCAAATACTCCACAAAAAGCTCATCTTTCAGTGCAAGAGAAATATTTATTTTTTTCTTCCTTTCTAATATTTCCTGTCAGCCCTGCCTCAAGACCAGCTCCATCTGAGGCACAGAGGTATGGTATGATCACCTAAAACCAGGAGAGAAAGCTCATCTCTCTGAATAGAGAAATTAGGAAAAGATGTTTCTGTTATGTAAGTGTGGAGGAAATATCACATTTTCATATCTCTCTTTTATCACTTGACCTCAAGTGACAAGGATCTGCACATCATTGTGGGAAGATAAAACTTTGAGAAAATTCCATCTTTCTAGCCAGACGAATAGGAAGATAGACCCCTTCTGGGTAGAGAGTGTGGGGAAAATCCCTGAGCGAAGAAAGAAAAGATCACTGATTCTGAGTATGAAGCAACAAAAGTTCAGGGCTCACCCCCCAAGCTATGCATGCATTGTTTTACTCCGTTTTCACACTGCTATAAAGAAATACCTGAGACTGGGAAATTTGCAATGGAAAGAGATTAATTAACTCACAGTTCCACATGGCTGAGGAGGCCTCAGGAAATTTACAATCATGGCAGAAGGCAAAAGAGAAGCAAGTACCTTCTTCACAAGGTGGCAGGAAAAAGAGAGAGCAGGGGAAACCACCACTTATTAAAAACTTCAGATCTCATGAGAACTCACTTACTGTTATGAGAACAGCATGGAGGACACTGCCCCCATAATCCAATCGCTTTCCATCATGTCCCTCCCTCGACACGTGGGGATTACAATTCAAGGTGAGATTTGGGTGGGGACACAAAGCCAAACCACATTATGCATGAAATACACATAAAAAATATAATAAACCATTTGACACCTGAGATGCAATATAAACATTGCCCAGATCAAACCCCAAGTGGCATATGCAAGAGACACACATGAACATTCTTGAAAAGTCTTTGAAAAATGAACTGGCATTGCAACCACCTCACACAGAAAGCAAGAGAGAATGTGGAGTCTTAACATAACTAGGTTGATTACCTACCGCAAGAACAACATTGATAGCAACAGCACCAAAAACAAATCAGCATTCTCCAGAGGATTTTAAAAGGAACCAAAGCCTCACATCAAAATATTCAAAATGTCCAGGATACCATGAAAAATTACTCAACATACCATGAAACAAAAAGCCTCATAAAATCTTAAGAAAAATACAATCAATAGCTGGATATCAGCTCTGAGATAAAAGAGTTAAACATTGTCAACAGACTTGAAAGCAGCTGTTATTATGCATCGTTAAGTAATAGCAAACAATCTCAAAACAAATGTAGTAAGGAGATAAATTCTCAATATAGAAATATAAAGCATAAAACAAATAGAAAGTTTGAACTTAAAAATACGATATTTGAAATTTAATAAATGTACTAAATGATCTCAGTAACAGAATGGAAATGGCAAAGGAAAGAACCAATGAACTTGAAATTAGATCAATAGAAATTATCCAAACTGAAGAGCAGACTGAAACAAATGAAAAACTTAAATGGAACTTCAGAGACTTCTAGAATGACATCAAAACATTTAATGCTCATGCCCTGGAGTCTCTGAAAAAGAGGAGATTAGCACAGAGAGAAGAAGTATTTGAAAAGCTAGCATTTGAAAAACTAATGATGAAACGTCTAAGATTCAGTAAAATATATAAATTAACATATTCATGATGCTCTGTGAGCCACAACCAGACATACTCAGAGAAAGCCATGCTCAGACACATCATATACTGCTCAGCACCAAAAATAAAGAAAAAATATTGTTCTCTACATATAAGGGCACAACAATTGGAATAATTGCAATTTCTTATCAGAAACCATGGAAGCTGCAATATTTTTCAAGTGCTGAAATAAAGGAACTGTCATTGTAGAATTGTATAACCAGAGAAAATAACCTTAAGGAATGAAGGCAACATAAAGGCATTTTTAGATAACAGAAGCCCAGAAAATTCATCACTAGCAGACCTACTCTGAAAGAATGCCAACGGATCTTCTTCTCATTGAAAGGAAATAATACCAGAAGTAAACTTGGAACATAAGTTATTAAAGGATGAGTAATAGGCATGATAAAGATGCAGGTAAATCTAATAGATAATAGCTCTCCTCTTAAGATCTTTGATGTAAGATGTATGACTGTTGAAGGAAAAATTAGAACACTTTCTGGGGGGCATTTTGATGTATGTAGATGTAATACCCGTAATAATTACAAAAGAAAGAAATCATGCCCTTTGCGGCAATGTGGATGGAGCTGGAGGCCATTATTCTAAGGGACCTAATGCAAGAACAGAAAACCAAATACTGCATGTTCTCACAAGTGGGAGCTAAACACTGAATAAACATGATTGTAAAGGTGGGAACAATAGACAGTAGGAATCACTAGATGTGGGAGGGAGAGGGGTGTGGGTTAAAGAACCACCTGTTGGGTACTATGTTTATGGCCTCGGTGATGGGATTGTGGGGACCCCAAGTCTCAGTATCATAAAACCCATGTAACAAACCTTCATGTGTACCTTTAATCTATATTAAAGGTTGAAAAAAAAACCTATAATATAAAGAAAAGAGAATAAATAGATCTATATGGTTATAAGACACTTTGCTTACTCTAAAAAGACTGTGAGAGTATATATTAAAATTTGTAGTGCAACCACAAAACAGATAAATGCATATGAACCAAAAGATAAAATGGAATATTAAAATATATTCAGATATCTTTTAAAAATAATTGAGACACTGTGGTTTTAGTGAAAGATTAGACACATAGATCAATGCCACAAAATAAAAAGTTCAGAAATAGACATATATGTATATGACCTATTGATTTTTGACAAAGATGCAAGGGCAATTTCAATGGAGAGAGGATAGTCTTTTTATCCAAATACAAAAGGAAAAAAAGAATCATAATCAACACTTCACCCTTTATACAAAAACTCACTCAAATGGACCACAGACTAAATCATAAATTTATAAAACTTTGATGGCATTCATAGCATGCCATTCCAACAGATGCCGCTTTGGCATATTTATCATTTTGAGTTAAGGACACTTGGAAAACAGGAGATGCAAGAAGGGCACTCTGACCTTCCTTTTTCTTCCTGAAAACAGGTGAAGATAAAACACTCATGTGAAAGGTGTCCTTGCTGCACTAGGAAGAACATTCTTATCACCAGAGATGAAAAGTTGAGACTGAGACATAACTGTACAGAAAAAACATTAGAATCATCTTTATCTTCCCAGTCACCTTTCCACAATTAACTGCCTTTGCCCAAAACCTTTTGGCTGGTCAAATTTTCACAATTTACTACCCTTTGTCTAACCTAGTATATAATCTTTTGGTCCTAACTACTTCTTTGGATCTTCATTTTTCTTGTGAGAGCCCCTGTGGACATGCAAACATTATGAAATAAAATTTGTAATCATTTCTCCTGCTAATATGTCTTAAGCCAGTTTAATTCTTAGGCCCAGCCAGAGATCCTAAGAGGATAAAGGAGAAATTTTACCTCCCTTACAACTTTTAGAAGAAACAAAAGGAGGAAATCTTTGTGACCCTGGGTTAGATAAACATTTATTGAGTATGACATTAAAAGCATGACCCATTAAAGAAAAAAATTGATGTATTTAATCAAAATTTAAAATTTTGCTCTGTGAAAGACAATATAAAGACAAGCTGTGGGCCAGGCACAGTGGCTCACACCTGTAATCCCAGCACTTTGTGAGGTAAACGTGGGAGAACTGCCTGAGCCGAGGAGTTCAAGACCATCTTGGGCAACATAGTGAGACCCTGTCTCTACAAAATTTTTAAAAAAGATTAGCTGTGTGTGGTGGTTCCTCCTTGTAGTCCCAGCTACTCAGGAGGCTGAGATGGGAGTATAGTTTGAGCCTGGGAGTTTGGGGATGCAGTGAGTGGTGATCATGTCACTTACTGTACTCCAGCCTGGAAGACAAAGTGAGACCCTGTCTCAAATAAATAAATAAATAAACAAATAAATAAATAAAAGAAAAGCTGTAGACAGAGAAAAATATTTGCAAGTCACTTTTATCCTAATATTTAAAGGTCACTCAAAACTTAACTATAGAAAAAAAACCCAATGAAAAAATAGACAATATGAACTGACACTTCACAAAAGAAGATATTTTAATGGCAAATAAGCACATGAAAAGATGTTCAAAATCATTAGTCATTTAGTTAGGTGCAAATTAAAATCAGAATAAGATATTGCTGCATACCTATTGGATTGACTGAAATCCAAAAATTTGACAATGCCAAGAGCTGAGAAGGATATGGAACAAGCAGAACACTCATATTTTGCTGATAGGAATGCAAAATAGTACTGCCACTATGGAAAATAATTTGGCAGCTTCTCAAAAGGTTAAACTTATTATATGAACGAAAAAAAATTCCTCCTCCAAGTATTTACCTGAGAAAAAACGGAAACCATATTTCACCAAAAATCTTGGATGCTAATGTTCATAGCAGCTTTATTCATAATAATCATAAACTAGAAACAGCTCAAACATCCCTCAATTTGGAAGCTAAGAAACATACTGTGCCATATCCATACAACTGGAATATTCCTGAGCAATAGAAAGGAGCAAATTATCAACACACCCAGCAACATAGATAAATCCCAAGTGCCTTATGTTCAGTAAAAGAAACCAAACTCAAAAGGTATGATTCCATGTGTATGATATTCTGGGAAAAGCAAACTGTAAGGACAGAACACAGTTGCCAGCATCTGAGAGTCTGGGGAGATTTTAATTTCAAACGGTCAGTACAAGGAAATTTTTTTAATTGCAGGGTAATAGAACTTCCCTGTGCAACAGCTGTAACAGTTACCCAATCACATGCATTAGTTATAACTCATAGATCGGTATCCCCAAAAGAATGAATTTTACTGTATTTAAATGAATATATAATATATACTTAAACCATAAATACATAAATAAATTAAATCAGTAAAATAGCTGTGATGCTTTTTTCAAAGTCCATGTCTTATTGTGAGGAAGATTTTCCATCATTCGATTTTTATTGTTTATGTTAAAAACATACCTCTTTATTAAAGCAGCTGAATTTGCAACTATACTTACCACACCCTTGTCTTCCAAGCTGTATCTTAATTGTACTTTAAAGAAACAAATACCTAGGCTGCAATTTAGCACTTAATTAATTTTAACTTTTTATTTGTGAATTTAGCCTGAGATTGTTAGGCTTTCATAAAAGTTATGTTTAGCAGTTTATATTATTCTTCTGAGCAGTTGTGGTACTGAGCCGATGCACATAATTTGACACTTGACTTTTTCAAGGGTGTTTCTTCAGATACTCCAACTCTATGGCATGCTTCTTAAGTCTCTGGAGTTAGATTGGGAAATAACCTATCTAGACCTCATCTTAGTGCCTTCCCAAAATTTGAAGAAGAAAAAAGATCCCTGTAAAATAAGGTGGGAAGACAGTTTGGTTTTCTCCTCAGGATGTGTGCTAACAACAATTTAAAAAATTCCTATGTGGGAGCTAAGCTATGAGGATGCAAAGGCATAAGAAAGACACGATGGACTTTGGGGACTCAGAGGGAAAGGGAAGGAAGGGGGTGAGGGATAAAAGACCACAAATTGGGTGCAGTGTATACTGCTCGGGTGATGGGTGCACCAAAATCTCACAGATCACCAGCAAAGAACTCACTCATGTAACCAAACACCACCTGTTCGCCGGTAACCTACGGGAGTAAAAAAAAGAATTTAAAAAAATTCCTGGACATCTTCCTTCTTATTTCCTGAACGCTGTTTTCTAGCACAATAAGATCACTGTTCCCTATCTTCACGTTGAGCTTTCTGCATCAGTTTTCCATGATTATCAATTTCTTCCCAAGCAATATGCCTGAGAAATATTATCTAAAAAATCACTAATAACCATTCACTACAACAGTCATTCACACCAAGATAGGTGTGGGAGCAGAGACACATAGTGGGTATAATTTATCAGAGTATGTATAGTTTAATAAACACTCAATGTATTATAATTTTAATGTGTAGAATTCTCATCCCAGTTTAATGTCACATATATTTTAATACTACAATTTACTAGTAAATATGATATGATTTGAAAGACTGTTTGATCTGTCAATGGTAAATTGCATAGTGGCAAGTAAGCTCCAAGATGTAATGAAGGGTGGTAATGCTTTTTAATTTTCTGTCTAGCGTATTTAATCACTCCCTCTGGTAACAACCTTCATCTCCCCTTTCTTTAGGAAACAGCTCTTCCCCAATTCCACAGTAGCTGCTACATTCAGGCCAATCATATAACGCATTTCCTTGAATTCAATGATTATTCTGCAGTTTAGTTCTGAAATGTTACATACAGGTGCATGTGAAAAGTTCTCTTTTACAATTTTGTTTTGCGATATTCGGTCAATGTTCAACTGAGTCCATCAGGGGTCAACATTGCCTGCTGCATGGCATGAGCCTATCTGCAGTAAGGGAGCATAAAACAAGCAACTAGAAGAAAGAAAAGAAGAGAGACTGGATGTTGGAGAGACATAAATAAGGAGACTTGTCCTAAAAGAGCTGATCATATCATTTGATGTAAACCAATAACTCTCCTTTTTAACTTTTGTTCGATTGGGTTGGGCCCTTGTAGCTTGGAATAAACCTTAAAATGCAAGAGCAGGAATAAAGCCAATATTACAATTAGCAAAATTGCAAAATGTATATCCTTTGAAATGGATCACATCATATAGAGTGAGACAGATTTAAGAAACTGATGCAGATAGTGACAAAGAGAATAATGAAATATGATATGTGGAAGATAGATAAGAATGAAATAACCTAAACAACATAGGTGTTTCTGAAGATGAAAGAATAACTAGAATAAGAGCAAAAATAAATGTTATAATTTTTAAAAAAATGAGTTTAATAAAAAGACAGACGGTAACTCTTCTAGTACCCAAGGGAGGCCAGAAGTGTTGGGTAATTCCCTACCCCAGCATTCCTATGACTCTCAGGAGTGGTTAAATAGCATAGCTCTTTCACAACTCAGATGGCATAATCCTGAGGTGTGTGTTTTGCACTTAGAGTTTACTGGTGGAAATAAACTTCAGTTGCTCACTGTGGTAACTGGTTTACTAAAGCATCTCTACTGGCTTCCTTCCCTTTCCATGGCCACTCTCCTATTGTTGACTCCTGCATCTCCCAAATAAACTACTTGTATTCAAATCCTTCTATCAAGGTCTGTTTTAAGGGATGCTTTCCCTGGTTGTCTAGTGATTGGGGAAAAAACATGAAGCCAAAAACAAAAATAAGGAAGGGTACCAACTAAGACCACTAATCCTTTTGTTTCTTATTTCCGTAATGAAACAGAATCAATCAGAAAAGATGTTCCACATGCTCCCTGCATGACATTTACCATACCAACTGCAGACAACTTCAGTATGGTTCTCCACCGCATAACTAAAAGTGGAGCGCCACTCTCAGTGTAGTTGGTAATTAATCCTCAGATCTTATTTTGTTTGACATAACAG